>NC_000013.11:113063160-113368090 GCF_000001405.40 Homo sapiens | reverse complement strand
TGTGTGCAGTGGAGCAGCAGGTGTGGGGAGGGGGGGTGGGGGGCCTGTTGACCAGGCAGCAATGCGAGAAAGCTGCATCTGAACCCCTGCCCAGGCTGAGGCTGGGCACGCAGTCAAGGCCCTGGTAGAGACTTAACCAGAACTGGTCACTGGGCCCATGGTCAGGGCCCTGGAGGAGACTTAACCAGAACTGGTCACTGGGCCCACGGTCAGGGCCCTGGAGGAGACTTAACCAGAACTGGTCACCAGTGTATTTGGTTCCAATTAGAACAACAGTTCAGTTACATATTTATGAGGCAAAAGAC
Organism: Homo sapiens; assembly: GCF_000001405.40. Taxonomy (NCBI): domain Eukaryota; kingdom Metazoa; phylum Chordata; class Mammalia; order Primates; family Hominidae; genus Homo; species Homo sapiens. The sequence goes on along the minus strand of NC_000013.11, from coordinate 113,367,785 downwards.
AGGACTTTGGAGGATGTGTCCAGCCTTGTCACAGGTAAATAAGGGACATCATGAATCTCATCTTTGTCACCTGGGGACAGGGTTCTGAGCTGTTTCCAGAACATAAAGGGGGGGACTTCCTAACCTCCCAGGATCATAGGGCTCAGGTAAAGCTTATCTGTCAATTTTCCTTAAAAATAATCATTACTGTTATATATTATTATGTATGTATATACACACACACCTCAGATGAGGGCTTGACTCTCCCTGAAATATTAACACACCCTTTCCACCTATAACATTGCCCCCTCGCCGCCGATTTCTGTCTCCAGCCCTCTGCTGAAAATCAGGCCACGGGTTCCACAGCCTGGCTGCACAATGCGGTCCATGGGCCAGAGCAGGGCCTCCTGCTAGCAGGTTGGAAATGCAGCGTCCCAGTCCCCAGCCAGCTCTGCAGCACCAGGACCCACAGGTCTCTGGCAAGACCTGTCCTCCCCTCAGGGCTAGAGTCGCACTGCACTGGAATTTCCTGCAGTGAGATTTGGGTGACCCTCCCCACTCCCAGTTGCCCGTCTCCTGTAACCAGGCAGCATGTGGTCAATTGACTGGCTTCAGCCTCCAGGACAGCCTGGAGCTCCGTGGGGTTTGGCACATGCTGTGGCTCCACGAAGATGCCCACGTCATGGTTCATCACTGCTCGGTGGGTTCTGCTGCCGTTATCTTTGTCCTCTGTACTCACATCCCATTTTCTCAGGTCCTCCCGGCCTTGGGGATGCTAGACGTTCCTTCTATCTTGATGGGCACCCCAGAACTGAAGTACTCCTGAAGCCCTTCTAACTTCCAAAGGGCAGCAGCTTCTACAAAAAAAGCAACAAGGGCCAGGCACAGTGGCTCGCGCCTGTAATCCCAGCACTTTGGGAGGCCAAGGTGGGCGGATCACCTGAGGTCGGGAGTTCGAAAACAGCCTGGCCAACATGGAGAAACCCCCGTCTCTACTAAAAATACAAAATTAGTTGGGCGTAGTGGCGCATGCCTGTAATCCCAGCTACTTGGGATGCTGAGGCAGGAGAATCGCTTGAACCCAGGAGGCGGAGGTTGCAGTGAGCCGAGATTGAGCTATTGCACTCCAGCCTGGGCAACAAGAGTGAAACTCCGACTCAAAAAAAAAAAAAAAAAAAAGCAACAAGACGGCTGAATTCCTGAAGGGAGGAGGGGCATCATGGGTGGTGACCCCACAGAGGCCCCCTGGTGTGGCCCCTGAGGCCCCTCAGACTGAAGAGGGCCTCCTGCAAGGGAGCTGGGTCCCCCGGGGGAGGGTGAATTCTGAGTCCCTGAACTGCAGGGCAAGCTGACCCAGAGCTCCAGCACTGCAAAGCCTCCCCCGGAAAGGGCTGTCTGGAGCGGCTGTGGCCAGCACAGTCACTCCTGGGGTGGGTGTGCACCTGGCTTTTGCATCATGGCTGACTGTGCTGGTGGCTTCACAGAAAGGGAGTTTGTGTGAGGATGCTCGGGTGCCTGCTGGGTGCTTGGCACTGGGGTCGGGGGGGCGGTGAATGGAGGCACCTGAGGGACACAGTCCCAGGTGGGAGCTGTCCCAGGTGGGAGCTGTTCCAGATAGGAGCTGCTGTCTCCCAGTCAGGTCCCAGGTTGGGGCTTGGCCAGGCCTGGGCTGGAGCGGGAGACCTTTCTAGCTGCCTCGGTCTGGCTGCCCACCCTGCACAGAGCCTGGGGCTCTGGCCTCTCTGTATCTCTCCTCTCCACTCTTCCTGGAGGGCACCGCTCTTATCTGACCTGCTCCCCCACAGTCTCCCTACATCTGGCCCAAAAATACACTTGGTGGCAGTCCCGCCATCACACTCAGGCTCGGGAGCTGGCGGCCCCTGGTCCGTGCTGCCTGCCACGCTGCTTTCCACGGCAGTGGTGGGAAAGGGAGGTTAGAACCCCATCTCCATGGCCAGAAGGCAGGAATTAGGGAAAAGGGGAGCCGTGAGGCTTCCAGGCCTGGGGTTGGAACAGAAGCTGCGCGGTGTGGGGCGATTTGGGCGCAGGACCCCGGGTGCTGGGAAGTGGGGAGCAGGACTGTGTCTGTTGCTCCAGAAAGCGCGAGGGATGCGATATAGGAAATTCGGGCGTCAGTTAGAGCCCGAGAGGGGTTCAGGGAGTCACTGACTTAGGCAGAGAGGAGCCCAGACGGGGTTCGAAGACCCTGGGGACGGACGCCCACCTGTCAGTCCTGGACTGTGGGGCACCCGTAGGCCGAGGGGCAGGAGGCTATGGCCCTGTCTCCTGGCTTGGGTCTAAACATCCCAAGGAGGTCAGACCGTAGAGTGGGGGCTGTGTGATCTTTCAAATGAGGGACGCCGCGTGTTACCAAAGGCCAGTGCTGAGGAGCTGGGCTGAAAGCTTGGGGAGTTCCCAGAACCAGCAGACTAGGAACGGGAGGAACCGTGTCGGGGGCTCTGCTCCGCTGGGCACTGACCCCCACCCCGCCCCCCGGTCTTGCAAGGGCTGGAGAAGGGTGAAAGGCAGAGGCGGGAGTCCGCACTTAGGGACCGGTCCGTTCCACACGCTGCTGACCAGGCTCCTGGGTGGCGCTCGCATGGAACATTCCGGAAACACCCATGGGAAGGTCCCAAGTTGGTTCCGAAAGGCCCTGACGGACGCGCAGGGGACGCTGAGCCTGTGATCCTCGCCTCACCCAGACGAGGCCGGGCTGCTTCTCACAGGAAAGTGCGTCTGGAGTCCGGGGACGGCCTCCTCCTGGGGCCTGTCCAGGTCGCCCTGGGCCTAAATTACAGGCGGGGAGAGGCCTGTCGGAGGAGCCCCCGCTCCAGACCCCTGGGGGACCCAGGGCGAGGTCGCCCCAGCGCCTCACGTCTGGGGGCTCCCCTTTGCCACGTCGCCAGAGCAAAATTCAAAATCTGCAGTTCTGGCAAATTTCCGGGGCCTCCCGGACACGAAAAGCAGCTGAAATCTCAGGACAATGTCATTGGATGCGGACCGAGAAGAAGCCGTTCGGAACCAGAGCTGCCCCGGATTCTCCCAGGCCTGGCTCGCCGGTGGGGGGACCCCGGTCCCTGGTTTGGGGGGGCAGGAACGGGCGGGCGCCCCTGGGGGCTTCTCATTTGTGTGTTGGTCTCGGCCTTGAAATGCAGCGGAGAAAATAAAAAATAAAATAAAAATAGGAGTCAGGTGTCAGAGTCGGGTCGGCCAGGCACTGAGGTTTGAAGGAATCGCAGAAGAAGCTCCTCTCACCCGGGTCCAGGCCGCGGGGGTTCTGCGGGAGGCGCCCCCGATTCTGCCCGCGGGACGCCGCGGCCTCGGAAGCCCCGGGAGCAGGCCCCGCCCCGCCCCCACCCTCCTCTCTCCCCAAGTCCTCCCGCCCCCCCAGCCCCGCCCCTCCCCCGCCCTGGGTGCTCCCCTGCCCCTCCCCCGGCCCTCCCCCGCCCCTCACCCGCTCCTGCCCCTCCTCTCTCCCCAGGTCCTCCCGCCCCCAGCCCCGCCCCTCCCCCGCCCTGGGTGCTCCCCTGCCCCTCCCCCGCTCCTGCCCCTCCTCTCTCCCCAAGTCCTCCCCGCCCCCAGCCGCCCCTCCCCCCGCCCTGCCCCCCCCCGCCCCCGCCTCCAGCCCCGCCCCTCTCCGCTCCCCGCCCCGCCCCCACGCGCCCGCGGTCCCGCCGGAAGGACTTAAGCGCCCCGGAGCCGGGAGGCGAACTTGGGACCCGCTGGCCTCGCTCGGTGCGCGCCTCCCTCCCCGCATGCAGCCCGCCGAGCGCTCGCGGGTCCCCAGGTGTGTGGCGCGGGGTGCGGGCGTCCCCGGCGGCTGCGGTCCCCGCGCGGGCCCGCGACCCCCCAGAGGAAACTTCGGGGACGCCGGCCTCCTTCTCTCGGTTTTGCAGGATCGACCCGTACGGATTCGAGCGGCCTGAGGACTTCGACGACGCCGCCTACGAGAAGTTTTTCTCCAGCTACCTGGTCACGCTCACCCGCAGGGCGATCAAATGGTCCCGGCTGCTGCAGGGCGGGGGCGTCCCCAGGAGCCGGACAGGTGGGTCCCGGGGGCGCAGGTGGGTCCCGAGGGCGCAGGTGGGTTGGGCTGGGACGGGCCGGGCAAAGTCCGGGCTCCCGGAGCGGAGGGAGGGGGAGGAACCTTTCCGGGCAGGTCGGGACGAAGCTGCGGGCTCCGAGCTAGGGCAGCCGCAGGGACCGGTTTTCCCGCTTTGAGATGGGCCGGCGGGTCGGACGCGAAGGAGACCCGTCCCTCCCAGCAGGGAGCCATATCGGGATGGATCAAAACTCGATCCATGCCGGGCGCGGTGGCTCACGCCTGTAATCCCAGCGCTTTGGGAGGCCGAGGCGGGCGGATCACGAGGTCAGGAGTTTGAGACCAGCCTGACCAACATGGTGAAACCCCGTCTCTACTAAAAATACAAAATTAGCCGGGCGTGGTGGCTCCTGCCTGTAGTCCCAGCTACTCTGGAGGCTGAGGCAGGAGAATCGCTTGAACCCAGTAGGCGGAGGTTGCAGTGAGCCGAGATTGCGCCATTGCACTCCAGCCTGGGCGACAGAGCGAGACTCCGTCCTTGTGACGGGACCCACAGGGCCCTGCTCGACCTGCCGCTCCTCCGCGACCCCAGGCCTCCTACTGCTGCGGTGAGCACCGGCCTGACCGCCCGCCCGCCTCGGGGTTAGCTGCAGGGCCCCCTCCTCCGGGGCGCCCCAGGCTTCCCTGTGCGGAGGGCACCTCCTCATTTCTGCCTTTCCCAGCACAGCCCCTGCTGGAGTCAAAAACCCTTCCTCCCTGCAACGGATTTTTCATTCACTGCTCAGTCCTCAGAACCTGGGGCAGTGCCAGGCGACTTCCCTGTGTGTTCAGTGAATGAATGAAGTGTCTGCCTGGGGTGAGGGCTTGGTGGGAGTGTGCCCTGGAGCTAGGAACTCAGAGAAGTGGGGTCAAAGGGGAGTCCTGGGGGCTTCCTGAGAAGGGGGATGTGAATGGCAGCTGGGCTTCCAGGGACCGAGCAGTAGGGACCTGGTGGGGAAGGACAGAGATGAAACCAGGGGCCCTGCACCTGGGCGGAGGGTCGGAGGTGTGTGGTGACCACGGCCAGGCACAGAGAAGCCAACTGTTAAAGGTTTTCCAGGCAGGGGGTGACAAGATCAACTTTTGCTTTTATTTATTTATTTGAGACAGGGTATCCCTCTGAGTGCAGTGGCACAATCACCACTCACTGTAGCCTTGACCTCCTGGGCTCCAGCCATCCTCCCCTCTCAGCCTCCCGCATAGCTGGGACCACTGGTGTGGCCACCACTCCTGGCTAATTTTTAAATTTTTTATAGAGATGGAAGTTAATATCCTATATGCTTCCCACGAATGCATCATGTCCCATCCCTGTGGCCTCTGCATGTTCACATGTTTCCAGTGGAACGTGTGTCTTTATTTTTCCTTTTCATTTATTCTTTTTGATTTATTTATTTTTGAGACAGAGTCTCACTCTGTCGCCCAGGCTGGAGTGCAGTGGTGCGATCTCAGCTGACTGCAACCTCCACCTCCTGGGTTCAAGTGATTCTCCTGCCTCAGCCTCCTGAGTAGCTGGGATTACAGGTGCACACCACTACACCTGGCTAATTTATTTTTTATTTTCTTATTTTTTTTATTTTGAGACGGAGTCTCACTCTGTCGCCCAGGCTAGAGTGCAGTGGCATGATTTCAGCTCATTGCAACCTCTGCCTCCTGGGTTCAAGCGATTTTCCTGCCTCAGCCTCCCAAGTAGCTGGGATTACAGGCACCTACCACCACGCCAGGCTAATTTTTCTATTTTTTAGTAGAGATGGGTTTTACCATATTGGCCAGGCTGGTCTCAAACTCCTGACCTCAAGGGATCTGCCCACGTTGGCCTCCCAAAATGCTGGGATTACAGGCATGAGCCACTGCGCCTGATTTATTCTTAAAAGTTAACTGTCTTTTAATTTTAAAAAGTAACGTAAAAGTATATAAGACATGTGAACTTAAAAAGCATAATTTATGTACATGGTAAACACTTTAATCATACTGAGGGCTACAAAGTGCAACAGGGAGTTTCTCTCCCACCCATGGCCCCCATCTCCTATAGAGATGACCGCAGGGGACTGTCCTTCCGTCCCCCTCAGGAGCAGAAGTCCACGCTTGGTTCTGCAGTTTGCTTTAAGAGCAGGGGAAGTCCGTGGGAAGTCCTGTGGCTGTGACCTGGAGGTTGGTTACAGCGGAGAATCTGAAAGATGTATGGTTGTGCATAAATTTTTGTTTTTACAGAAAACACAACTGCACAGTCATTCTCCCGTCTTTGCCTTTGCCATTTGGGTCTGTCCTATTGCTGTCCTTTTCTTCGACCAGGAGCTGCTAACTTGGGTTCCATATTTTCCTTTTTAGGGAACCACTCAGCACATTGCCCCCACTTTCCAATATGGACTTGGGAGGGGGTTCTGGGAAGAGCAGGGAAAAGGAAAAGAGCAATCCGGATGCAAAATCCTCCAGATTTTTATTCTTTTCCCCACTCCTTTGCAATTATTTTACACCTAAGTCAACAGTTTTGTTTTTGCTTTTTTTTTTTTTTTTTTTTAGCATTGGTCTCTATCAACTCTTTCTAAAAATTTCATTTTGTTTTTATTGAAGTAACAACTTTCTTCTTTTTGCTTTAATTTTTTTTTTTTTTTTTTTTTTGAGTCAAAGTCTAGCTCTGTCAGCCTGGCTGGAGGGTAGTGGCGCAATCTCGGCTCACTGCAACCTCTGCCTCCCAGGTTCAAGCAATTCTCCTGCCTCAGCCTCCTGAGTAACTGGGATTACAGGCACTCGCCACCATGCCCGGCTAATTTTTGTGTTTTTAGGAGAGATGGGTTTTGCCTTGTTGGCCAGGCTGGTCTCGAACTCCTGAGCTCCAGTGATCCGCCCACCTCAGCCTCCCAAAATGCTGGGATGACAGGCGTGAGCCACCATGCTGGGCTAATTTATGTAATGTTAAGTGGACCATGTAATTATGGTAGCAAGCATCACTGGCATAAATGGGTCTGTGAGCAAATATATCTCTTTGATCCTATATGAGCCTCAGCCTGAGGGGTGGGAGCCACAGGGCTGTGGGCCTGTTCTGCAGGGAGTAGGGATGCTGGTGACTCCGGTGGGAGGCACATGGAGTCAGTGATCGCGTGTCTCTACTGGCCTGGGGCCTGGGTCCCAGTGTGACCGTCAGGGTGCCCATGAGCACTGGCAAAGCCCCAAGAGCAGAGGGTCGGGTATAAAACTGGAGTGGACGAGTTATTCCAAAAATGGGAATACCACTTCTTCCTGCCAGGTATTCCAGGCTGACAGTGATAGAGTTCTTTCCTCTCCTTTTGGAGGGTTTTCATCTGCACTCCCCATGTTAAAGTCTCCAGGAACACAATCATCTACCAATCTCAGCATTCCACATGTCTTAAGGGACAGTTATTATGTATTCTGCCTGATCACACTCTTGGTGGGTACAATAAATATTGTATTTTCCTTTTTCCATAGCAAATATCCACCAGGAGCCCTTAGGAAGACAGCTTCCTCTTCCTCCCTGGAAAGACTAAATTCAACAAACTTAGTCCTGTTGGATTCCTATTTCATTCTCCATCTCGAGAATAGACGTCTGCAGGGAAGCAGCTTCAGGGCCGTTGGCTTCTTTGAGACCTCCTTCCTGGTGGCTTAGAATATTAACACCACCTAAGTTAAATCGAGAAAACATATTTTCAAAGATACACCGAAAAACTGGGGATTTGCCTAACTTTGTCAGGGTAGACAGATGGACGTCAGTTCTCTGGATGTAGCTTCTTTTTAAAAATTTCCCAACTGTTTTGACTTGATATTTTATACTTCTCCAAACATTAGTGATGCTCTGTGCGTTAGCCCTGCCCTTGGGAAAGTGTCAGTCTGTGAGGACAAGTAAACAATTTTCTTTCTTCTATAAAGAAACAGTGTAAATCCAGATAACAAACTTATCAAAAAGTCGCAGAATTCTTTGTTCCGTGAAGCTTCCGGGTGTTGCTCCAACTGCCAGAGCTGCTCGGGGGCCTTGGGTGCAGGCTCGGTGCCTTCTGTTCACTTTACGATGAGGAAACCAAGGCACGCTCAGGGTCTGGAGCCTGCAAGTCATAGCGGAGCAGAGTGTCTGACTCCAGAGCTGGTGCATTTAGCCATTTCGACCTTTCTCTTAAATACAACCTTGATATTATTGTTATTATCGAGACAGGGTCTTGCTCTGTCACCCAGGCAGGAGGACAGTGGGACGATCATAGCTCACTGCAGCCTAGAGGAGCAATCCTCCCGCCTCAGCCTCCAGAGTAGCTGGGACTACAGGTGTGCACCACCATGCCCAGCTAATTTTTAAGGGTTTTTTTGTAGAGATGGAGTCTCCTGGGATTACAGGCATGAGCCACTGCACCTGGCCTATCAAATAATTTTAACAATTTACAGTAAAATTCACTCTTAACAGTATATGGTTCTGTGAATTTGGACAAACACGCAGCTAGGCAGTCATCACCACAGTCAAGATTCTGTCGCCTTCAACAATCCTGTCCTTTGAAGTCAGCCCACTGCTCACATCACTGAGCTCTTCCCCATTCCCGTAGTTCAGCCATTTCTATGGTGTCATTAGTGGAATCATGCAGATTGTAGCCTTTGAGTCTGGTTTCTTTCACCTAATGCGTTGGAGATCCATCCAGGACCTTGTATGTGTCAATAGTTCCTTCCTTTTTATTGCTGAGGTACTTCATTTACGGATGTACTACAATTTTTAAAAACCCATTCATCAGCAGAAGACATTTGGAATGTGTAAGCCGACATTATAAACATCCACCTACAGGTTTTTGTGTGAACTTGGTCTTCATTTATCTTGACTAAACACCGCATGGGATTGCTGGGTCGTGTGACAAGTGCATGTTTAACTAACTAGTAAGAAATTACAAACCGCCTTTCCAATGTGGCTGTAAATTTTGCATTCCCACCACAAATATATGAGTGTCCTAATTGCTCCACATTCTTGCCAGCTCTTCATATTGTTGGTGTTTTTTTATTTTAGTCATTCTTTTGTAGATGGACTATTCTGTGTGCATTAAATTTCCTTTGCATCTTTATCAAAAAGCAATTGGTTCTGTTTGTGTGGGTCTCTTTGTGGATTCCTTATCATATCCCATTATTTCATTTGTCTACCTTTTTTTCAGTACCACGTTGTCTGTCTTACTGTAGGTTTATAGTAAAGCATAAAATCAGGTAATATGTCTCCTCCAACTTCATTTTCAAAATTGTTTTGGTTCTTTTCGCTTTGCATATAAAGTTTAGAATCAGCTTGTCATTGTCTACAAAGTATTTTTTCCTGGAACAGTGATAAAGAGGTGCATATAGGAATCTGTAGATCAACTTTGGAAGAACTGACGTCTTAAGAGTGAGCCTTGCAATCTGTGAACATGGTGTATCTATTAGTTTATTTCAGTCTTATTTGATTGCTTTTGCAGCATTCAGTATTTGGATCCTGCAAATACTTCATTAGATTTTTACCTAAGTATTTCTCCTTTTATTTCTTGTTACTATTGTAAATGATGCCAATTTTATTTTTTTATTTTTATGTATTTATTTTTTGAGATGGAATCTCTCTGTGTCTCCCAGGCTGGAGTGCAGTGGTGCAATCTCAGCTCACTGCAACCTCCGCCTCCCAGGTTCAAGCGATTCTCCTGCCTCAGCCTCCCAAGTAGCTGGGATTACAGGCACCTGCCACCACGCCCGGCTAATTTTTGTATTTTTTTTAGTAGAGACGGGGTTTTGCCATGTTGGTCAGGCTGATCTTGAACTCCTGACCTCAGGTGATCCACCCGCCTTGGCCTCCCAAAGTGCTGGGATTACAGGCATGAACCACCACGCCAGGCCGCAGTTTTAAATATATGATTTCCAGGTGTTCATTATTAGTTTGTAGAAGTACCACTGGTTTTTGCATGGCCTCTCCTTTCTGCTTCTGTCCCTCTCAGTTAGAACAGTCCTTGCCTGTGCTGGGACTCACCGTCTCCTGCTGTTGTATAGCACAGAATGACTAAGAACTCATTCAGAGCATTCCTGGTCAAGCTGCCCTCTGAGGGTCATGAGACCTACAGCAAACCTCAGTATGAATCGTACTAACTTGGAGGAAAGTCAGGCTGAATTATTGGTGTCTTTGGTAGAATTTTAAAAATAAAGCAAAACATGTTTTTCATGTTCCTGTAAGCAGTGTGAATAAACCGTAAACCAAGTGTGCTGAGATGTTCTTACCTGAGACATGATCCTCAAATATGTTTCTAAACCAGAAAGAGGGTTTCTTAAGAGGGATTCTTTTTTTTTTTTTTTTTTTTGAGGCAGTGTCACTCTGTCGCCAGGCTGGAGTGCAGCGGCGTGATCTCGGCTCACTGCAACCTCTGCCTGCCAGGTTCAGGCTATTCTCCTGCCTCAGTCTGCCGAGTAGCTAGGACTACAGACGTGAGCCATCACGCCCAGCCAATTTTTGTATTTTGAGTAGAGATGAGGTTTCACCATGTTGGCCAGGCTGGTCTCGATCTCTGGACCTCAGGTGATCTGCCCACCTCGGCCTCCCAAAGTGCTGGGATTACAGGCATGAGCCACCGCGTCCAGCTAATTTTTGTATCTTTTGTAGAGACAGGGTTTCACCATGTTGGCCAGGATGGTCTCGATCTCTTGACCTCGTGATCTGCCCACCTTGGCCTCCCAAAGTGCTGGGATTCCAGGCATGAGCCACTGCGCCCGGCCCTTAAGAGGGATTCTTTGGCTTTCAGTGGATGGCATTAGTGTCTGTTTTCTCTCTCCTCTGGGTCTTCCCTCGTTGTCCTTGTATAATTCGTCACGTATTTAGTGAGCAATTACTGCCTCCCAGGTTCCCTTCCAGGAGTGGGAGGCCCAGTGGACAGACAAGGGCCTGTCCTTCCAGAGCCTGATTTTCTCAGTAATCACATAGCACATGATCATCTGCTCGTGTCCAGATGATCATACATTGTGGATCACCTTGGAATTTGAGCTCATAAAGTTTTACCCTATAGTGCTTTTCTTGACTGTAGCCTATAAAGTTATGAGTTTTTATCTGCTAAATACAGCTGGTGCCTCAGATTTTTTTCTTTTAAGGCAGCTTATAGAATTTTACAAATTGCATATGCCTTCTTTTCTTTTGTAAAGTATGGTTTCTTTTAAAATATTGGTTTCTTTTCAAATATGTGCAGGGCCAGGCGTGGTGGCTCACGCCTGTAATCCCAGCACTTTGGGAGGCCGAGGTGGGCGGATCATGAGGTCAAGAGTTCAAGACCATCCTGGCCAACATGGTGAAATCCTGTCTTTACTAAGAATACAAAAATTAGCCAGGCATGTTGGCAGGTGCCTTTAATCCCAGCTACTCAGGAGGCTGAGGCAGGAGAATTGCTTGAACCTGGGAGGCAGAGGTTACAGTGAGCCAAGATTGCACCACTGCACTCCAGCCTGGGCGACAGAACAAGACTCCGTCTCGAAAAAAATAAAATAAAATAAAATAAAATATATATAGTGTAGTATCAAAGGAAAACAGCAAAACTTTAAATATTTGCTTTGAAAATTAACTGTTTTGTAGGTTAAGAGCACAGTGTCGCAGCTTTGGACTTAACATAATTAATTCAGATGTTAGCCATACATACCTTTTCCATCTGCCTAAGAAATTACTCAGTATTGACTAATGAAGATAGCTCATGGCTTTTGGCTTCTTTCTGTCCCTATATGTTTCTGTGGCCATTAAAATTACTAATTACTTTTTCACATTTTTATTGTCAATTAAAATATCCCTACAAAATGGAGTAGCTTTCAATATATAGAGATTAACTGCACGAGTTGGACAGTGACGTCTGCCACTGAAACCGTGTTCTCCCAGCTGTGGCGTCCCACCTGAGGTGCTCACAGCTGAGCCCAGCCGGCCTCCTTGTACTCAGCTGGGCCTCTCACTGCTTTGCCCCTTTGCTGCTGCTCTGCACGGCTGCCAGGAAGCTTTGCAGAGCAGCCATCTGACCGCGGCTCTGTTTCTTGACCACCTGCATTGAATGGTGAAGTGGGCGTGGGGGCGGTTCTGTAGCCAGTCTGGTTTGTGCTCTGTTGAGAGGGAGAGGAGAGCAGAATTTTTAAAGGAGTATATGTACCAGTTTTGGTGGAGATGGACGAAGTTCTGGGTCTCTTTAATATTTGATTTAAGAAGAGAACTGGTGAGAGTGGAAAGTGTGGCAGGAACGCGTGGGCCCCGCAGGCCCCTGGTCCAGCTCACACGCTGTCCGTCCTCTCGGCCTTCAGTGAAGCGCTATGTCCGGAAAGGGGTCCCGCTGGAGCACCGTGCCCGCGTCTGGATGGTGCTGAGTGGGGCCCAGGCGCAGATGGACCAGAATCCCGGCTACTACCACCAGCTTCTCCAGGGAGAGAGAAACCCCAGGCTGGAGGACGCCATCAGGACAGGTGAGGCGGTGGGGGTCGAGCTCTGGTGCAGGGCCCGGGGGCCGGAAGGAACCGGTTTCCACCCAGTGTCTAGCCTCAGCGTCCAGGGGTGAGCGGTGCGCCTGCTGCTTTTAACTTGAAGTTACGTCTTCCTCCATGAAAGAATCAAAACTGAAGCCTTTGCAAGGGGAGAACAATGATCGTAATTCACTCAGCAGATATTCACGTGCCTAGCTGGCTAATAAGAAAATGGGCATGAAGGAGCAGATGCGCTCCATGAAGACTCGCGGGACAGGGAGAGGCGGCCTCTGTTGCCGGTGCGCTTCGCACCGGGCACTGTTCACGCGGCCTTCGGACGCAGCTGCGCTCATGAGGCCGCACACCAGGGCTTCCTTTTTTGTATCTGGTTATCATAATTGCTGGACTCCCTTCTCCTCTGATTTTTCTCAGTAATCACATAACCATAGGGTCCCTGGCTCTCAGAAGTTCAGAGTGCTAACAAAATTGATTAACCTAAGGCCGGGCGCGGTGGCTCACGCCTGTAATCCCAGCACTTTGAGAGGCTGAGGAGGGCGGATCACCTGAGGTCAGGAGTTCGAGACCAGCCTGCCCAACATGGTGAAACCCGGTCTCTACTAAAAATACAAAATAGCCGGGCGTGGTGGCGCATGCCTGTAATCCCAGCTACTCGGGAGGCTGAGGCAGGAGAATCGCTTGAACCCGGGAGGTGGAGGTTGCGGTGAGTTGGGATTGCACCACCGCACTCCAGCCTGGGCAACAAGAGTGAAACTCCATCTCAAAAAAAAAAAAAATATTGGTTAACCTAAATTGAATAGATTTTTAGAAAGTACATCTGCCCTTCTGATTTTAACAGTTTTTGAGAAATACACATTTAAACACAATATACTTAATTTTAAAAAACCCAGTGGCTTTAAAGTGCTGAGAGGTTAGAAAGACGGGACGGGGAGGACATGGTGCATCCTGCTGCCCTTCCTGGGGGTCTCCTGTCCACGGGGCTGAGCCAGTGGGGAGGGGGCTCCCAAGGCTGGGAGCTGGGGCTGCCAGGGGAGAGGCTGCATCCTGACCACAGAGTGATGGCCGCCAAAGGTCTCCAGTGCACAGCCTGGCGGCCAGAAACGCTGATTCAGGGTGGGAAGAGGAGAGCTTGGGTGCAGTGGGTGGGGGTGCATATTAAAACAGCACTGCTGTCTGAAAAATGCATTTAAAGTCTCTGTTTTGTGGTTTTTTGGATGAATTTTTTTATTTTTTATGACAGGTGTCAGTCTGTTACCCAGACTGGAGTGTAGTGGTGCGGTCACAGTGACAGCTCACTTCAGCCGTGACCTACCAGGCTCAAGCGATCCTCCTGCCTCAGCCTCCTGCGTAGCTGGAAGTGGTCTGAACCACAGGTGTGCACCACCACACCTGGCTCATTTTTTAATTTTTATTTTTTTGCAGAGATGGGGTTTTGGTCTTGAACTCCCGGGCTCTGAGGATTCGCCCTCCTTCACCTCCCAAAGTGCTAGGGTTACAGGAGTGAGCCACCCACCTGGCTGAATTGTTTTTTAAATTATGGTAAAATATGCCTAATATAAAATTTACCATTTCATTTTCCCAAGCTGAAGCTCTTGGGAGCTTCCCCATTGTTAAGCACTGAACCCCATGTCCTCACCCAGCCCCTGGCAATCCCGCTGTGCGCTTGTCTCTGTGCCATCCCCATTGTCAAGCACCGACCCCCGTGTCCTTGCCCAGCCCCTGGCAGTCCCACTGTACGCTTGTCTCCGTGCTTTGGCAACTCCAGGGTCACATAAGAGGAGTCCCGTGGGCTGCGTCCTCTGCAGCTGGGGTCCTTTCCCTCGCCTCAGTCCTCAGGGATCCTCTGTACTGCATCTTGTGTGACAATTTCCTCCTTCTTTAAGGGTGAATAATATTCCACGCATGGGCAGACTACATTTTGTTCATTTATCCATCTATCAGTGGACCCCTGGGCTCTCCTGCCGCACGGCTGTTATGGGTGGCATGGCCGTGAGCCTGGGTATGTGGATTCTGCTGGGTCCCTGCTTTCAGCTGTGGGTTCCTACCCAGAGTGTGGATTCTGCTGGGTCCCTGCTTTCAGCTGTGGGTTCCTACCCAGAGTGTGGGGCTGGGCCCCTGCTTTCAGCTGTGGGTTCCTACCCAGAGTGTGGGGCTGGGTCCCTGCTTTCAGCTGTGGGTTCCTACCCAGAGTGTGGGGCTGGGTCCCTGCTTTCAGCTGTGGGTTCCTACCCAGAGTGTGGGGCTGGGTCCCTGCTTTCAGCTGTGGGTTCCTACCCAGAGTGTGGGGCTGGGTCCCTGCTTTCAGCTGTGGGCTCCTACCTAGAGTGGACTCTGCTGGGTCCCTGCTTTCAGCTGTGGGCTCCTACCCAGAGTGTGGATTCTACTGGGTCCCTGCTTTCAGCTGTGGGCTCCTACCTAGAGTGTGGGGCTGCTGGATCCATGACAGTTCTGTGCTTAGTAATTGGAGCCACCTGGTCAGTTATCTTTCAGGAGCCATGCAGTGGATGGTCCAGTCCCACAGAGCCAATGCCAGGCCACGCAGTGCAGACAGAAAGCTCCCATGCTCTTCTGTCTCCACAATGGAGATGGAGCCATCTCCTTTCCCACAGGATGTTATCAAAACATATCAAGAAACTTAGTGTGGTGGCTCACGCCTGTAATCCCAGCACTTCGGGAAGCTGAGGCAGGCGGATTAGTTGAGCTCAGGAGTTCAAGACCAGCCTGGCCACCATGGCAAAACTCTGTCTTTACAAAACAATACGTAAATTAGCCCAGGCATGGTGGTGTGTGCCTGTAGTCTCAGCTACTCAGGAAGCTGAGGTGGGAGGATCGCTTGAGCCCTGGAGGTCGAGGATGCAGTGAGCCGTGATTGCACCTCTGCACTCCAGCCTGGGTGACAGAGTGAGACCCTGTGTTAAATATATATATAAATATATATATATATATAAAATATATATAAATATATATATAAAATATATATAAAAATATATATAAAATATATATAAAATATATATAAATATATATAAATATATATAAAAATATAAAAATATATAAATATATATAAATATATATATAAATATAGAAAACTCAATAAAAATATTACATATAAATGAACACAGCTGGTCACTCTAGTCTGAAATAGCAAAAATACTAACTTCCCCTTGACTGATTCCATTTTTTGGAATGTTTAGAATTCCAGAAAAAAAAAAAGGCTCTTTTGTAAGAAAACACACAATGAGAAATAATGTGCTCTGAGGCATTGAACTAATGTTGGCCCAAATCTAGTTTTTTGTAAGCAAAGATAAGGCCTGGGGCCAGAGGTCGGAAACAGACTTACAGTATTTTGCAGCCGTTGTGGAGAGACCACAGGCGGTTGGGTTCCTCCAGAGCTGGGTGTACACCCATCTCAGCGTCATGGCTGGCGGGGACTGCTGTGAGTCCATCTTGGAACTTGTGCAGAAAGCGGCTGTCTGCTGGTGACCGCATGGGGTGCCTGGCGAACACCTCTAACAGAGGTAGGGCCAGTGGGAGCAGAAACCAGTGGAGTTGTCAAGCCGGCATTATCCTTCCTGCTCGGCTTGTGTCCAGGGTTAACGCGGAGGTCAGCTTCAGTGAGGCCTGGCACTTGGTCAGCGTGAGGCTTGGTTAGTCTCAGGGACCCACGTGGTATCCGGGTCCCCCAGCACTAAACAGCTTGGCCAAGGCCACACTGTCCTGCCAAGAGATGCCTGGGCGGGACAGTGGGAGGGGTTGGTGCTGAGGAAGGAAGAGGCCGGCAGGGATGCCTCCTGCACACACAAGCTGACAACTCGAGGTTTATTCAGTTCTCAGCTCTCAGCTCTCAGCCGTGTCCTTTATCTCTGAGGAGTCTCAATTTATTCTGTCTCCTTCTGTTTTGGATCTTTGAAATTAGGAAAACACCTCAAAGTTTTGTGTGCATTTCTCTCCACCTGTCACCCTGGGTCCTCGAGGCAGAGTTGCCTCCGCTACGCGCGAGGTCCGAGGTGCAGGAGGCCTGTGCTGGGGGCCGGGAGGAGACGGGCATTGAGGAGGGAGTGCCATGGCCTGGCCACCAGCTCTGGGGTCGCTCTGCTGTCCCTGACTCTGCGGGAAGGACGGTTAGGGCCCCTCTCCGCCCCGAGTTCAGGATCACCCCCTCCTTCCTGGCCCAGTGAGCCTGTCGCTCTGGCTGTGTTGAGTCTGCTGTGCGGCCAGGGTGAAAACCAGTCCGTAAGTCCCAAGTGGAACCCAGGTGGCCACCCTCGGGGCAGCTGGAGGGGTGGGAGGCTTGTGGAACAGAAACCCGTGGGTGATTCCTTCTGAATTTCCCACAGACCTGAACCGGACCTTCCCCGACAACGTGAAGTTCCGGAAGACCACGGACCCCTGCTTACAGAGGACCCTGTACAATGTGCTGCTGGCATATGGGCACCATAACCAGGGAGTGGGCTACTGCCAGGTGAGCCTCGGGACCCTCTGACGCCATGAGGTGGCTGTGAGGACAGGTCTGTCCACAGCTGCAGGCTCGGCAGTGACGGCCTCACGTCTCTGTCAACCCTGTTCATGAATTCCACGTCCTGATGCCCCATTGAGGCTCGGACGCCATTTCCCAGCAGGGAGGACAGGGAGCAGCAGCCGACGACCTCATTCCGGCCTCAGGTGGCGGGAGGAGAATCAGCACGGGACACAGAGGGCGAGTGCTGTGGGGTGCGTGCGCTGTGGGGTGTGTGTGCTGTGGGATATGTGTGCTGTGGGGTGTGTGTGCTGTGGGGTGTGTGTGCTGTGGGGTGTGTATGCTGGAAGGCATGTGCACCATGGGGTGTGTGTATGGGATATGTGTGCTGTGGGTGCGTGCGCTGTGGGGTGCGTGCGCTGTGGGATGTGTGTGCTATGGGGTGCATGTGCTGTGAGGTGTGTGTCGTCCTCTGAGGCCACTCCCAGAGTGTCTGCTGTCTACACTGTCATCCCCTGGCTGGCTCCGTGGTGTGAACCAGCAGCTGCAGTTGGGAGAGTCCTTGCGCCTCCCGGAGGCCACCTAGCTGGGCGCATATTAAGGGCATTGCTGTTAGTAACTAGTGGAGTGAACAGGCCGGAATGCAGGGCAACCAGGAGCCGTGCAGTCTCCCAGCCTGTGTGTCCTGCCTGGGCCTGTCGCTGGTGGTGCTGTTCCAGTCTGTCTGAGCTCGCCGAGGGCAGGGCAGGCATCTGGGCAGGGCTGGCCTCCACGAGGGTTTCCAGGTGTGCGCACAGCCCGTGACTGCCTGTGAGTCCCCGTGGCTGAGAGCCTGGAGCCCACGGCTGCCACCGGGATTGGAGAGTGCGTTCCTGGCATTTTAGGCCATGTGCTTCACGGGCTCCTAGGGGTTGTGGCTGGCTTAAACGTTTCTAGGAGGACAGGGAAGGACATCGTCGCGATGGGTGGTTCGAACCTAGCAGTCCCAGTGATGCCCCCAGAAACTTCCTGTAGGAGCCGGGAGCCAGGCGTGCACCAACCAGAAAATGCAGTTTGAGTGAACGTTTGGAGGAGTGTGGAGCCCCTGCCTGGACAGCCCTGGGCCTGGCACCTGGCAGAGTGAATGCTCCCGAGGAGAAAGGGTGGACGTTGCGTGAGGAGCGCCCTGTGAAAGGCCAGCAGCAGAGCCACGGGACCACGCTGTCCTCACCAGCTGTTCCACGTGCTGTGCGTGTGTGGCTCTGTAGCTGGCTGGCAGTGCCGTGTCGGGTGAAGCTGGGAGAGTCCCTCCTTTGCAGACAGAATTCCTGCCATTCCTCACTTTTATGACTGTCCAGGAGCAAGAACGTGGCCTTCTGGAGTTGAGGTAGAATGGGCAAGAAATCCTCTACATCATTCTATTTACTGCTCCTTTGTGTTTTAAAAACAGCTTTATTAAAATGCATACACCAGCCTGGGCAAGGTGGCAAGACTCCATCTCTACAAAATATTTTTAAAAATTAGCGGGGTGTGGTGGCACACGCCTGTGGTCCCGGCTGCTCGAGGGGCTGAGGTGAGAGGGTCGTTTGGGTCTGGGAGGTCAAGCCTGCAGTGAGCCATGTTGGCACCACTACACTCCAGCCTGGGCAACAGAGCAAGACCCTGTCTGAAAAAAACCGAGAAACAAACAAAAAAAAACACCACCCACCTGGGTGGCCCTTGCCTATAATCATGCACTTTGGGAGGTCAAGGCAGGAGGATTGTTTGCTTGAGGCCAAGAGTTCAAGACCAGCCTGGGCAATAGAGCAAGACCCCATCTCTATTCTTAAAAAACAAGGCACAAACACAATGTTACATACTAACAGAATGCCAGAGCACAGCTGGCTTTTGGAACCTACAGGCACATACGTACATGTGTGTGCGGAGATGTGCACCTGTTAGCTTGCTGTGGGCCCCTAAGGAAATGCCACAGCCTGGTAAACAGTGGAAACGAATTCTCTCTCAGCTCTGGAAGCTGTGCATCAGAGGTCGCGGCATCTGCGGGGCAGGTGAGGTCGCGGCGTCTGCGGGGCGGGTTCTTTCTGAGGCTGTGACGGACGGACTGTCCCAGGCCTTGCCCTGGTTCTGCTGGTTCCTGGCAGTCCTGGGTGCCCCTCGGCGGGTGGCATCACTACTCCAATCTCTGCCTCCATCTCCATGTGCGTTCTCCTGTGCATGCCTGTGTCTAAAGCTCCACGTAAGACAAGGACACCAGGCTTGGATAGGGCCCACCAACTCCTCCATGACCCCATCCGTAATGACATCTGCAACAGTCTTTTTCCCAAACAAGGTCCCAATCTGAGGTACTAGGGGTTAGGACTTCAACAGATGAATTTTGGGGCGGGCAACACAGTTCAATGTGTGGCATATGTGTAGAGTTACACAGTGCACACGGTCTCGCTCTGTCACCCAGGCTGGAGTGCAGTGGCGTGATCTCGGCTCACTGCAGCCTCAACCTCCTTTGCTCAAGCGATTTTCCCACCTTGGCCTCCTGAGTAGCTGGGACCACAGGTGCGCCACCACGCTCGAGTAATTTTTGTATGTTTTGTAGAGATCGGGGTTTTGCCACATTGCCCAGGCTGGTCTTGAACTCCTGAGCTCAGGCGATCCTCCTGCCTCTACCTCTCACAGTGCTGGGATCCCCCACTGTGCCTGGCTATGTTCTGCTTTTTCTCCACGATGATCACCCACCTGCATTTCCATGTGTCCACACTGTCCACATGGTCGCCCTCTCCCAGGTCCAGTAGCACTGTCCACTCAAAGGGGTCCATTCTCAGCCACGGAGATCCTCCCGGGTCCACTCGGCCAGACAGGTCCTCCCAGGTCCGCTCAGCCACACAGGTCCTCCCAGGTCTGCTCTCGGCCACAGAGGTCCTCCCGGGTCCGCTCTCGGCCTCAGAGGTCCTCCCAGGTCCGTTCTTGGCCACAGAGGTCCTCCCGGGTCTGCTCTCGGCTTCAGAGGTCCTCCCGGATCTGTTCTTGGCCACAGAGGTCCTCCCGGGTCTGCTCTCTGCCACAGAGGTCCTCCCAGATCCGCTCAGCCACAGAGGTCCTCCCGGGTCTGCTCTCGGCTTCAGAGGTCCTCCCGGATCTGTTCTTGGCCACAGAGGTCCTCCCGGGTCTGCTCTCTGCCACAGAGGTCCTCCCGGGTCTGCTCTCTGCCACAGAGGTCCTCCCAGATCTGCTCAGCCACAGAGGTCCTCCCAGGTCCGCTCTCAGCCACAGAGGTCCTCCCGGGTCTGTTCTCAGCCACAGAGGTCCTCCTGGGTCTGCTCTCTGCCACAGAGGTCCTCCCGGATCCGCTCAGCCACAGAGGTGCTCCTGGGTCCGCTCTCGGCCACAGAGGTCCTCCCAGGTCTGCTCTCGGCCACAGAGATCCTCCTGGGTCTGCTCTCAGCCACAGAGGTCCTCCCGGGTCCACTGTCAGCCACAGAGGTCCTCCCGGGTCTGCTCTCGGCTTCAGAGGTCCTCCCGGATCTGTTCTTGGCCACAGAGGTCCTCCCGGGTCTGCTCTCTGCCACAGAGGTCCTCCCAGATCCGCTCAGCCACAGAGGTCCTCCCGGGTCTGCTCTCAGCCACAGAGGTCCTCCCAGGTCCGCTCTCAGCCACAGAGGTCCTCCTGGGTCTGCTCTCGGCCACAGAGGTCCTCCTGGGTCTGCTCTCTGCCACAGAGGTCCTCCCGGGTCTGCTCTCTGCCACAGAGGTCCTCCCGGGTCTGCTCTCTGCCACAGAGGTCCTCCCGGGTCTGCTCTCTGCCACAGAGGTCCTCCCAGATCCGCTCAGCCACAGAGGTCCTCCCAGGTCCGCTCTCAGCCACAGAGGTCCTCCCGGGTCCGCTCTCAGCCACAGAGGTCCTCCCGGGTCTGCTCTCTGCCACAGAGGTCCTCCCAGATCCGCTCAGCCACAGAGGTCCTCCCAGGTCCGCTCTCAGCCACAGAGGTCCTCCCGGGTCCACTGTCAGGCACAGAGGTCCTCCCGGGTCTGCTCTTGTCCACAGAGGTCCTCCCGGGTCTGCTCTTGTCCACAGAGGTCCTCCCGGGTCTGCTCTTTGCCACAGAGGTCCTCCCAGGTCCGCTCTCAGCCACAGAGGTCCTCCCGGGTCCGCTCTCAGCCACAGAGGTCCTCCCGGGTCTGCTCTCTGCCACAGAGGTCCTCCCAGATCCGCTCAGCCACAGAGGTCCTCCCAGGTCCGCTCTCAGCCACAGAGGTCCTCCCGGGTCCACTGTCAGGCACAGAGGTCCTCCCGGGTCTGTTCTCGGCCACAGAGGTCCTCCTGGGTCTGCTCTTTGCCACAGAGGTCCTCCCGGGTCTGCTCTTTGCCACAGAGGTCCTCCCGGGTCCACTGTCAGGCACAGAGGTCCTCCCGGGTCTGCTCTTGTCCACAGAGGTCCTCCTGGGTCTGTTCTCGGCCACAGATGTCTTCCCAGGTCTGCTCAGCCACAGAGGTCCTCCCAGGTCCGCTCTCAGCCACAGAGGTCCTCCTGGGTCCGCTCTCGGCCACAGAGGTCCTCCCGGGTCTGCTCTCTGCCACAGAGGTCCTCCCAGATCCGCTCAGCCACAGAGGTCCTCCCGGATCTGCTCTCGGCCACAGAGGTCCTCCCGGGTCTGTTCTCAGCCACAGAGGTCCTCCCGGGTCTGCTCTCAGCCACAGAGGTCCTCCCGGGTCCACTGTCAGGCACAGAGGTCCTCCCGGGTCTGCTCTTGTCCACAGAGGTCCTCCCGGGTCTGTTCTCGGCCACAGATGTCTTCCCAGGTCTGCTCAGCCGCAGAGGTCCTCCCGGGTCTGCTCTCGGCCACAGATGTCTTCCCAGGTCTGCTCAGCCGCAGAGGTCCTCTCGGGTCCACTCTCGGCCACAAAAGTCCTCCTGGGTCTGCTTTTGGCCACAGAGGTCTTCCCAGCATTTCCGTCATCAGCTCGAAGCAGTCGGTTCTTCCCAGAGCTTCCATCGTCATCTTCTGGAACATGATCTTCTCTGCACTGGTTACTTTTGCTTTTTGAGTGAAACTCTTAGGGTCTGTTTTTAAGGGGAGGTCCAGGCCAAGGGACGTGTAAGGCTGCGTGCCCGTCCTCCAGTGCTTTGGCTCCGGGTGAACAGCGCCACATCCCTGTGTGACTGAAGCCGCCGCGCTGCTGCCAGCATCGCTCTCTGCAGCTGCCCCTCCGCACTTCCGATCACGTGAATTGATCTTGTGGGCTGGCAGAAGCTGGATTCTTTTCCCTTATTACTAGAGAAATACTTACTTTAGAAATTACAAATGAGTGACAAAGAAGAGAATTTCAGTCGTGTAAAACGCAGTCACCTGGAAATGGCGCTGACTCACGGCTGCGAAGCCCCCAGGGTCTGGGGCTGCCCTCGATGGAGAGGGTCACATACGTGATGTTGGAGGCAGCACCCGCCCTTTGGCAGGTGTGCACGTGGATTTCCCAAAAGGGTCTCCACCACGAAATTCTCCTAACACCCGCGTGTCAGCACATGTTCCTTACGGTTTTATAAAATGTGGTCATTGGTATAATTTTCTCTCTGGCAGAGAGTTTCATGCTGTTGATATATAGTAATTTCTTTAGAAAGCAATGGTAAGTTATGTTCTTTTATCACAAGGTTACCATTAGTGGAAGAGTCTTTGATTTTAGTATTCAGGATTTCTTTAAACTGTTTCCTTTTGCTTTTACTTTTCACGTAAGCTTGACTAAACACATTACTAGACGGTAGGTATTTAGTGACTCTAGAGTTCTACTAAAGGATCATTCTGCAATTATGCAGGTTTTAAGGAGAAGCAAGAGAAATGGAAACTGGGTAGTTTGTAGCCGAATGATTGCAGAATCAAATGGGGGCTTAAAACTCAATGTGAATTTGTTTCTCATTTTTCTAATTTCAGGGAATGAATTTTATAGCAGGATATCTGATTCTTATAACAAATAATGAAGAAGAATCTTTTTGGCTGTTAGATGCTCTTGTTGGAAGAATACTACCAGGTATGTTGAAAATTCCTGCGGTATGCCCGAACTGTCCTGTTTCTGGTGCTGCCAAAATGATTCCGCTGAGAAATCAAAATTTAATTAAAACATGGTTGAATTGTTTGGGAGATGAGGTTACAAACCGTTTTTTTTTTTTTTTTTTTTTTTGAGACGGAGTCTCGCTCTGATGCCCAGGCTGGAGTGCAGTGGTGTGATCTTGGCTGACTGGAACCTCTGCCTCCCGGGTTCAAGTGATTCTCCTGCCTCAGCCTCCCAAGTAGCTGGGATTGTAGGTGTGTGCCACCACACCCGGCTAATTTTGTATTTTTAGTAGAGATGGAGTTTCACCATGTTGGTCAGGCTGGTCTCAAACTTCTGACCTCAGGTGATCCACCCGCCTTGGCCTCCCAAAGTGCTGGGATTACAGGCATGAGCCACCATGCCTGGCCAAAAATCTTTTTGCAGTAAAAAAATTTCTTTGAAATTGAGTTGAAAAGGAGAAACCCATGTGAGTGGCCAGGGTCCGGCTGCAGCAACTGCTTGCTCCTGGGACGGCAGAGGGCCTTTTGCCGTCTCTTAGCCCTTGTGGGCAGCTGGGGCTGTGTGGTTGGCTCACCCCTTCCTCAGTTGGTAACTTCTGTGCCTATTGAGGGCCACGGTGTGGTTTGTATTGATCACAGAATCTCTGAGAGGCTATCTTGGTTTTATGTATGTATTTGTACTGAGTTTGTGAATACTAGTAAGAGCATAATAATTGCGCTATATATATCCATGGTTGCTTTTTAAGTAATTACTTACTTTTTAAGGTGAAAACCATTCTTTTCAAACCTTTCCACTTTTCTATTTATTAATGTTTAATTATTTAATAATTAAAGTGTATTTATTAGTGGATAAGTTATCCACGGGTTATGGTGAAGGCCAGTGCAGACGATGAGCTGCAGGCTCAAGTCACTTGGGAAGAGAAGCTGAGGATCAGTCGGGTGGGCAGGGCCTGGGGCTGAGACCACTCTGCCCTTCCCCAGCCTGGCTGTGGTGCTGGGTCAAGGGGGCTGCGTGCTCATCCTGCAGGGCAGAGGAGACGTGAGGGGCAGCCGGGCCAGTCCCCAGTGTTTGGAGCCTGGGGGTGTGTGGCTCCAGCTCCTGCCTGGTGAGCACACGGCATGTGTCAGTTTCCTGCTGAGCTGCGCTTGTCCTCAGAACAGCCACACCACACGGACACAGTCACCCACCCCATTTCCAGGGTGAGGACACCGAAGGCCGGGAGAATTTGCGTGCTGGCCTGACCACCGCTGTACATGGCAGAGCCTGGTTCAGATCCTGGCTGTGTGACTCACAGACCATAGTGTGTGTCCTCACGGATGGGGCAAAGCTCAAGTGCATCATTAAGGGCAGGGAGGAATCAGCGCCACCCTCAACCCAAGGGCGCAGAAATGAGGATGCCAGAGACCAGCCTGACGGAGCCGCCCCAGAGGAAGGGAACCCCACAGAGCTCCCGGGAGTGGGAAGAGCTGTTGACCCGGCTGGGGCCCAGGGACCCAGTGCAGCAGCAGCAGCAGCAGGCAGAACCTCGCAGGGCGGAAAGGATGCCGGCTGTCTCAGCTCAGTTCGGTGAACACCTGGACCAGGTGGAATGGTGAAATTAGAGGCAGATGGAGTTAGGAGACATCCAAATGTGGGATTGGTAGGACATGGAAACGGGCTCACAGCCTGCTTCGGTTATGTCTGAGTGCAAATCATGGCGAATCTTCACAGCCGTGGGCCATGCAGTTCTTTTCACCACATATTGTTGAAAACCTATCGTGTTCTGGGCGCCGTTCAGGGGTGTGGGAAACATCGGTGAGCACACACGAGTTCCTGTCTTTGTGGAGGGCAGACCTCAAGCAGCAGCAGGTGAGAGCTCAGGTCGGAGGGCTCAGCACCAACCTAGAGGGCAGGAGCAGGCCCCGCCGTGCTGGTGTGATGGACAGATGCGTTTTCAGTCCGTACGACGTCACTTCCGATATTCATTATGAGATTAAGTTGAACGAAACTGCAATGCAAATAGGTCTGGATTCAAAAAGAAAAGAAAGTACAAAAACTAAACTGTTAGGATCATGGGAGGAAAAGGGGGTTATTCCGATCCCGGCAGAGCTCTCCCAGCGGCAGAGAAAAGAGGCAAATATATGTCCTTCTCTAAGTTACAGTGACCGAAGTAGGTCGTTTCAGTGCCACAGTCATCCTGCTCTAAAATCCATCCTCGAAGTTATAGTTACCCAAACTAGGTCGTTTCAGTGCCACTGTTATCCTGCTCTTAATTGCTGCTTTTAAGTTATACAAGAAATACACAGATATATTCTCATTTCAGAAGTTCAAAAAATACAGTACTTTTTTTTTTTTGAGACTGAGTCTCGCTCTGTCGCCCAGGCTGGAGTGCAGTGGCACAATGGCTCACTGCAAGCTCCGCCTCCCAGGTTCACGCCATTCTCCTGCCTCAGCCTCCCGAGTAGCTGGGACTACAGGCGCCCGCCACTACGCCTGGCCAATTTTTTTTTGTATTTTTAGTAGAGATGGGGTTTCACCGTGTTAGCCAGGATGGTCTCGATCTCCTGACCTCGTGATCCGCCTGCCTCGGCCTCCCAACAGTACTTTTTATAGAATAAAAAGTGACAGCCAGGAGCCGTGGCTCACGCCTGTAATCCTAGCACTTTGCAAGACCGAGGCAGGCATTTAGGGGAGTTCAAGACCAGCCTGGCCAACATGGCAAAACCCCACCTCCACTAAAAATACAAAAATTAGACAGGTGTGGTGGCAGATGCCTGTAATCCCAGCTACTTAGGAGGCTGAGGCACAAGAATCAGCTTGAGGGAGGCTGAGGTTGCAGTGAGCTAGATCACACCACTACACTCCAGTGTGGGAAGACGGAGCGAGACTCCATCTCAAAAAAAAACAGGGCCGGGCAGAGTAGCTCACATATAATCCCAGCATCTGGGAGGCCACAAGGTGAGAGGATCACTTGAGCCCAGAAGTTCGAGACCAGCCTGGGCAATAAAGTGAGACCCCTCCCATCTCTAAAAATAAAAATTTAAACAAAAGTGACGACCCGCCTTCACTGGCACATCCCCATTTATCTCCTACTCAGAGGTAACTGTTATCATCAGTCTGATGTATGTATTTCCAGAGTTTTTATAGACCGATATAAACATACACATGAAGGACTGAAAATTAGCGACAGAAACAGAGAAACAGAAGAAAAGATAAACTCAGACAAAAATCTGGTTCTTTGGGAAAACTGATAAATAGACAAACCTCTGGTAAGACTGATAAGAAAAAAATGTAGCTGGGCACGGTGGCTCACGCCTGTAATCCCAGCACTTTGGGAGGCTGAGGCAAGAGGATCACCTGACGTCAGGAGTTCGAGACCAGCCTGACCAACATGGTGAAACCCCATCTCTACTAAAAATACAAAAATTAGCTGGGCGTGGTGGCGGGTGCCTGTAGTCCCAGCTACTTGGGAGGCTGAAGCAGGAGAATTGCTTGAACCCAGGGGACAGAGGTTGCAGAAAGCCGAGATCACACCACTGCACTCAGGCCTGGGCAACAGGACAAGACCCTGTCTCAAATAAATATATACAAACATACATACATACACACATACATAAAAGCACAGACACTGAAGAGAAATCTTTGTTGAGGTATAATCCACATATCCCACAGTTCCCCCATTTCAAGCGTATGGTGCAGTCGTGATTGGTGCATTCGTGAGTTTAGAACAGGCTGTAGTGAGCCAAGATCACACCACTGCACTCCAGCCTGGGCGACAGAGTGAGACTCTTATCTCAGAAAGAAAAAAAAAAAAGGATAAGATATAGTAGAAATGAAAAGGTGCTGTAATTTGAAGATTTGTAGAGATTTTTAAGAATCAAAAGAAAAAAATGAAGAGACAGAAATGGATAATTCTGAGAAAAAAACAGCCTAACGAAGTTGACTTGAGAGAGAAAATAGAACATCTGATGGGTGTGTGCATGGACACACTGGGTTTTTACTGCTATCAAACTGTGAAGGAACAGGTAACTCCTGCTTTTTAATGTTTTTATTTTATTGTTTTATTTATTTAATTTTTTCAAGACAGAGTCTCACTCTGTCGCCCAGGCTGGAGTGCAGTGGCGCAATCTCGGCTCACTGCAAGCTCCGCCTCCCGGGTTCACGCCATTCTCCTGCCTCAGCCTCCTGAGTAGCTGGGACTACAGGCGCCCGCCACCACGCCCGGCTAATTTTTGTATTTGTAGTAAGGACGGGGTTTCACCATGTTGGCCAGGCTGGTCTCAAACTCCTGACCTCAGGTGATCCGCCCACCTTGGCCTCCCAAAAGTGCTGGGATTACAGGCGTGAACTACAGCGCCTGGCCATTTTATTGTATTTTTTAGAGACAGGGTCTCAGTCTGTCACCCAGGCTGGAGTGCAGTGGTGTGATCATGGCTCACTGCAGCCTCGACCTCCTTAGCTCAAGTGATCCTCCCACCTCAGTCTTCTGAGTAGCTGGGACCACAGGTGGGCACCACCATGCCTAGTTGATTTTTTTTTTTTTATTTGTAGAGACAGGTTCTTGCTATGTTGCCCAGGCTGGCCTTGAACACCTGGCCTCAAGTAGTCCTCCTGCCTTGGCCTCACAAAGGGCTGTGATTAATTCCTGTTTTTTAAAAATAAATCTGTGGCTCATACCTGTAATCGTAGCACTTTGGGTGGTGCATGCCTGCGGTCCCAGCTACCCAGGAGGCTGAGGTGGGAGGATCACTTGAGCTAAGGAGGTCGAGGCTGCAGTGAGCTGTGGTAGTGCCACTGCACTGCAGCCTGGGTGACAGAGCAAGACCCTGTCTAAATAACTGATTAATTAATCAATCTTGCAGAAAATAAAAAAAAGAAACTCTCATCACTTCATGTTATGAAGCTAGTATAGCCTTCACACCATACAGACTAATCTCACTGATGAATAGAAGTATGTAATTGTTAATTATTAATGTTAGCAACTTGAATCTACAGGTGACTATGAAGTATTTTTTTAGTTTGAAGATAGTTTTTTCCAGAAATCCAAGGATGGCTTAATCATATGGAATAATCAAGGGCAAAGCCAAGCCAAGAAGGCTTGAAAGAAGAACACTAGAGATATATTATAATGCTCTAATAATTAAAATGGTGTGGTATTAGGTTATGAATGGATAAACAGACCAATGGAACAAAATTGCGAAGCCAGATAGAAATCAACCAGTCTGTGGATCTATTAATTTATGGGAATGTCTTTTGTGAGATATATCAATTAATGGGAAAAAGACTGTTTAAAACATAATTCAGTGACAGTTGACTGTATGGAAGAAAACAAAATTAAACCCTTATTTCATTTCCAGATGGATTTAAGACTCATGTAAAAAAGTAAAACTTTGAAACTCAGAGAACAAAATACAGAACAGTCGTGTCATGTGGGAGTAGGGGAGAAGTTCTTGAACATAATTCAAAAAGTATAAAAGGCATTGATAATTTTAATTACATGAAAATTTAAAAACTAATTTTGGTAAGAGACATCATAAGCAAAGTAAAAAGATAAGCTGCTGGTTTGAGAAAGTATCTTTGATCCATATAATTAACAAAGGGTTAGTGTCTGGACTGTGTGTGAATTTCTAAAAATCTAAGCAGAAAGCCAGGGTGTGGTGGCTCATGCCTGTAGTCCCAGCACTTTGGGAGGCTGAGGTGGGTGGATCACCTAAGGTCAGGAGTTCGAGACCAGCCTGGTCAACATGGTAAAACTCTGTCTCTACTAAAAATACAAAAATTAGCTGGGCATGGTGCAGTGCACCTGTAATCCCAGCTACTTGGGAGGCTGAGGCAGGAGAATCACTTAAACCTGGGAGGCAGAGGTTGCAGTGAGCCGAGACTGCACCATTGCACTCCAGCTTGGGCAACAAGAGTGAAGCTCCGTCTCAAAAAAAAAAAAAAAAAAAAAATCTAAGCAGAAAAAGAAACAGCTCAGCAGAACATCAGGTGAAGAATGTGCCTGACAGGCAATTTACAAAATAGAGACCGGAATGGCCAGCAGACCTGTGAACCCATGGCTGAGCTCCCTGGTGAGCATGAAGGTGGAAATGGAAAGACTGGGGTTGGAGTGGAGCCTTCTGCAGCCACCGAGGCCTCCAGGCCCGTGACACAAAACGAAAGCTCCCTGCCGTGGGGCAGTGACCACGGGGTGCGAGTCCGTCTGGGTATTGAAAATGTCATGCACATTGTCGTCTTTTTCCTTGGAGGAGGCCGAGACTGGTGGGGATTAAGTAGCTCATACACAGTCCGCCAGCAAGGCTGAGATCCCATCCCCGGGCTGAGATCCCATCTCAGGCCTCCCCGCCCAAGGCCTGCACCCCACATCTGCCTCCCCGGTTTCCCCCACCACTGTTGTTGCGGACTGTTTGGTTCATCGCTCATGAGTCACTTAGAGGGGGTCCAATTAAGGGAGTTACTTTTACCAGCAAATGCCTCTAATCCCAATTCAGTTAGGAAGTGACCTGAGGACACGCTCCCCGTGGCCTGTGACCATCCACACGCAGATGCCCCACACCCCGAGTTCTCAGCCCAGAACACCTGCCACACCCGCGGCCTCTTGTAGAGCCCATGAAGATGATGGCCATCAATCACCATCCCAACAAGGCATGGAAAGGACGCAGGAAGAAGGTGCAGACGCCGCTCCCCGGGCGGGCGATGGGTCCCGGGCCTCCTCAGAGGAGGAGGTTGACCGGGCCCTGCCGCGTGACTGAGGGTGGAGGGGGCCCTGTCTCGGAAGACTGCGTCAGTCATGAGTCGGTGCAGCCCTGAATTAGCGCTCTACATCCTGAAAGATGGGTTTGACCTGGTTTCCTCTGAAAAATAGGGAAGCAGGTCAGGTTTTAACAACTCGACATAGAAATACCTCAGCTCTGGCTGGGAGGACTGGCTGAGATGTGGACCGACAAGGCACATTCTGTGGGGACCACGGCTCAGCCCCGTGAGCAGAGGTGGGTGGAGGGAGGCTCTTGGCGCCGCAATTGCCACATCGGAGGTGCGTTTCCTGCGTCCTCCCGAGTGGGGTTCCCTGAGGTCACCTGTCCTGAGGGTGGTGCTCATGTGGCCTGGGCCACGCCCCCGTTGGGCTGGCTTTGTCACAGGAGGCTGGTCTCTGGGGTCAGGAACAGCTGTTTTGGGATCAGATTGCGCTGAGTCACCAGGCGGCCAGGCTCACCAGACCTGTGGGCCTCAGGCCTTGCACCTTAAGTGTGAGCTTATTCCGTGAGAGGGTTGCGCAGAAAGCACGCTGTACAATCCGAGGCCTCTTGATACCAGGTTTCGCCATAAGCTACTTTTTTTTAAAAGAACTCTATATATTAGGGAAAAAAGTCATTGCCGCTTTTCCATTCAGGGTCTCCTAGTTATAGCAGATAAAGTTTAATTGAGTTGTATGCTAACAAATTGCTGAATTCAAGACAGTTGATCTAATTTAGTGGGATCTTGAAATTTAAGTAATTGCTCAGTTTTCTACCAAGTATTTAGCCGGAGATCTTAGCTACTTCTAAAGTTTATTTATTTATTATTTATTGGATACAGGATCTCACTGTTGCCAGGCTGGAGTACAGTGGCACCATCACAGCTCACTGCAGCCTTTGACCTCCTGGGTTCAAGTGATCCTCCCACCTCAGCCTCCCAACTAGCAGGGACTGCAGGTGTGCACCACCATGCCCGGCTAATTTTTTTATTTTGAGTACAGACAGGGTCTTCTTGAATTGCCCAGGCTGGTCTCGAACTCTTGGGCTCAAATGATCCTCCCACCTCAGCCTTCCAAAGTGCCGGGATTACAGGCTTGAGCCACCACGCCTGGCCTCAGTTTGTTTAGTTGACATGTAACAGGTCTGTTAGCTTTTTACTTGTGAAATGTAACAGCATAAGCACATCAGAAACATTATTTCCTGGTAGCTTCTCTGCACCTTTTCTGGAATCTGGAAATTTGTACAGGGCACTTGGGAAGTGCGGTGGGTTTTCCCAGAGCCCTCTCACCCTCACGCATCTGCTGTCTGGAGGGATGGTTGGTACAGTTCTAGGGCTGAGCGCCAGGCGGGCACTTGGCCTGTGTGCGTCCGCTGTCTGGAGGGATGGTTGGTACCGTTCTAGGGCAGTTCATGTGTCCGCTGTCCTCAGGGCTTCAGGACATCAGGTGGGGTCTCGTGTTCCCAGTGCAGAGGTAGGGCCCAGGGCAAGGGGCTGGTGTCCTGCACAGCTAGTGTAGGTGTAGGCAGGGCCACCCCAGCGGGTGGCTCTGAAGCCAGCCCCCCTCACCTCGCCCCCAACCACGGCCAGAGCCCCCCTGTTCTTCAGTCTCCCAGCGATGGTGTCTGCAGGCAGCAGTGGAGAATCCTGGCCTGGTGCTGAGTCCAAGTTGGCCTTTCCTAGTGCTCGGCACACCGAGGGCACTTTGCTTTCAGAGGAGGACTTGGGACTGAATCTTACACCTAGAGGGTGAGGAACCCTTTGCATGTTTGTTTGTTTTTTAATTAAATTTTACAGTACCTATTTTGCCTTAAAAAAAAAAAAAAAAACTACCTTATTCCCACTGCTGGGTGTGTTTCCAGAAGAAAGGAAGTTACTCTGTTGAAGGGCATCTGTCCTCCAGCGTTCGCCACGGCACTGCTCCCAGCAGCCAGGATAGAATCAACCCAGGTGTCTGACCGCAGATGGATGGATAAGGAAAGTGGGGTGCACACACTCAGCAGAGTGCTGTTCAGCCTTAGAAAGAATGAGATCCTGGCCAGGCGTGGTGGCTGTCGCCTGTAATCCCAGCACTTTGTGAGGCCGAGGCGGGTGGATCACCTGAGGTCAGGAGTTTCAGACCAGCCTGGTCAACACGGTGAAACCCTTTCTCTACTAAAATACAAAAAGTAGCCAGGCGTGGTGGCGGGCATCTATAATTCCAGCTACTCAGGAGGCTGAGGCAGGAGAATCGCTTGAACCTAGGAGGTTGAGGCTGCAGTGAGCTGAGTTTGTACCACTACGCTCCAGCCTGGGCGACAACAGCAAGACTCCATCTCAAAAAGAAAAAAAAAAAATCCCGTCATTTCAGCAGCATGGAGGGAACCAGAGGACACTGTGTTAAGTGAAATAAGCCGGGTGCAGAGACAGATATCACATGTTCCCACCCACATGTGGGCGCTAAATAAAAATGAAACTCATGGAGGCAGAGAGTAGAAGGGCAGTTACCAGAGGCCAGGAAGGGAGGGGGATAGAGAGGCTCGTTAATGGTTACAGACCTACAGTTAGAAGAAGTGAGACCGTGTGTTAGTAGGTCAGACCCACTATAGGTAACAGTAACATGTATTTCAAAATAGCTAGAAGAGAAGATTTGGAATGTTCCCAACACAAAGAAATGGTAAATGTGGGTGGATCCGTTACCCAGGTTTTTGTTTTTTGTTTTTTGTGAGACAGAGTCCCGCTCTGTCTCTCAGGCTGGAGTGCAATGGCATGATCTCGGCTCACTGCAACCTCCGCCTCCTGGGTTCAAGCGATTCTCCTGCCTCAGCCTCCCAAGTAGCTGGGATTACAGGCACACACCACCACGGCCAGCCTCCAGTGACCCAGGTCTGATCATGACACATTGAATGCCTGTATCAAAATATCACATGGACACCATTAATATGTACACCTATTAGGTATCCATAAATATTAAAAATAAACCTTTTTAGCATTATAAAACTGACAGGTTTAAGAATTAGACAAACTTGGCCAGGCATGGTGCTCATGCCTGTAATCCCAGCACTCTGGGAGGCTGAGGCAGGCGGATCGCGAGGTCAGGAGATCGAGACCATCCTGGCTAACACAGTGAAACCCCGTGTCTACTAAAAATACAAAAAATTAGCCGGGCGTGGTGGCGGGCACCTGTAGTCCCAGCTACTCGGGAGGCTGAGGCAGAAGAATGGCGTGAACCCGGGAGGCGGAGCTTGCAGTGAGCCGAGATCGCGCCACTGCACTCCATCCAGCCTGGGCGACAGAGCAAGTGTCCATCTCAAAAGAAAAGAATTAGCCAAGCCAAACTTACAGAAGTTAAAGAGGAAAAGGCCATCAGTCCTCCACTGCCGGGCTGTGGTGCTCATGTTTGCGGCTGTCTGATGAGCCCACTGTTGCTGCTCACGGCTCTCCCTGGTGAACCCGAGGCCAGAGGGGCCCTCCCTGCTCTGCCCACCCCAGTTAGAAAGTCTTTCCTTTGCCTGAAGGATTACGTGCTTTTTTTTTCTGTTTAAAGATTTGTTCTGTCTAGCAAATTGAGGATTTCCACCAGTTTCTCATTCTAACCCTAGGACAACTTTATTGCTTATTTATAATCTCAAATTGAGAATCCGCAAGAGTGGTTCAGTGCAGGATGAAACTGTTTCCGCGCACGACTGATTTATCACTCTGAACTAAGTTAATACCTAGGTAAGCATTTGCGGTTCTTATTTTCTGTTTTTCTCGATTCCTTTATCTTTGCAGCTGACTTAAATTTTATTAACTAGTCAGCTTCTAGGTGCAAAAGTCACAGGCCAGCGGGAGGCTGTCGTAGCAGTGCAGGGTGGGCGGGAGGCTGTCGTGGCAGTGCAGGGTGGGGACGAAGGGGAAGCAGGTCCCTCCCTCTCGGTCCTCCGGACCCTACAGAGAGTTTCTCATGTTATCTGTCTCAAGATGTCCCCTGTGTTTGAGAAAACTTTACATGTTTCTAAATGCACAGGCATGGGCCAGGCGCGGCGGCTCACCCCTGTAATCCCAGCACTTTGGGAGGCTGAGGTGGGCAGATCACCTGGGGTCAGGAGTTCGGGACCAGCTTGGCCAGTATGGCGAAACCTCATCCCTACTAAAAATACAAAAATTAGCCAGGCATGGTGGCGCACACCTATAATCCCAGCTACTCAGGAGGCTGAGGCAGGAGAGTTGCTTGAACCTGGAAGGTGGAGGCTGCAGTGAACCAAGATCGCGCTACTGCACTCCAGCCTCGGACACACACACACACACACACACACACACACACACACTAAATAAATAAATAAATAAATAAATAAATAAATAAAGTACAGGCACTGAGATGGGCGTGGTGGCTCTCGCCTGTAATCCCAGCATTTTGGGAGTCCTAGGCAGGCAGATTGCTCAAGAGCAGCCTGGACAACATGGCAAAACCCCATCTCTACTAAAAATACAAAAATTAGCTGGGCGTGGTGGTGCACACCTGTAATCCCAGCTGCTCGGGAGGCTGAGGCACGAGAATTGTCTGAGCCTGGGAGGTGGAGGTTGCAGTGAGCCGAGATCACGCCACTGCTCTCCAGCCTGGGTGACAGAGCAAGACCCTATCTCAAAAAAATAAATAAATAAAATAAAACAATAAAAGCACAGGCACTGAAGAGAAATCTTTGTTGAGGTGAAATCCACTTATCCCACAGTCCCTCCATTTCAAGCGTACGGTGCAGTGGTGATGGGTGCATTCGTGAGTTTGGCAAAGGTTGTGACTGGATCCCATCTTCCTGACTGTGACCACACTGCTCTGTGCTGTTTTCTGTGGTTCGCCATGTGCATGGGCACCTGGGCTGTGTGTCTTAGCATTGCCCCGGGTTACACGTGAGGAACCCTTGGGCCCCTTCGGTCTGTGCGTGGGAATCTGCACCTCTTTCTCTTCCTGTCCAAGCACTTGGGTAAGCCAACCCTCCGAGCTCGGCGCCTCAGGCTTTCCTGATGAGGATACCCCAGCGCCCTCCGGCTGGGCCCCTCTCCTCGAAATTTCCTGCAGACTGGTGGCTGAATCAAGACCTGATGTCATGAGTCCATTAGAAGAGGCGGGATAAATGCTGGTCCCTTGGCTTTATGTCCCCGCCCTCAAAATAATAAATTGGCGTCTGGTCACTAGAAGGCGGTTGGTCAGTGCTGTGTGTCCATGTCAACTGTGGACTCCTGGGCTGCACACACTGGAGGGTTTTTATCCTTCTTGAAGCTCAGGTTGGCCCATCTGTGGCCAGCGGGAGCCTCTTCTGGTTGGCCCCTGAGTCCTGTGGATGTGAATGTGGCGCCGACGGCTTCCTCGAGTCTGCAGGACAGGCTACTCTGGGCTCACCCCATGGGCCTTCTGCCCCAGACCTGGACCCGCCTGTTTCTCCAGGAAACTCTGGCGTAATGTGTGTCACTGGGCCTTTGTCAGTGTGGCTCCTGAAGCTTGTTCTTGGGTGGATTCCTCGGGATGTGTTTGTGGGAACTGTCCTTACGGAGTGCTTGAAGACCGTCGGGTGGGATCTGGGAACTGGGAGGTGGTGTCGGTGTTGACTAGTGTCGAGGTGGCCATACTGTTGTTTGGGGAAGCACGCCCTGGAGTATTTGGTGCGATGGGGCAGTGAGTGTGCAGCTCTGCCTCACACAGTCCAGGGGATGGAGGCAGGTGTGCGTGTGCACGTGTGTGCCTGTGTGGTGTGCGTGTGCACGTGTGTACCTGTGTGTGGCGTGCGTGTGCGTGTGTGGTGTGCGTGTGCACGTGTGTACCTGTGTGTGGCGTGCGTGTGCACGTGTGTACCTGTGTGTGGCGTGCGTGTGCACGTGTGGTGTGTGTGTGCACGTGTGTACCTGTGTGTGGTGTGCGTGTGCACGTGTGTACCTGTGTGTGGTGTGCGTGCAGATAGGGAGGTGACGGGGGAGCAAATGTGCTGAAATGTTCACAGTCAGGGAATCTGATGGGGATGTGGGGGTTCTTTGTGCAGTTCTTATTGTTGCTATTTCATGGCTAGGTTTTTTAAAATTTATTTTTTATTTTGTTGCCCAGGCTGGTCTGGAACTCCTGGGCTCAAGCAATCCTCCCACCTCGGCCTCCCAGAGTGCTGGGATTACAGGCATAAGACATGGCACCCGGCCCAAAATACCTTTTTTTAAATGTAAACAAAAGGCTAGGCATGGTGGGTCACGCCTGTAATCTCAGCACTTTGGGAGGCCGAGGTGGGTGGATCGCCTGAGGTCAGGAATTCGAGACCAGCCTGGCCAACATGATGAAACCCCGTCTCTACTAAAAATACAAAAAATTAGCCGGGCCTGGTGTCGGATGCCTGTGATCCCAGCTACTCAGGAGGCTGAGGCAGGAGAATCGCTTTAACCTGGGAGGCGGAGGTTGCAGTGAGCCGAGATTATACCACTGCACTCCAGCCTGGGTGACAGAGTGAGACTCTGTCTAAAAAAAAAAAAAAAAAAAAAAAAAAGTAAACCAAACAGCAAAACCAGCCTTGCAGCTTCCTTGCTGTAACCTGAGCTGCGTCTGAGAAGGCTCACGCCCTGTAAGGGCTGTGCCACGCCGAAGTCTTCTCAGGAAAAGAGATGCAGAGAGGCTGGCTCGGGCAGTGGGGGTGCGCAGCTGCTGGGTGGGCACCCGGGTGGCTCCTGCACTGGCTGTCCTTGCTGTGCCTTCTTGGCATCTCCTCCTGGGCCGCCTCCCATGCTGCAGCCCGTGCCTCCTGGTATCCCAGCCCCGCAGCTGTGGTCACTCACAGAGGCAAGGCCATCCTGGTAGCAGCCGCCCCTGAGCCCCCAACCCCCAGGTCATGCACCTGGTCTCTGCCATGGTCAATCCTGTGGCTCAGATGAGGAGCAAAGACCATGTCTGTTGGGAAGAGGTGGATTCCTCCTATCTGGATGGAAGCCGGGGCTGGGCAGGTGCTTCTTCACAGGAGAGCTGCGACCGGTTTCCATGCACACACCCGGGTTCCCATGCACACACCTAGGCTTTCGTGCACACACCCGGGCTCCCATGCACACACCTGGGCTCCCGTGCACACACCTGGGTTTCCATCCACGCACCTGGGCTCCCATGCACACACCTGTGCTCCAATGCACACACCTGGCTTTCCATGCACACGCCTGGGCTCCCATGCACACACTGGGCTCCCATGCACACACCTGGTTTTCCATGCACACACCTGGGCTCCCATGCACACACCCGGGCTCCCATGCACACACCCGGGTTTCCATGCACACACCTGGGCTTCCATGCACACACCTGGGTTTCCTTCCACACACCTGGGCTCCCATGCACACACCTGGGTTTCCATCCACGCACCTGGGCTCCATGCACGCACCTGAGTTTCCACGCACACACCTGGGCTCCCATGCACACACCTGGGTTTCCATGCACACACCCGGGTTTCCATGCACACACCTGGGCTCCCATGCACACACCTGGGTTTCCATGCACACACCTGGGCTCCCATGCACACACCTGGGCTCCCATGCACACACCTGGGCTCCCATGCACACACCTGGGTTTCCATGCACACACCTGGGCTCCCATGCACACACCTGGGCTCCCATGCACACACCTGGGTTTCCATGCACACACCTGGGCTCCCATGCACACACCTGGGCTCCCATGCACACACCTGGGTTTTTATGCACACACCCGGGCTCCCATGCACACACCCGGGCTCCCATGCACACACCCGGGTTTCCATGCACACACCTGGGCTTCCATGCACACACCTGGGTTTCCTTCCACACACCTGGGCTCCCATGCACACACCTGGGTTTCCATCCACGCACCTGGGCTCCATGCACGCACCTGAGTTTCCACGCACACACCTGGGCTCCCATGCACACACCTGGGTTTCCATGCACACACCCGGGTTTCCATCCACGCACCTGGGCTCCCATGCACACATCTGGGTTTCCATCCACGCACCTGGGCTCCCATGCACGCACCTGAGTTTCCATGCACACTCCTGGGTTTCCATGCACACACCCGGGTTTCCATGCACACACCCGGGTTTCCATGCACGCACCCGGGTTTCCATGCACGCACCCGGGTTTCCATGCAGGCACCTGGGTTTCCATGTACGCACCTGGGCTCCCATGCACGCACCCGGGCTCCCATGCACACACCTGGTTTTCCATGCACACTTGCATCAGCTACATCCCCTGCCCACCTGGGCGCCCAGCTCCCTCCTTGGCATTGACGCCATTATCTCATTCACGTAACCATTTTCTGATTATCTTTTATGAGTCACTTCCATTGTGTTAATACTGAAGAAGAGGGAGAAGTCTAGATAAAGATCGGAACCGCCCACTACCCCTATCAGTGGGGGTGAGCCCCACAAATGGTATTTTTGGTGCAAGCCTGGGTCGTCTTTTCTATGCACATGGGGCAGCTATTTTAGAAACACTTGGAGTGCTTTGTATGTAGTCCCGCATCCCATCTTTTTCATTTGACATCACGTGGTGGGAATTTCCACACATCTTGCAGTAATTTATTTTTATTTTTATTTTTTATTTTTTGAGATGGAGTTTCACTCTGTTGCCCAGGCTGGAGTGCAGTGGCACGATCTCGGCTCACTGCAACCTTCATCTCCCGGGTCAAGCAATTCTCCTGCTCAGCCTCCTGAGTAGCTGAGTAGCTGGGATTACAGGTGCTGGCCACCACGCCCAGCTAATTTTTGTATTTTTAGTAGAGATGGGTTTTCACCATGTTGGCCCGGCTAGTCTCAAACTTCTGACCTCAGGTGATCTACCCGTCTCAGCCTCCCAAAGTGCTGCGATTACAGGTGTGAGCCACTGCACCCGGCCAATGCGGTAATTTTTAAGCTCTCTCCCAATGTCTCCGTGGCACTGCAGAGTGTGTTATGCGTGGATTATACCTTCCTTAACTGTCGGTGGCCAGGGAGGAAGAAAGGTCTTCCCCTGTACACCTTAGGTCCCCCAGCTGGGCTCTGTACATGGGACTGGCCGAAGACTGAATAATGAGTGAGAAAAAGACGCTTATCAACACGTGTCACGCACACCCTGGAGAGCACCCGGATCGGGGGACATAAAGCGTGGCTGGCGCCTGGGCGCATTCACCATCCTGGGCAGCCTGCTACCTTCAGGCTTCTGGGCAGGGAAGGGAACCAGGAGAATTTAGTCCACAGGCTGCTTTGTAAGGTTTGAGATGCATCAGGCTTCTGGGCGGGGAAGGGAATCAGGAAAATTTAGTCCACAAGGCTGCTTTGTAAGGTTTGAGATGTGGATTTCAGGGGTGTCTTTCCTGGTAGGGAAAGGGAGAGGGAGACGCCCCTGGGAATGGAAACTCCTTTCACAGAAGGCTGCACAGACCATTTAATGTTTTGGCTGCCCAGGAATTCTAGACCAGCCTGGGCAACATGGTAAAACCTTCTCTCTACAAAAAATATTTAAAAATTAGCTGGGTGTGGTGGTGCACACCTGTGGTCCCAGCTACGCAGGAGGCTGAGGCAGGGGGATCACTTGAGCCCAGGAGGTTGAGGCTGCAGTGAGCTGTGATAGCACCACTGCACTCCAGCTTGGGCGACAGAGTGAGACCCTGTCTCAAAAAATTGTTTGAGTCTTCAACTCACACCTTTTGTTTTCTAATTGAAAGCACCAGGGTGGAGAACTGGCCTGTGAGTGCATGTGAGAGAGTGGTCTTGGGACTCACACCTGCTCTCAGAGGAAGATCTGCAGAGTGGAAATGAAGTAGGAGGAAGCCACAGCCATGTGCAGACGCCTGTGGCCACCGTCTTTGTATGGCCCCTGCCCACGTCTGACCGCAGACCCTGAGGGGTGTGCAGGGGAGTGTCAGAGCTGTGCCCCCGTCCTGGCCAGGCAGGTGCCGTCCCGGAGCCTCGGTGATGAATGCACAGTGTTGGGTGGTTTGCAGAGGCGTGGATGTCCCCAGAAGGACAGGGACAAGGAGCCTGGGGGGATAGCGGCGCGAGACCAGATGAGGTGGTCACCTGGGAACATCAGTGCCTGCGCCTCAGCCTGAGGGATGAGCCCCTTCTGCAGGGAGCAGCCGCTGCGCCGGCTGGGCCTGGGAGGAACCACCTTGCCCTCGATGTTCAAGGAAGGGAAAGAAGCTGCGGCTTTAATTTAATCCTCCCCTTGGTGGCCGGCTCAGCCTGGTGGAGTTTAGGGAATGAGTTCAGCGCCTCTATTTTTGGAAGCTGTTCTAAGCTTCTCTGTGTCTGGGGCCAAGGTCAGGCTGTGTGTCTCTGCAGACCCCCTGCTGCCTGGCACTCAAGCCCCCCTGCCACACCACCTGTGGGGTTGGGGGCCACCTGCAGAACCAGGGTGGGCACTGATTGATGGTTCTTCACCCCTCTCTCCCCAGCTGGAACGGTATGTGCTCAGCTAAGAAGGTGAAAGATGAGCAAAGCGCTCAGAACCCCAGTGGCAGGTGCAGAACAAGGATATGGAAGGGAGGCGTTTTTAATCCTTGGCGCTTGCTCACTGAATTGGCTCTGGCTAAATCACCTTCAGAGGCGTTAGTATTTACTATTAAACCGACTTCACTGTGTGCTCACTCTGAAAAGCAGTGACAGGACCGTGATGTTGCGTCAGTGTTTGTGATGGTTCTATTTTAACCAAGATATTGAATTAACAAGAACAGACTGGGCGCAGTGGCTCACGCCTGTAATCCCAGCACTTTTGGAGGCCGAGGCGGGCAGATCATGAGGTCAGGAGTTCGAGACCAGCCTGGCAAATATGGTGAAACTTTGTCTCTACTGAAAATACAAAAATTAGCTTGGGCGTGGTGGTGAGCACCTGTAGTCCCAGCTACTCAGGAGGCTAAGGCAGGAGAATTGCTTGAACCCAGGAGGCAGAGAGGTTCCAGTGAGCTAAGATCATGCCACTACATTCCAGCCTCGGTGACAGAGCGAGACTCCGTCTCAAAAAAAAATGTACTATAACTCATTACATGAACAAGTTAAAAAATTACGTAGGTAAACACAAAAGTGCTTTGGTAAGACAAATGTCCATTCAAAAGAAGGGCAAGCTGTTGGAAGTATTTATCTGAGTACGTTTTATTTCTACTGTGGTAAAATACACAGAACATAGAATGTACCATCTTACCCATGTCTTTCCCCTGTGCAGTTCAGTGGCACAAGGGCCGCTTACCTCTCTGTGTAACCATTGCCGCCGCCCTCTCCAGAGCTGTTTCATCTTCCCAGACTGAACTCGGTCCTGTCACTCCCTCCCTCCCGCTGCTGTGGCCTGACTTCCTCCCTTTCTAAGGCTGAATAATATTCCGTCGTGTGGACATTCACATGTTGGTTATCCACTTGTCTGCCGACGGACACGTGGGTTGCCTCCATCTCTTGGCTGTTGTAAATAGTTCTGCTAGGAACACGGGGGTGCCTGCACCTCCTTGGGACTCTCTTTTCCACCTGCAGATTTTTGTTTGTTTGTTTTTTTGAGACAGAGTCTCGCTCTGTGGCCCAGACTGGAGTGCAGTGGTGTGATCTCGGCCCACTGCAACCTCCACCTCCCAGGTTCAAGCGATTCTCCTGCCTCAGCCTCCTGAATAGCTGGGGTTACAGGTGCCCACCACCACACCTGGCTAATTTTTGTATTTTTAGTAGAGACGGGGTTTCAGCCATGTCAGCCAGGCTGGTCTTGAACTCCTGACTTTAGGTGATCCACCCGCCTCGGCCTCCCAAAGTGCTGGGATTACAGGTGTGAGCCACGCTCCCGCCCCCCCCCCCCCCACCGCGCCACCCTCCACCTGCAGATTTTAACTGATGCCCAGCCAGGCGGCATCCAGCCTATCCCTCCAGCCTCAGGGACGTCCTGAAAGGCCTGGCTGTGGGGGTCGCTCCCCATGAGCCCTGTGTCTGCAGGCCTCACCCCGACTCTTCCTCTCCAACTTTGTCCCTCCCTCTTGGGAGGGGTCCTCCCAGGGTGGCCCTGTTGTCTTTGTCTGGCTCTGAGGGGAATGGGGCTTGTGGAGGTGACGGGAGTGTCTCGGGGTCTTTTCTCCACATTGCCTGGCAGATTACTACAGCCCGGCCATGCTGGGCCTGAAGACCGACCAGGAGGTCCTCGGGGAGCTGGTGCGGGCGAAGCTGCCGGCTGTGGGGGCCCTGATGGAGCGTCTCGGTGTGCTGTGGACGCTGCTGGTGTCCCGCTGGTTCATCTGCCTGTTTGTGGACATCTTGCCCGTGGAGGTGAGCGCCTCACTCGGGCCCTGGGGCGGGCGGGCCGCCAGGGAGTGACACCGGGTTCCCATGTCTCTGCAGACAGTGCTTCGGATCTGGGACTGTTTGTTTAACGAAGGCTCGAAGATTATCTTCCGGGTGGCCCTGACCTTAATTAAGCAGCACCAGGAGTTGATTTTGGAAGCCACCAGCGTTCCAGACATTTGCGATAAGTTTAAGCAGATAACCAAAGGGAGTTTCGTGATGGAGTGTCACACGTTTATGCAGGTGTGTGGGGCTGCACGTGGCTCAGTCCCCTCCCAGGGGGCCCCGCCTCACCTGCAGCCCGGGGGCTGCTCTGACCACCCGGAGGGTGCACAGGACGGGCACCAGTGGGCATAGGGCACAGGATGAGCCTCCAGCTCTGTCCTGCATCTGCCCCCTGCGCCTGGCCTCCGAGGGCTTTCCTGTCTATGGCGGCCCTGTCTTCTTGGCCCTGGCACTGCGGACGCTGCTCCTGGTCCTAATGGCTGTACTCATCTGCTGTGTGTGGTGCCAGAAGTGTGGCTTCCCGAGGCCCGGCCTCCCCACTGGGTCCTGGACCTGGCGCAGGCCGTATAGACTCAGGTCCTGATGAGGGCGTTGTGGGAGCTGTACCTGACAGGCCTTCTGAGGAAGCCAAGACGCCAGGAGAGGCTCAGGCCTGGGAGTCAGTAGTTTCCTAAGAGGGAGTGGAGGCTCGGGGCCACTCTGGGTGCAGCATGGCAAACGTGGGCGGTATTTCAGCAGCTGGGCCTTCATCAAAGAGAAGACCATGTTGGCCGGGCGCGGTGGCTCACGCCTGCAGTCCCAGCACTTTGGGAGGCCAAGGCGTGTGGATCACCTGAGGTCAGGAGTTCAAGACCAGCCTGGCCAACACGGTGAAACCCCGTCTCTACTAAAAAATACAAAAATTAGCCAGGTGTGGTGGCTCACGCTTATGTAGTCCCAGTTACTCGGGAGGCTGAGGCACGAGAATCACTTGAACCTGGGAGGCGGAGGTTGCAGTGAGCCGAGATCGCGCCACTGCACTCCAGCCTGGGCAACAGAGTGAGACTCTGTCTCAAAAAAAAAAAAAAAGTCTAATGGAAGCAGATGGCCTTTTCTTCCACCGTTTGATTCATTTAACATTTCTGAGCAGCAAAGCTGCAGTCCTAGGCCCCAGGGCAGGAGTGAGATGGTGACAATCTGTGGGTCACCCCAGAAGCCCTTGGATGTGGACTGCTCCTCCCTCACCTCACACGAGGCCTGTCTGCCTGCCTGCCAGTCTGGGAGAGCTAACGTAGAAATGGGTTGTTGGGTTTGTTTTTAAACTAACTGTTTGCCTTCCAGAAAATATTTTCAGAACCTGGAAGCTTATCCATGGCCACCGTCGCCAAGCTCCGCGAGAGCTGCAGGGCCCGGCTGCTGGCACAGGGGTGAGCGTGCCTGTCCCCTGCGTTGCTCGTCTCTACACTGACGATGCCCCTTTCCAGAGTTGACACTGGACCAACTTTCACTGCTTTCCTTTTTAGTGTTGTAAATACTTGACATCACTACACTTTAGTTGTGAATTTTTTAAAAGAGCAGTTTAAAATCAGGTCATTCTACCAGCTTTTGATGATTAGCTATGAAGTCATACTTTTTAAAGAAAACTTATTTTTACCTGAGAGATCAATAATATATAAAATGTGAGTGTGGGTTTGTATCTAATAAAGTATGCCAACACCTGTGTTTGTGATCAGTTTCTCAGCTGACTGGAAATTAACATAGTGAGTGGTCACTGAGGTCTTACAGCGGCAGTGTCAATATTCCATTCCTTTCTGTGACAGAGCGTGCAGTTTATGTGAGGCTTCTGCACGTAGTAGGTGATTTCTCTTTAGAAAGATCATTTTCTCCCTTCAACTTTTAACTTCTGGGTACAGGTGGAGGGTGTACAGGTCTGTTGCACAGGTAAACGTGTGCCGTGGTGATGTGCTGCACAGACCATCCTGTCACCTAGGTATGAAGCCAGCATCCCTTAGCTATTCTTCCTGATGCTCTCCCTGCCCCCGACCCAACGGGCCCCAGTGTGTGATGTTCCCCTCCTTGTGTCCATGTGTTCTCATCAGAAGCTCCCACTTACAAGTGAGAACAAGTGGTGTCTGGTTTTCTGCTCCTGTGTTAGTTTGCTGAGAATAATGGCTTCCAGCTCTATCCGTGTCCCTGCAGGGGACAAGATCTCATACCTCTTTATGGCTGCATAGTATTCCATGGTATCTGTATGAAAGGTAATTTTTTTAATGATTTAAAAATTATCATGTTACATGAATGAACCAGACAACTGTGCCAGGCACTCGGGCCACTCCCAACACCATTCCCTACGTCTGGCACCAAGACCACCCTCACCCCCCGTTTCCCTGACACCCTTCTCTCTGCACCGAGACCACCCTCAACCCCGTTTCCCTGACGTCCTTCTCTCATGAGCTCCCATTTTAGCTGACAGAAGGACAAGGCCCACCCCAAAAAGAAAGAGGCTTTTTATTACATTGTTACAGGCAATGCATTACGTGAGCTGGTCCCGTGTACAATCCCCAAGCCACGGCAAAACATCAGGAGAACGCACCGATCTCACATTGTACACAGCGCAGAACAGGATCACCCCGAATGTCAACAGAAGACCAAAAATCACTTTACAAATAAAAATAAAAATAACACCCATTTTTATATTTAAAAAAGTGCCAGCCCTTGAGCTGCAGACATTAGAGACGCCCAAGGACGTGCCGCCACTGGAACGAGGCCGCCAGCCACGTGTGGCCCGTCCTGGCCTTTAAAGCTGAACTGAAGCGCTCCAGACACTCATCTCTGGAGTTCCTCTGTCTTAGGATGTTCCCTCTCTACTGTTGTAATGTGTGAGCATGTCAGCCTCACCACGAGTGACCTTCATGCGTCCTACGTGTGACGGCCAGAGGCTTTCCCTTTGTAAGGCTTAAATCTGAGTGCAGTAAAGAATGAAGAAACCAAACACCAGAACCCTAAACTCAAATGATATGGAGCCAATTTAGAGCGGCACCCCCACCCCTCAGAGACAGCGGCATTCCACCCCTCGGAGAGAGCAGCACCCCCACCCCCTCA
Organism: Homo sapiens; assembly: GCF_000001405.40. Taxonomy (NCBI): domain Eukaryota; kingdom Metazoa; phylum Chordata; class Mammalia; order Primates; family Hominidae; genus Homo; species Homo sapiens. The sequence goes on along the minus strand of NC_000013.11, from coordinate 113,322,816 downwards.
GAGAGAGCGGCACCCCCACCCCCTCAGAGAAAGCGGCACCCCCACCCCCTCAGAGAGAGCGGCACCCCCACCCCTCAGAGACAGCGGCACCCCCACCCCTCAGAGACAGCGGCACCCCCACCCCCTCAGAGAGAGCACCCCCACCCTCAAAATCCTACTTTGGTAAATATTAATGTTTAACCAGTTAGCAAAATATTTAACCCAGTTAGCAAAATTAACACCGTCATTTCGATAGTTACTCTGTTGTGCATAGTAAATGCTGCAAGATGAACTTCACATTGGATGAAGCAGATTTGAGAAACGTTTGCCAGAAAGTGTGCCTCCCCTTCGACAGGACCCTAAGCCCAGAGAAAGGAACAGAGGCCCCTGCAGCTGCTGTGCCTGCGTGCACCAGGCTAGATAGTCTGGTAGCCTGCGTGACTCCTCTTCCTGCCGACGAGGTAGGCGATGAGGACGATGAGGACCAGCCCCGCCAGGGCACCACCCACAGCGATGGGGATCAGCATGCTGTTCTCGTCCAGCAGACACTCCTCCACTGCCAAGACAGACGGATGGTGTCAGGGCTCTGCTCACACAGGGGCCTGCAAACAGGCCTCTCTCCCCACCACTCCCCCACATCAGCCAAAAGGCAAAGAGGAACCCTGGCGGAAGGTTCCAGCTCTAGCTGGAATTGTCACTTGGGGAAGCCGCTGCAGAGACTGGTGCTCTCTGCACGGCGAGGAAACCACACACGTCTCTCCCCCGTCTGGAATCAGGGGCTGTGGCCGGACAGCTGTGCTGCGTCCAGGGCCTCTGTGCACATCAGATGACAGTGTTGTATTCAACGTTCATGGGAGAAGCGCCACCACTGTTTCTTAAAATGATTCCCTTACTCTCAAATGGTACCAGGGGCTCCCAGCTGAGAGACACGCTGGGCCTCTCTAAAGCAGGGGGAGTTACCTCTAGAATCTCAGACCGGCAAGAAGAAACAGCTCCTTGCAGAGGAACAGGGGCGTCGCCCCAGCCCACACGGAAGCGACTAAACGTCCACAGGCGGAGTCTGAAGCACGTCCTCCACACCCCGCGACAGCTGCCCTCGGTGACACTCACCAGAGCCAAACTGGCCACCTTCCACCTTGAAAGCCTGGACCCACACTTTGAATATATTGACTGAAAACGCCTTCGTGACACGGACGTGCTCCTCCGCGTTGCACTTGTAGGAATTGCCGACTGTGGCCTGCAGCGCTCGCAGGGAGCCGTTGGCAGCTTTAAAGGCAGGGTCTGCAACACACACAGAGGTCTAGTGGCTCCAGAATACCCTGGGCGCGCGGGCGGGGGCGGGGCTCGCAGAGATTGTGGGTTCTCACCTCTGGCGTCAGGAAGAATTGTATTCAACTGGATTCCTTGTAGGAAAAACCGGCTAGAACTTGCATTCTTAAAAAGAAAAATGATCTTTAATCACGGAGCAGATTCATAGAAAGATGATCTTTAACCCCAGTAGATTCACACATTTATCATCAAACGTGAATGGTCATTGGGTAATAAACCTGACTTCCTACATTTCTAGTATTAGAACAAAACTGCAAAAGATCTTGTCTATAAAAGGCGTTGTGTATCTCTGGGGAATGAAAATTTTGGTTAGTTCCTTCCAGACCCTTCTCTGAGAGTCTTGCTCTGTCACCCAGGCTGGAGTGCAGTGGAGTGATCACGGCTCATCGCAACCTTAACTCCTGGGCTCAAGTGATCCTCCCACCTCAGCCTCCCAAGTAGCTGGGACCACAGGTGTGCGCCACTACGCCCAGCTAACTCGTTTTATTATTTGCAGAAATGGAGCCTCCCTGTGCTGCCCAGGCTGGTCCTTCCAGACCTCTTGAGAGTCAGTCTCTGGAAAACGGGGACTGCAGGAGCTATCACAGCACAGGAAAGCATGATTTGGAAAGCTAAAATTATAAGAAACTGAACTGTTAATTCATTTGCACAGCGATTTAAAAAGACTGACAAGTGACAATTATATGCTTCATGTCTTATGTTGCTAACTGCACAGGAGTCCTCCCAGGCAGAAATGCCACCACGGAACCACAGGGCAGCAGCATCTGAAGCCAGAAGGCCGCACGGCCTGCATGCCCTCCCCTGCAGCCACTCCAACTGTGGGCACAGCAGCCCCGCCCACATCATCTGCTGCATCTATGAATGGAATGGAAAGGGGGGAGGGGAACCAAGGAACTAAAAAGCCCAGGATAAAGGGAAGGCAGAAAAAAGTGAGGCCGCCTCCTTCCTAACGCTGCCTCCCATGAGCAGACCCAGGGCACAAAAAGATGTGGTGGAGACACAGTGGGCGCCCCCAGAGAGGTGCCGCCCCAGCCTCACCATCCCGAACTGGAAGAGCAGGACGGTGGTGCCCTCGCTGTGCAGCTCCAGAGTCACCAGGTGGGCGCCGCAGCTCCCGCTGGCCGAGGTCTTGTTGGGGTTGATGTTGAGAAGCCTTGTCACCGTCTGCATAAGACAAGCAAGCAAGTCACCACCCTAGCTCAGGTCCTCCACACTCTCGAAAAGACAAACAGTCCTGAAACCGTGAATTCAAGGCCACATTTGTTTTAACCAAAACCAGAAGGAAAACACTGAAAGACCACACTAGTACAGATTTCGGGATCCCAAGATGACTCTCCCTGACCCCGTGACAGCTGCTCTTGGAGTGCAGCGTCCCCGCGTGGAGGGCAACCAGCAGCACCACCTCCCCCTGCAGCAGTCAGCCCTGCAAACTCACCCCACGGCACGCAAGTCGACCCCCACAACCCCACAGCCTGTCACTACTAGGGGAGAAAAACTATTTCAAAAGAAAACTATAAAAATGTAACACTTAAATGTTTCCATGATAAATATGTAAAGAAAACTTAGGTTCTATCAGGGGCCAAGTTGTAGGCTCTGTGGGCCACACTGCCCAATAGGCCATGCTGGGACACCAGCCTTGGATGATGGAACCAGCAGGACGGCTGTGATCCTACAAAATGGACTCACTGACACAGACGCCAGCTCTTGTCCTCTAGGGTCACGTCCTGCAAGCTAAGCTCCCATCCTGACTTAACAGCATGACGTGCAGAGACGCGTGTTCTCAGTGCACAGGGAGCAGAGGCTCCAGCCCTACCGTGCCGTCCCCCTCTCCCAGGTGAGGCCCCAGCCCTACCGTGTTGTCCTTCCTCTCATAGGTGAGGTTCAGCTGCAGCCCCATGCTGGCCAGCAGGCAGGTCCCGTTGGTGCCGCTCACGTTGTACTTGTCCACAGAGGGGCTCTTGGGCACGGGTGAGGGCGAGGGGCTGGGTGGCGCAGGGGGCGCTGTGGTTGGGGAAGGCCTGTCTTGTTCACAGCGTGTCTCTGCAGGTGCAGTGGAGGGAGATTCAGGTCTGGGTTTCTCATAACCATCAGCAGTTACAGTAAGATCCAAACTCAGAAACAAAACTACATCTGTGGACTCTGGCGTCCTTGGTGACTATTTTCTCAGTCTCCCAAGGTGGCTCTCGCTAATGCCTTTCTAGACGCGCAGGAAAGAGCTGGGTCCTGCAGACGGCTCAGGGCGGTAGGCACAGGCCCGTGGGGCACCCTCAGCCTCCACCTCCCACTACCCAGGACGGTTCTGCCTGGGCAGCAGGCACCGCCCACCACACCCCAAGCCCCGTGGCTGGACAGGGGCCACTGTGCCACCCTCTTCCTAAAGTGAGGGTGAGAAAGCCTTGAACGCTGTCACGAAGGAGTGGACGCAGGAAGCTGTGCTGCGTGGCCGGCCACCTCACCCCATGGGAAATGGTGACGACTCAGACACTGCTCCCTGAGCTGTCGGGTGAGCGCCAGGATCGTGCTGGAAACACTACCCAGAGGGAAACAGAGGGTCTGCAGCACACACAGACCGGCCAGGTGGGACGCAGAGCAGCCAAGGAGGCCCTCTGGCAGGACAGGGGTCAGGCAGTCTCCATGAGGACCCCACGTGTGAGCAGAGACTCAAAGGCGGGCAAGGCTAGCCAGCTGTGTTGGGTCTTCATTTGGGGAGGGGGCTGTGGGGGATGGGCAAGCATCCTCACGAGGGAGAAGGCAGTGAGTGTGGGTGCGTCTGAAATCCCCAGACAAGAGGGCACAGTTCAGGGAATCCGTGGGGGTGGGGGGGCACATGGCACCCCTGGGGAATGCCCAGCAGTCTGAATGTGACTCTGTCCTTCAGCAATTCACCCACCAAGATGTTCACAACACAAATTTATATTCAAAGTCAAGACAGACTGAACCCTAGGTAGAGCTCTACCGAGTCTTCTGTGGCCAACACTCTCACTAACACACCATCAACCTTGAAATCAGGTTCTTTCTTTTACCACCTTGTTTCTGTGGATACTCAAGAATAATATTTATATAATTTCCACCCAATTCGATCCTTTCCACATCTCTGCTAGGCTGAGTCACCACGCGTGAGCCCCACATATCCAGGGTGGGCAACCCTGCAGGGAATCTGCCACTCATAACTCCATCAGTCACCTGCTGCTTCCGCTTCCATCTCAACATTCAGTGGCCAATTCCCACCTTCATATCCCATCTACTCAGGGCAGGAAAGAGACAGGCAACGTCGCCTATGACTGCACCCCAACGGGTTCTGAGACACACACAGGAGTGCCCCCGCACCCCGGTGTAAAAGCCCCTTCTGGACAGAGCACAAGATGGCAGAGAGGAGCTGCAGTAACCACACCAAACTCTGAAGTGAGAGGCACTGACGGCCACTGGGAGCCGTCCCAACCTGGGATGTGCTCAGGGACCCTTGCTCACTGCCCTTGGCGAAGCTGCAGGTTGACCAGTCCTTTCCAAAACAGCTTCACTTGCTGGGCGCAGTGGCTCATGCCTGTAATTCCAGGGCTTTGAGAGGCCAAGGAAGGAGGACTGCTTGAGCCCAGGAGTTCAAGGCCAGCCTGGGCAACATAGGGAGACCCCCATCTCCACAAAGTTTTTTTAAAAAATGAGCCAGGCATGGTGGCATGCGCCTTAGTCCTAGCTACTCAGAAGGCTGACTAGGGAGGGTCACTGGAGCCTGGGAGGCTGAGGCTGCAGTGAGCAGTTATTGTGCCACTGCACTCCAGCCTGGGAGACCCTGTCTCAAAAAAAAAAAAAAAAAAGCAGCTTCACGGTTCCTTTATAAAATGTTACAGACCAGGGTTAAACAGGCAAAAGTTAAATGTGCAAAACCGGCCAGTCTTGTCCAAATTCTAGTCTAGATGGCCACACGACGCACAGAAAAAGTGTAACCTACGCTGCTTTGACAATTGTTTTTCACCTGTGATCCATGTGGCACATTCATTTCCCACCCTGTTTCTGTAGAGTGGTCACAAGAAGCTGGAAACACAAATAAAACATCATCAGGTCTAACCACCAGTTTAAAAAACTGGAACTTGAGAAATAAGTGTGGATAAAATGCCCTCGTCCTTCTACCTGAATTACAAACGCAAACCCACACTCTCCTTCCCTGAATGCGTACTAAATACCAAAGTCTTTCCTGCTGAGGGCGGAGGACAGTGACGGAGAGCTCATCACGGAACGCACTGGAGAGTGCCCTGCGCTGCCCGGGGGGAGATGGTGGCACAGGAGCCTCTGGGGAGACCTGAGGGTCCACTGTCACACCTCCTCCAGCACCCTCCGGAGAGCAGCACACAGCCGGGCCTTTCCAAAGCTCATGTGCTCTGAAGGCCCCTCCTCCTCTCCCGGCAACAGCAGATACTCACATCAACCTGCAAGCTGCAATTCAGACCCTCAAGGGTGTCTGTGAGGATGAGATTGGTTTGCACCCAGGTTCCCGACTCATAGCTCCCACAGCCTCTCTTACAGTTTTTTGTGACAATGTTGGGTGTGTCAGGCCTCTGACCTTCTCCTGCCCCTTTCACCTGTCCTGAGGGACTCTCATCCTCTCCGCCTTTCTGATGGTAGTTCTTTTTTTTTTTTTTTGAGACAGAGTCTCAGTTGCTCTGCCACCCAGGCTAGAGTGCAGCGGCGCCATCTCAGCTCACTGCAACCTCCACCTCCAATGTTTTACCATCGATTCCTTCCATTTAAGCTAGGAGTCAGACTCTGTTCCTAGGAATGAAAAAAAAATGCTGCAGCTGGGCACGGTGGCTCACGCCTGTAATCCCAGCACTTTGGGAGGCCGAGGCGGGCGGATCACGAGGTCAGGAGATCAAGACCATCCTGGTTAACACGGTGAAACCCCGTCTCTACTAAAAATACAAAAATTAGCCAGGCGTGGTGGCGGGCGCCTACAGTCCCACCTACTTGGGAGGCTGAGGCAGAAGAATGGCGTGAACCCAGGAGGCGGAGCTTGCAGTGAGCAGAGATCACGCCACTGCACTCCAGCCTGGGGTGACAGAGCGGGACTCTGCCTCAAAAAAAAAAAAAAAAAATCATGCCAAATTGGGTGGGAGATGAGACACGGTGACCTTCATTTTCAACTCCTAACAGGAGTCAGGCAGTCCTCTGATTCATTCAACAAGCGTGCACCTATCAGACCCTGAGGATAAAAGACGAAGACACCCCACTCCTCCCGGTGAACTCATAAACCCAAAAGCCTGGCTGAGCCTCACTGTAGATCTGCTAACCCCATATGGGCCTGGGCTGGAAATCCGGTTTGGATGGATATCTGGCTGACTCCAGCCTCAGGCAGAGCTGCACTCAGACCCTCTGGAGTGACAGTCATCTGCCCTACTTTGTTTTTTTGTTTTTGAGATGGAATCTCACTCTGTCAGCTGGGCTGGAGTGCAGTAGCATGATCTCAGCTCACTGCAACCTCCACCTCTCGGGTTCAAGCAATTCTCCTGCCTCAGCCTCCTGAGTAGGGGGGACTACAGGCACCTGCCACCACGCCCGACTAATTTTTATATTTTTAGTAGAGACGGGTTTTCGCCATGTTGGCCAGGCTGGTCTCGAATTCCTGACCTGAGGTGATCCACCCACCTCGAGTTCCCAAAGTGCTGGGATTACAGGACTGAGCCACCGTGCCCAGCCACATGTGCCCTACTTTGAAGATACTCAGGAAGGAAGGTACAAAACCAACAGGAAAGTCCATTCAAAGGTGGCTTGTGCTTCATTTCCTTTTAAAATAAAATCTATGAGGTCCCCGAGCTTTTTTAGATAAGATGATGTATTGAAAGGCAAGATGGGCCGGGCACGGTGGCTCACACCTATAATCCCAGCACTTTGGGAGGTCAGGAGCTCAAGACCAGCCTGGCCAACATGGTGCAACGCCCCCCTCTACTAAAAATATAAAAATTAACCAGACGTGGTGATGTGCACCTGTAATCCCAGCTACTCAGGAGGCTGAGGGAGGAGAATCGCTTGAACCCGGGAGGCAGAGGTTGCAGTGAGCCGAGATGGCACCACCGCACTCCAGCCTGGGCAACAGAGCAAGACTCCCTCTCAAAAAAAAAAAAAAAAAAAAAAAAAGACAAGATACATGAGGCTTTCTGGTGAAGCGCCACCCAGGCAGGAAGCCCAGCCTCCAGGACGCCGCGCCCCAGGCACACCGGCATCTCCACGCTGGTTCCCTCCAGGAGGCCCCGCCCCAGGCACACTGGCATCTCCGCACTGGCTCCCTCCAGGAGGCCACGCCCCAGGCACACGGGCATCTCCACACTGACTCCCTCCGGGAGGCCACGCCCCAGGCACACGGGCATCTCCGCACTGACTCCCTCCAGGAGGCCACGCCCCAGGCACACCGACATCTCCACACTGGTTCCCTCTAGGAGGCCACACCCCAGACACACCGACATCTCCACACTGGTTCCCTCCAGGAGGCCACGCCCCAGGCACACGGGCATCTCCACACTGACTCCCTCAGGAGGCCACGCCCCAGGCACACTGGCATCTCCACACTGGTTCCCTCCAGGAGGCCATGCCCCAGGCACACGGGCATCTCCACACTGACTCCCTCTAGGAGGCCACGCCCCAGGCACACTGGCATCTCCACACTGGCTGCCTCCAGGAGGCCACGCCCCAGGCACATGGGCATCTCCACACTGACTCCCTCTAGGAGGCCACGCCCCAGGCACACCGACATCTCCACACTGGTTCCCTCCAGGAGGCCACGCCCCAGGCACACGGGCATCTCCACACTGACTCCCTCTAGGAGGCCACGCCCCAGGCACACCGACATCTCCACACTGGTTCCCTCCAGGAGGCCACGCCCCAGGCACACGGGCATCTCCACACTGACTCCCTCTAGGAGGCCACGCCCCAGGCACACCGACATCTCCACACTGGTTCCCTCCAGGAGGCCACGCCCCAGGCACACGGGCATCTCCACACTGACTCCCTCTAGGAGGCCACGCCCCAGGCACACTGGCATCTCCACACTGGTTCCCTCCAGGAGGCCACGCCCCAGGCACACGGGCATCTCCACACTGACTCCCTCTAGGAGGCCACGCCCCAGGCACATGGGCATCTCCACGCTGGTTCCCTCCAGGAGGCCCCGCCCCAGGCACACGGGCATCTCCGCACTGGCTCCCTCCAGGAGGCCACGCCCCAGGCACACCGACATCTCCACACTGACTCCCTCCGGGAGGCCACGCCCCAGGCACACCGACATCTCCGCACTGGTTCCCTCCAGGAGGCCACGCCCCAGGCACACGGGCATCTCCACACTGACTCCCTCTAGTAGGCCACGCCCCAGGCACACGGGCATCTCCACACTGACTCCCTCCGGGAGGCCACGCCCCAGGCACACGGGCATCTCCACACTGGTTCCCTCCAGGAGGCCACGCCCCAGGCACACGGGCATCTCCACACTGACTCCCTCTAGGAGGCCACGCCCCAGGCACACGGGCATCTCCACACTGGTTCCCTCCAGGAGGCCACGCCCCAGGCACACGGGCATCTCCACACTGACTCCCTCTAGGAGGCCACGCCCCAGGCACACCGGCATCTCCACGCTGGTTCCCTCCAGGAGGCCATGCCCCAGGCACACGGGCATCTCCACACTGACTCCCTCCAGGAGGCCACGCCCCAGGCACACTGACATCTCCACACTGGTTCCCTCCAGGAGGCCATGCCCCAGGCACACGGGCATCTCCACACTGACTCCCTCCAGGAGGCCACACCCCAGGCACACTGACATCTCCACACTGGTTCCCTCCAGGAGGCCATGCCCCAGGCACACGGGCATCTCCACACTGACTCCCTCCAGGAGGCCACACCCCAGGCACACCGACATCTCCACACTGGTTCCCTCCAGGAGGCCACGCCCCAGGCACACCGGCATCTCCACACTGACTCCCTCTAGGAGGCCACGCCCCAGGCACACTGGCATCTCCACACTGGCTGCCTCCAGGAGGGGCAAGTGGCCAGGGCTGGGCTGTCGGGCCTTTTTCCATTTGGAATCACATGCGTGTTCTCCATTAAAAAAGGAACCAACGTCCAGGATCTGGACACAGAGGAAGGCTGTACATGCGCAGCGGCAGAGAATACACAGAAACCTAAGACTGCTCTAAAAAATAGTCTATCTTAAAAGTAATTATTAACCTGAAGAAACAGGTTTCTCAAAAGAACCTAGCAAGCTTCTCTGGACCTGTGAAGCCTTATTTTTCATCTAGAGAATCCTGCCACCCGTCTCAGGGCACTCAACATCCTTGCTGACCTCCACCTAGCAGCCCTTCACTTCCAGGCAGGAGTGAGTGAGCGGTCATGCCATGCGCACCCCTCGGTCACAGAGCGACATGGGGAGGAGACACGTTCTGCAACCGTGTCCAGGCCTAGCCAGTAGGGAGTCCCCGGACAAGGTCAGCATCCAATTCTCTCTCATTTCCCAAGCTCTGACAGAGAGTGCGTGCCCTTCCTTTTCCTCTTCAAGCCACATTGATGCAGCCCAGAGGTAGCCAGCTAGGTGTGGAGCCCAGATAATTTGGAAATCGATAACCGTGAACACTAGTCACCCCCATGTGTTACGCTAACTCCCACTTGGTAGGGAGCACTGCCCCTAGCTGAAGTTATCTTTAGCTCTGGCTGAGGTGTGTCTGAGAGCATGAACACACCTAGACAGGCTGCCAGGCGTCCGTCCTCAGACACACGCGGCCCATGTGAGAGGACTCTAGCCCGCTCTTCCTGATGAAGCAGACACGACTCCAGGCTCCGTGTGAACAGAGGCTGCACCAGGAAAGCGGCTGTCACCACGGCCCCCGGGGCCCTGTGTTGAGGATTAAAGGCAGCAGCACCTACAGAGGACCCAGCTCCTAAGTGTGTTTCCTTCCAAGCCTCCCCTATGGGAGCCCACGTGGCCCCATCAAGTCCCAGTCACACCCGGGGTTTCCAAGTTGGGCTCCTTTTCACCCACTCACCAGGGAAGGCAAAGTCTGCCGCAAAGCTACAGACAGTAAATATTTCAGACTTTGTGGGCCGTGGCTCTCTGTCAAGACAACACAGCCCTGCCACTGTTAATACAAAAGCAGCCACAGATAATGTGTAAATAAATGAGTGTGGCTGTGTTCCAAGAAAATTTAACTTATGGACACTGAATTTTACATAATCTTTATGTGTCAAGAAATATTCGTTTTCTGATTTTTGGTATGTTACATTTATAAATCGAAAAGCCGTTCTTAGCTCATGGGCTGTATGGAAATTGGAGGTGGGCAAGACCGGCCCAGCACCATGGGGTGCCGACCTGCAAGAGTACCTGCTCCTCGGGGAGGAGTGAGACGGACGATCCTCCTGTGGAGCCCAGCAGTCACTCCTCAGCCTTTAAGCAAGACTGCTGAGGAATGTTGCAAACCAAAGGTCTCCACAGTAGCTCTCAAGATTAGAGAAGGCTGTGATGTCTCCATATATTTCTAGCAGCCAGGAAAGCCCACCCTAAGGGATGTCTCCATACATATTTCTATCAGCCGGGAAAGCTCACCCTAAGGCAAATCACAGGCCCTCACGCTTCAGCAAAATGACAACAACCTATGACCTGGACTGTGAGGCTCGGGAGAGAAGCTCCTCAAAAGTAACAGGATTTACCAGGTGCTTGCTACTTAACTCTGTGCCAGATGCTGAGATACACATTTTGCATACATTTCTCTTTTAATTCCAACAACCTTTGAAGACAGGCTTTTAATCTCATGCCACATGCAAAGAAAATGAGAGGTAAACTACCCTGCTCAAGATCACAGGGCTAGGAGGTGGCCTGGACCCTGCCTGACCCCAGAGCCCGGCGGCTGGGTTAGCAGGTACATCATCGCAGCCCTGACCTCCTCAGAGAGGCAGCGTTGGTCTTTCTGCACCTGTCCCTAAGCTGGCCGGCCAGAGCTGGATGGAGATAAGACTATGTCTCTGTGTGAAGGCAACTGGCTCAAACTGCAAGAGATCTGTGACCCTGGTCCCATCATCTCTGCCCCAGTAGAAGCACAAAGGTTTCAACTGCTTTGCCCTTCTGACATTTTCAAGTAATAATTGTATACGTTTACCATGTGTGTCAGGATGTTTTGAAATACACCTACATGTGTGACAGCTAAAATCAAACACTTACTTTTTTATGGTGAGAAGAGTTAAAATCTACTTAGCAATATTCAAGCCAGAATACATTATTAACTGCAGTCACATGCTGTACTAATTCCTCCTGTCTTCCGGAAACGCTCTATCTTCTGACCAACTTAACCCCAGCCCCTGGTGATCACCTCTCTCTCTACCCGCCCCCCGCCGACTCCCACTGCTTTAGCTCCCACGGGAGACCACACAACATCTGTCTCTGTCCCGGGATATTTCACTTCAATATTCCACCCTTTTTAATCAACATGTGTCTACCCTCATCTACAAGTCACCTGCCCTAGGAAGAAGGATGAGAACGTTCTGCAGAGACGTCGCCGGCTGTGTGCACACGCGTTCCAGGCAGAGCCCAGCACCAGGACACAGAGCAGTGAGGTCACCCGCAGCCACTGCAGCCCAGCTACCCAACCACTAGCACCAGAGGGCCAAGGGTCAGCGTCCTACCTCCCCGGCTGAAGCTGCTGTTGGAAAGGTACGCCTGGATGGTGGCATCATGGAGCGTTACGGTCACGTTGTTCATGTGGACCTGGGTGCCACTAACACATCTGTATTTTTTATCTATATCTGCCCTGATGTCAGTTATAGATTCCACAGTCTTGATTTCTAGATTAAAAAAAAAAAAAATCACAATTGCAAACTACTTGCAGTACTTAGTTTATGTGTTTTTTATTTTAGCCCTGATGTCAGTTATAGATTCCAGTCTTGATTTCTAGATTAAAAAAAAAAAATCACAATTGCAAACTACTTATAGTACTTAGTTTACTTTATGTGTTTTTTATTTTTTTTGAGACAGAGTCTCGCCCTGTCGCCCAAGCTGGAGCACAGTGGCGTGATCTCGGCTCACTGCAACCTCCGCCTTCTGGGTTCAGGCGATTCTCTTGCCTCAACCTCCTGAGTAGCTGGGACTACAGGCGCGCGCCACCACGCCCAGCTAATTTTTGTATTTTTAGTAGAGAGGGGGTTTCACCATGTTGATCAGGCTGGTCTCGAACTCCTGACCTCATGATCTGCCCGCCTCGGCCTCCCAAAGTGCTGGGATTACAGGCGTGAGCCACCGCGCCTGGCTGTGTGTTTTTTATTTTTTAGAGACAGTCTCACTTGGTCGCCTAGGCTGGAGTGCAGTGGCACCATCTCGGCTCACTGCAACCTCTGCCTCCTGGGTTCAAGCGATTCTCCTGCCTCAGCCTCCCGAGTAGCTGGGATTACAGGTGCCCGCCACCACACCTGGCTAATTTTAGTATTTTTAGTAGAGACAGTGTTTCGCAATGTTGGCCAGGCTGGTCTCAAACTCCTGACCTCAAGTGATCTGTCTGCCTTAGCCTCCCAAAGTGCTAGGATTACAGGTGTGAGCCACCACACCCAGCCTGTACTTCTTAGGTAAAAGTAACTTTAGACAATCCTCCAACCCAATTTTCTATCACTTCATAATCGGCCCATTTTGGTTCTTACCTTTGGAGCTCGCATTGGGGAAAAGGTGTGTGTCTGACAAGTTATAAACAAAACTCATGAGCTGGACGCTGTAACGTGTTGCATTTCTCGTGAAATTGAGAGTGAGTGTATGTCCTCTTCCAAAAGCAATCACGAGACTGGGGTCAGAAGTGTTCTCTTTTCCACAGGAGCTGCGGTTGAGCACCACTGTGGCATCTGATGGCAGGTCAAAGGTCATGTTCTAGAATAAACACAATTAAATGTAACCCAATTGGGATGCAGGTTATTAAAAGTTCAAAGAAAGAGATTTTCTGTAAGTCTGATATAAACTTATACTTCATTTCCAACTAAGATATCACTACTGAGGTACTCATTTTTAATATAAACCAAAAAAAGGTTAGTATTACATGTCAGTAAAAGACTGAAAAGTATTTCAGGTGTAAGAGAAAGTTGGCTTAATAATTCATATAATCAAAAATTTGCAGCTGGGCATGGTGGCTCACACCTGTAATGCTAACACTCTGGGAGGCTGAGGTGGGGGGATTGCTTGAGCCCAGGAGTTCAAGACCAGCCTGGGCAACATAGCAAGACCCCATCTCTACAAAAACAAAATAAACTAATCAGACATGGTGGTGTCTGCCTGTCGTCCCAGCTACTCAGGAGGCTGAGGCAGGAGGATTGCTTGAGCCTAGGTTTGAGGCTGCAGTGAACTACGACTGCACCACTGCACTCCAGCCTGGGCAACAGAGCAAGACTCTGTCTCCAAACAAAACAAAACAACCCCATAAATTCATTTTATGTTAATATAATTTATAACAGAATTTAAAGCGTCTTGAAATTGAAACAATTCACACCAGCTTCAGGGTGAGATATATATTTGAGAAAAGCTATCACTACTTTTTTACTATAGAAATGTTCATTTAAATAATGTTTCTTTAAACAAAGAAGGTGTTTATAGCAGAAATGTTTAAATTTACTACTATAAGCAAAACGAGCAACTGGAAAACCACTTAATGTTCATCAAAGTAAACTAGATAGGTCAAATGAACTACAGTGAAGCAGTATACTAACGTGGGCCAAAAAACAACACGAAACTACACAAGGTGATAAAGACATGTTCTGTGAAATAACAAAGTGCATAACAGCATATAGGTGACCTCACTTGTGAAACATAATTTATAATAGAATATTTAAAAAATCCAACCACCAAAACCAAACATTAAAAAAGTGATGTAGAAATTAAATAAAAAGTGCTTGGAGACCAGGTACGCTGGGCCACGCCTGTAATCCCAGCACTTGGGGAGGCCGACGTGGGAAGATCACCTGAGGTCAGGAGTTTGAGACCAGCCTGACCAACATGGAGAATCCCTGTCTCTACTAAAAATACAAAAATTAGCTGGGCGCATGCCTGTAATCCTAGCTACTTGGGAGGCTGAGGCAGAAGAATTGCTTGAACCCAAGAGGCAGAGGTTGCAGTGAGCCAAGAACGCGCCATTGTACTCCAGCCTGGGTGACAAGAGCAAAACTCTGCCTCAAAAAAAAAAAAAAAAAAAAAAAAAGTGCTTGGAGGCCAGGTACGGTAGCTCACACCTGTAATCCCAGCACTTTGGGAGGCCAAGGTGGGCAGATCACTTGAGGCCAGTAGTTTAAGACCAGCCTGGCCAACATAGCAAAACCCCGTCTCTACTAAAAATACAAATAATTAGCTGGCCATGGTGGCATGCACCTGATGTCCCACCTACTGAGGAGGCTGAGGCACGAGACTCACTCAAACCTGGGAGGTGGAAGACACAGTGAGCCGAGATCTTGGCACTGTACTCCAGCCACCTGGGGGACAGAGTGCAACTCTGTCTCAGAAAAAAGAAAAAAGGCTTTGACAAGTATTTATAATTTGAGACTGGATTTTTTTTTTTTTTTTTTTTTTTTGGAGATGGTCTCGCTCTGTCACCCAGGCTGGAGTGCAGTGGCAAGATCATAGCTCACTGCAGCCTCGACCTCACAGGCTCAAGCAATCCTCCCACCTCAGCCTCCCAAGTAGCTGGGACCACAGGCACACTCCACCATGTCTGGCTTTTTTTTTTTTTTTTAAAAAAGAGATAAGATCTTACTATGTCTTGGATTTTTAAAATATTTTGTTATTCCAAAAGGCTTTAGTCATCCCAAAGAAACACAAAGCCATTTCAACAAAACCACTAAGGAACATTTTAATCAAACTAGTACAGTGTTTGCATTGCATGTCAACCAACCATTTATATACATTTCTTGCAGTATAACTCTCTAAATCAAAAAAGCCACATTCACAGAGCATGAAAAAGATTCAAGACAACTTACCAATTACTAATAGGGGAGTGTGTAACAAATTATGGTGAATTAACATAATAAAGTATTACATTATGATTATAAAAGACAATCACGAAGAAAACTAGAGCTGGGAGGGGTGGCTCACCCCTGTAATTCCAACACTTTGGGAGGCCAAGGCAGGCAGATCACTTGAGGTCAGGAGTTTGAGACCACCCTGGCCAACATGGTGAAACCCCGTCTCTACCAAAAATACAAAAATCAGCCAGGCGTGGTGGTGGGCACCTGTAGTCCCAGCTACTCAGGAGGCTAAGGCAGGAGAACTGCTTGAACCCAGGAGACGGAGGTTGTGGCGAGCTCAGATCGTACCACTGCACTCCAGCCTGGGCGACAAACCAAGATTCCATCTCAAAAAAAAAAAAGAAAACTAGAAAAATGTTGATGATAGGCTGGGCGCGGTGGCTCACACCTGTAATCCCAGCACTTTGGGAGGCCAAGGCGGGTGGATCACGAGGTCAGGAGACTGAGACCATCAAGGCTAACACAGTGAAACCCCATCTCTACTAAAAATACAAAATATTAGCTGTGCGTGGTGGCGAGCGCCTGTAGCCCCAGCTACTGGGGAGGCTGAGGCAGGAGAATGGCATGAACCCAGGAGGCGGAGCTTGCAGTGAGCAGAGATCGCGCCACTGCACTCCAGCCTGGGTGACAGAGCGAGACTCCGTCTCAAAAAAAAAAAAAAAAAAAAAAAGGAAAATGTTCATGATGAACAGTGAGGTGCAGCACATATACAGGTTTGTTACTGTGCCTGTGGCTATGGCACATGACAGCGCAGGTTACTGACAACACCAGAAGGAGATATGCAGATAGGAAAAGCACCATGTTCAGATGGGGCCATTTTTCAAAGACTTGGTTGAAATGTTAAAAATCATCTTTCCACACACACAAGGGAAGCATGAAGTGCCCTGGTGTTTCCTACCTTAGGGCCACTCTTGGTGTCGTAGTTCACTGAGAAGGCAGCAGAGAAGTTGGCCATTATGCACGCGGTCCCGTTGCCATTTTTCACCATAAACATTGCTGCTGACGCACAATGCATGAGGCCTGTCAATTCCAGGGAAGACGGAGACCATCAAAAACTGTCCAGAAAATACGACCGAGTATTTCCATTTTCCACAGCTGTAGCAGTGATGGCTTTTATTACAAGATTCCACTGTTTCTCTTTTTTTTTTTTTGAGACGGAGTCTCACTGTCGCCAGGCTGGGGTGCAGTGGCGTGATCTCAGCTCACTGCAACCTCCACCTCCCAGGTTCAAGCAATTCTCCTGCCTCAGCCTCCCAAGTAGCTGGAACTGCAGGCACGTGCCACCAAACCCAGCTAATTTCTGTTTTTAGTAGCGACGGGGTTTTGCCACTTTGGCCAGGCTGGTCTTGAACTCCTGACCTCAGGTGATCCACCCACCTTGGCCTCCCAAGGTGCTGGGATTATAGGTGTCAGCCACTGCACCCAGCCTCCACTGTGTTTCTTAAATTCAATGAACAACCAGACACATGGATTACGCAGCCAGTTCACCTGGTGCCCTGTCCCTTTCGGATACTATTCTGGAATTGTTATCTCTAAGCCCATCTGATTGAGTTTGCCAACCTAGTCTATTGCTATTTAGTGCTTTATTCCAGAACACTTATCAGGAAGGCACATGTCAATTTCTGCATCATCCTAGGCATACGCTGTTCCGCCTTTCTCAGAGGATCTCTGTAAGACGTGGTGCCTTGAAGGCACAACTCACCCATCTGCAGAAATCCATGGGAGAGGCTGCAGGATCTTTCACTGTGGTCCTCACCTGCTACTTAACGTCTGGTCAGTTTTATTTCTCATGGACTCAAAGTGCTGAGCTCTTTGCCCAATTTCAGAAAGGTCCTCACAGCACTACACATCGGTGGAGTGGCTTCCCTTCCCCATCCTGAAGCAAAGGGACAGAATGGAAGCTCTATAGGTCTTTCCAGCTGGACAGTGGTCACTGCTAAATATTTCCTCTCTGACTTACTCATACTCCACTTCCCTGATCAAGATGTTTGGCAACAAATGTAATCTGATCACTACGGTAGAGACACTGGTAATTGTACAAATTGCACGTTATTACACAGTTCTTTCATTACAGATTGGAAAACAGGTGTTTCTGCCTGTTCTAACGCCAAACACCTATCTGCCACCACTGGAATCCGTGCAGAAATGACATGCTTTCACTTGTCTCTGCCACTACAAGTTCGTGCATGCCAGTCCAGTGAGCACTCACCACCCAGGGGCTGATCTCACACTGCGTGAGCACAGCCTTCCAACCACACACACACCCGAGTCTCATCTGTCACTCTAAGTGTAAATGCAACTCAGGCACACTGTGAGGGCAGATATTGAAAGAGAGGATGCTTAGCTTTTCATTTAAAATCCTATTCCCTGGAAAAGTAATGGATTCCAATGAATCCGACTCATTTCAACCTTGGGTCTTTCACAAAATAAAATCTTTACAGCAACTGTTCTTCAAGCCTAAAGCGAAGCATATAACCAGAAGTAGTCCCACCTATCTTCCCTTTGGTAAAGGAAATACCAAAATCTATGTCCATAAAGAAAAGGTGCTGCCGGGCACAGTGGCTCACGCCTGTAATCCCAGCACTTTGGTGGGAAGCTGAGGCAGGTGGATCATGAAGTCAGGAGTTCAAGACCAGCCTACCCAACATGGTGAAACCTCGTCTCTACTAAAAATACAAAAATTATCTGGGCATGGTGGCAGGCGCCTGTAATCCCAGGTACTAGGGAGGCTGAGGCAGGAGAATCACTTGAACCAGGGAGGCCGAGGTTGCAGTGAGTCGAGATTGCACCACTGCCCTCCAGCCTGGGTGACAAGAGCAAAACTCTGTCTCAAAAAAAAAAAAAGAAAAAGAAAAGGTGCTACACGACAATGAAACAAAGTAGGGCGTGCAAGGAAACCTCCAATCTACTGTCTGCTTTGCTTGGTTTTTCAAGCCACACTCTGCAACACTGAGGCAGGATCATACTAACGGCATTTCCAATGAATCTAGAGAATCTAGGGAAGATTCTACCACTTATTTTTGACATAGTAAAGGTTTCTAAAAACAGACAAAATATTCTCACTCTTGTGAAAGATCAGATGAGTGTACAGAAGCTACAGCAGACGCCAGCAAGGCAGAAGCAGCGGACAGGCAGACACAGCAGACGCCAGAGACTTAACACTTGACTGGAGCTCAGCGTGGACAGGGAGACTGCCCACCCCGCCCTCAGGTGAGGAGTCACAGGGCCCACAGTCACCACTGACAACCCGGATGCCCACATGGGAGCAGCCATAGGCTGGCTTTTATTAAGCTGCCCTTTTATAAGTTTCCTCAAACACTTTTCACTGACCCGAAGCACTTCATTAGGAAATATTTCAAACTAAGTCATTTTTCAATTATACAATTTTTTTTTCACTTAGTAAATATGCTGAGGGTTTCAGCTTTTTTATTTTTATTTTTTAGAGACTGAGTCTCACTCTTGCCCAGGCTGGAGTGCAGTAGCCCTCCACCTCCCAGGTTCAAGCGATTCTCGTGCCTCAGCCTCCTGAGTAGCTGGGACTACAGGTTTGTACCACCATGTCTGGCTACTTTTTGTATTTTTAGTAGAGACGGGGTAGACAGGGTTTTGCCATGTTGGCCAGGCTGGTCTCCAACTCCTCGCCTCAAGTGATCCACCTGCCTCAGCCTCACAAAGTGCTGGGATTATGGGTGTAAGCCACCATGCCCAGCCAGGTCTCAGCTTTCAGAGGAAAACAAAGAAATATCATTTAAATAAATTTAAAGTAAGCTTTGGCAGCACAAGATGCCTGTATTACTCTGGAGAGACCCAGGAATTTTGAGTTATTAAAATAAACTTACCCTCAGAAGGCAATTTTGGTATAGAAGAAAATAAGAGCATCAGCACACAGAGCTTGAGGAGGAAATGTATGTATGCTATAAGGGTCAGAAGTTTTTTTAAAAACCTCCACAACAGTGGCAACTGGGTAGCAAAAAAAAAAAAAGACAAAAAACCTCAAGTAAGTTACAATGTTTCCAGTAACCTGACAGGTGTCACAGCCCAACAGGACAGCCGTTGGCAGCATCTCCAAGGTGGGCACCCTGGCCTACTGGTGACTGCTATCTCCGGCAGTCCTGTACTCAGACACGAACAGGACCACTTCTCCAGGGATCACATAAAGGAGTAACTGTGGCTTCAAAATACCCCCACTTGGGAGAAATTCTGTTCTCTGAAACAAGTGCCGCTGTGGGAAGCATGCGTGCTTCTGAGTCACAGCCCTCAGTTCTTGGAGGTTCTTGCAGCACTTACTAGCTGTGCAACCATGGCCAGTAGCAGAGCCCAATCCCCAGTCTCTGCACCCACGAGCAGGAGGAGAGAGTGCCAAGGCCTCAGGGCTGTCGGAGCAGCTGAGCATTTGGTGCCCGGCACTGACGCCAGCTTTGATGTCAGCTGTTATTAAACATCTGCACAGGTACAGAGGGTTCCCATCAAGTTCATCATTCAATCCTCAGTATCTGACACAAAACATCAAAAACTATCTCATTTAACAAGCACTTGGAATGCACTTACTTTGTGCCAGGTGCTGCTCTAAGCACATCCCAGTTATCATGACAACTCTTCATAGGGAGATTAAGGCATAGAGAGGTCAACTAACCCACCCAGGTCACACAGCTAGTGAGTGGCGGAGACCTAGATCTAGAAGGGGTCTTCTGACTCACAGGACGTGCCACTTCTGAGCCACGCTGCCTCTCCAGCACTTGATGACTGAGGGAACGGGCTTCCAATGAGGAAACACTGGCTGGGTGCAGTGGCTCATGCCTGTAATCTCAGCACTTTGGGAGGCTGAGGAAGCGGAGGACTGCTTGAGGTTAGGAGTTCCAGACCAGGCTGGTCAACACAGCAAGACCTTGTCTCTTAAAAAAAAAATTTAATTTTTTTGAATTAAAATAAATAAAAATTAAGAAATACTCGCTTTTGACATTAAAGATTACCATCTGAAGAAATGAGTAAAAAACTTCATTTTAAAAAATTAGGCCGGGCACAGCCCGTAATCCCAGCCTGTAATCCCAGCACTTTGGGAGGCTGAGGCAGGCGGATCACCTGAGGTCAGGAGTTTGAGACTAGCCTAGCTAGCATGGTGAAACCCCGTCTCTACTAAAAAATATATACAAAAATTAGACGGGCATGGTGGCGCATGCCTGTAGTCTCAGCTACTCGGGAGGCTGAGGCAGAAGAATCACTTGAACCCGGGAGGTGGAGGTTGCAGTGAGCTGAGATCGTGCCACTGCACTCCAGACTGGACAACATAAAGAGACTGTCTCAAAAAAAGAAGAAAAAACAATTTATTAAGAAATTACATCTTAGGCTGGGTGTGGTGGCTACCGCCTGTAATCCCAGCACTTTGGGAGGCCGAGGTGGGCAGATCACCTGAGGTTAGGCGTTTGAGACCAGCCTGACCAAACATGGAGAAACCCTGTCACCACTAAAAATACAAAATTAGCCGGGCATGGTGGCGCATGCCTGTAATCCCTGGTACTCGGGAGGCTGAGGCAGGAGAATGGCGTGAACCTGGGAGGCGGAGCTTGCAGTGAGCCGAGATCGCACCACTGCACTCCAGCCTGGGCGACAGAGCGAGACTCCGTCTCAAAAAAAAAAAAAAAAAAAAAAGAAATCACATCTTAGTTTTTCTTGGCTTGATTCTTTTAAATATGGTATTTTTATTCTACTTAACCAATGATGCACAATCATTTATGAAGAACTAAAGGAAAAAAATACCATCCCAGGCACTGAATCACAACCTCTAGAGGCAAGGTATAAGTGTGTGTGTGTGTAAATATATATATATATATATATATATATATATATATATATATATATATATTTTTTTTTTTTTTTTTTAAATGGAAACAGAGTCTCACTCTGTCACCCAGGCTGGAGTCCAGTAGCATGATCTTCGCTCACTGCAACCTCCGCCTCCCGGGCTCAAGCAATTCTCCTACCTCAGCCTTCCAAGTAGCTATGACTACAGGGGTACGCCACCATGCCCGACTAATTTTTTTTGTATTTTAGTAGAGATGGGATTTCACCATATTGCCCAGGCTGGTCTCGAACTCCTGAGCTCAGGCAATCCACCCACCTCGGCCTCCCAAAGTGTTAGGATTACACGTGACAGCCACCGTGCCCGGCCGTATATTTCTTTTTAATTTTTTTTGTAGAGACACTGGTCTCGCCATGTTGCCCAGGCTGATCTCAAGCAATCCTCCTGCCTTAGCCTCAAAGCACTGAGATGACAGGCATGAGCCACTGTGCCTCGCTGTGGTATGTATATTTCTAAAAAGCTGATCGTGTGGATCCGTGCATATGTTTGGTTGAGAGCCACTGCTATAAAATTGATCCTTTCTTCATATATGTACTCAGCACTTACTACCTGTCAGTTAAGGAAGGGAGATACACAGGCAAAAATAATCCCAGTGCAGCCGAACAGATGTTACCATGTAGAAGCACATGCAATAAAAGTCTTGGGTACAGAGAAGAAAGGGTAACGTTGTCTGGGATGGGGCTAATGCAATACAAATTCAAAATTACAGGGCTACAAAGACATTCTGACCTCAAATCTGCTGACAAATTCATTCTTTCCACCGCATAACTGACAATCTGCACAATCAAAGGTAACATCGGTTAGTAGAAAAAAAATTTTTTTCTTTGTTTTTTTGAGATGGAGTCTCGCTCTGTTGCCCTGAAGAGCAGTGGCACGATCTCGGCTCACTGCAACCTCCACCTTCCGGGTTCAAGCAGTTCTCCTGCCTCAGCCTCCTGAGTAACTGGGACTACAGGCCTGTGCCACTACGCCTGGCTAACTTTTTAAAAATATTTTTAAAAAGAATAGAGATGGAGTTTCACCATGTTGTGGCCAGGATGGTCTCGATCTCTTGACCTAGTGATCGGCCTGCCTCAGCCTCCCAAAGTGCTGGGATTACAGGCATGAGCCACCACACCCAGCTTTTCTTTCTTTTCTTTTTCTTTTTTTTTTTTTTTTTTTGACATTGAGTTTCGATTTTGTTGCCCAGGCTGGAGTGCAATGGCACGATCTCAGCTCCCTGCAACCCCTGCCTCCCAGGTTCAAGCAATTCTCCTGCCTCAGCCTCCCACGTAGCTGGAATTACAGGCGCCTGCCACCACACCACGCCTGGCTAATTTTTGTATTCTTAGTAGAGACGGGGTTTCACCACATTGGCCAGGCTGGTCTCAAACCCCTGACTTCAGCTGATCCGCCCACCTGGGCCTCCCAAAGTGCTGAGATTACAGGCGTGAACCACTGCACCCAGCCGAGTATAAAATTGTTCAAACCTCCTAAGTGACAGTTGTTCAAGTGGAAAGGGTAAGGCGGTCATCCTGCTGACATCAATGGTTTAAAGGGTCACATTACGCAATCACAGCTAATCCTATCTATCAGGACAAGTTTCAGTTCATGTTTGAGCTTTCTAAGTATTCAAACACAGTAGCTTTAAACAATGCCTAATTATTAATATAGTGGAAATTTGTAATTGAGCAGTTTCTTTTTTTAAGAAAAAAGGATTTTTGGTGAAATCGCACATTAAAATAAACATTTTAAATATCTTTAAATGCAAGTTGTTAAAAGGCCTTTTTTAAAAGTTGGATTTTGGCTAGGCACGGTGGCTCATGGCTGTAATCCCAGCACTTTGGGAGTCTGAGGCAGGTGGATCACGAGGTCAGTTCGAGACCAGCCTGGCCAGCATGGTGAAACCCCATCTCTACTAAAACTACAAAAATTAGCCAGGCATGGTGGCGCGCACCTGTAGTCCCAGCTACTAGGGAGGCTGAGGCAGGAGAACTGCTTGAACACAAGAGGCGGAGGCTGCAGTGAACGGAGATCACGCCACTGCACTCCAGCCTGGGTGACAGAGTGAGACTCTGCCTCAAAAAAAAAAAAAAAAAATTCTTGGGCCAAGTACGGTGGCTCAAACCCGTACTCCCAGCACTTTGGGAGGCAGAGGGAGGCGGATCACGAGGTCGGGAGATCGAGACCAGTCTAACCAACATAGTTAAACCTAGTCTCTACCAAAAATACATAAATTAGCCTAGCATAGTGGCGGGTGCCTGTAATCCCAGCTACTCAGGAAGCTGAGGCAGAAGAATTGCTCGAACCCAGGAGGCAGAAGTTGTAGTGAGCCGAGGTTGTGCCACTGCACTCCAGCCTGGGCACAGAGCAACTCCGCCTCAAAAAAAAAAAGTTAAGATTGTAAACATAAAAGATATAATGGAACAGATCTTAGAAGACTGATTACACAAGCAATATTCCAATCACAATATTAGGGAGTTATGGATTTTTTCTCTTCATTTTTAAAGTTAATTTTTTTTTTGTTTTGAGACGGAGTCTCCCTCAGTTGCCCAGGCTGGAGTGCAGTGGCTTGATCTCAGCTCACTGCAACCTCTGCTTCCCGGGTTCAAGCAATTCTTCTGCCTCAGCCTACCAAGTAGCTGGGATTACAGGCGTGCGCCACCATGCCCAGCTAATTTTTGTATTTTTGTAGAGACCGGGTTTCGCCATATTGGCCAGGCTGGTCTCGAACTCCTGACGCCATGATCCATCTGCCTCGGCCACCCAAAGTGTTGGGATTAAAGGCGTGAGCCACTGCTCCCGGCCTGAAGTGAGTTTTTAAAACATGAAACAAAACATCAAAGTTATGAGGCTTGTGAGCATCTGTAACAAAGAACAATGCAGTTGCTGTGACATGACAAAACTTGTTTCTGCAACTCCTTTCATTAACTACACCTGACCCTGTCGCAGGAGCTGAGCAAGGCTTCAGGCTTACTATTGGAATAAGTTCATCTCTGTGGCTATTCAGGCAGTTCAAAGAATTCATTTTACACAACAGGCAAAACAAAAAAGGGAAGCCAAGATCCATTCACTCACAGTAACAGAGTTTTACAGCTGGATGGGACTGAGGGATTTAAAGAAGTCAAGGCAGATGTGTACAGGAGTGTATTTCTATATCTACTTAACTCACACACACTCCCCCAGCTTGATTCTACATCACCTTTCAGATCCTGGCATTTAAGATAATCTTCTCATATTACGGGGGAGGGCGGCGGGGGGAGGAGGTGAAAGAATAGTGTTGGCGGGGGGCAATCCGGACTGTCTTAAAGAGACAGCACACATCCTCTTATTAAGACAATAAATGAGAACGAAATTCACTAGTCAATACAATATTGAGCACCTACTGCCCATCTGAGCTCTATAAACTGACAGAAGAGAAGGGTGCTTCCCCACGTGTTCCCTGGTCCCGCATTTCGGCCTACAGGAACGGCGCTCTTTAAACTACTTACTAGACATGAACATTGCCACCGTGAGTCTGAGGCCAGCTTTCCCTCATCTTGTCTACTACGGAATCTTGTGAAATCCCAAAGATAACTTTAAAAATTATTTTAACATACATGTGAATTCACAATAACATAAATACACTCGCATCTCCTCCACACCGCTGAAAGAGGAGAAAGGTTCAAGTACAAAGGTGGGGAATGCTCGCACCGGCTTCTCCCTGTCCTGGGTGAAATCCATGTTGGGAAGAGCTTGATCTAGGTCACCCACCCGGGAGCTGAGACCACAGACGTCCCTGCCACCTTCGGCGGCGCAGCCTCGTCTAGATCTCACCGCCTCAACTTGCCAGGAAACTTAACGACCTGAAAGCACCAGACCGCCGAGCAAGCCATCGGAAGTTCCCTTTCGCACTCACCACCACAGAAAAACTGAGTTCAGTGAGACAGACCTTAGAGGAGCCAGGTCCTGGGATGAGACCTCCTGGTCCCCCAAGCACCTGCCATTGAGCTCCGCTCCGACCCTACGACCCCGAGAGAAACACCCGCCCGCGGGCAGAGCCGGCCGGGACCAGGAGCAGTGGGTGCGGGGCGACCCGCGGGACAACGACCCGGCAGTCCCCCGCCCTCAAGACCCAGGGACCTCGGCTCCGCCCGGTCCCGCCGCTCCCAGGCCCCGCCTCGACCCCCTCACCGAGCAGCAGCAACAGCAGTAGCAGCAGCAGGGGTCGCCGGGCGCTGCCGGGGGCCGCCATGGCGCGAGGCGGCCGGGTACGGTGCGGGGAGCGGGGGCGCGGGCGGCGGTTGGGCCGCGGACTGCCGGGCGCTGCGGTGGCGGGGCGCGGGCGCCAAGGGCTGGCGTTAGAGACAGCGGCGTTACCAGACGCAAGAGGCCCGGCCACTGCGACGCCGGCACGAAGAAGACACCGCGGCCGGCAGCGCTTGTCACGTGAGCTGCGCCGCGCCCGGGCGTCACGTGATCCCGCGGGTCTCGCGAGAGCGCGCGCGTCGAGCGCCGGCGGCTCGGCTCCCCGCAGGTGCGGCAGCTTCCAGCACCGCGCGCCCCCTCACGCGTGATGCAGGCCGACACGTGACCCGCAGCGGCACGTGACCCGCAGCGGCACGTGACCCTGGACCCACGTGACCCGGCCTGGTCCGGGGGACTGGGGCCGAGCCGAGGTCCTGAAACGGGAAGTGGGCTGGGTTCGCGGAAAAGGAAGAGGAAGAGTAGTGGCGGGAGAAAGTGAGGAAAGAGGAAGCCCGCGAGGGGAGAAAGGGCAGACGGATCGCGGACGCCCAGGCCTCCCTTCAGCCTGCGAGGCGTCCCAAACGCGGGCTCTTTATGGACAGGAGGGTGGTGTGGGTGGCAGCGCGGGTGACCGGCCGGGTGCGCGGCCAGGGATGGGCGAAGGGTTTGTCTTTTGGTGAGTGGGAAGCAAGTTCCTCACACAGGGAGGCCACTGTGCCCAAACTCTTGAGTGGTTTTAGGAAGGAAATAAGGGATCTGAAATGGGTCAGTGCGGCCTTCCGCTCGTTAATCGCGGGCTGAGGGAAGACGGCACCAGGCTGCCCAAGGTGAAGGTGAAGGTGCGATGGCGATACTCTTTGGCTTACAGAAAGTTCCTGTCGAGCACTTTGTTTTTTTTTTTGAGACGGAGTCTCGCTCTGTCGCCCAGGCTGGAGTGCAGTGGCGCGATCTCGGCTCGCTGTAACCTCCGCCTCCCGGGTTCAAGCGATTCTCTTGCCTCAGCCTCCCAAGTAGCTGGGATTACAGGCGTGCGCCACCACGCCCGGCTGATTTTGTATGTTGAGTAGAGACGGGGTTTCACCAGTTGGCCAGGCTGGTCTCGAACTCCTGACCTCAAGCAATCCACCCGCCTCGGCCTCCCAAAGTGCTGAGATTACAGCCCTGAGCCACGGCGCCTGGCTCCTGCATTTTAGAAGTCTGAAGATGCTCTGTTTTTTGGCTTGTCATCATATAGGATTTATGGCCTTTTGTTAAAATACTATTTAATTAAGGCCCCTACGCTACTGCTTTGTATAAAGCACCCGTCGCATAAGTACCTACATCTTAGAAAAAGATTTAATCTTACATTTCAAAAGGCATCATAGCAACGGGGACTGGATGTGCACCTAGTTAATAGAGACAGCACTCAGCCAGATAAAGACAGGACCAGGCACTCACTATCAGTCCTCACCAGAGGACTGTGACCTTAAAAAGGGCGGGATTTGACCAATTCAACACTGGCATTTTGATAGACCCCACCTTGCTGTCACTTGTGCTTAGCACCCTGCATCTGCTGCCTAAGGATCTGCTCACATCAAGGACTTCCTTGGAAGACAATGACTTCTGTCTGGATCAGGCTGGAATACACTCCTTGTTCCCGTCATTGCTTTCCTTGGATTGATCCATTAACCCCTTTTCCTATCCTCTTTCTCTTGATGTCCAATGTTACTTTGTTTGATGGGGAATGTTTAAACCATAGCGTTTGTATTTTAAGTACACTATGATGTATAGTTTGCAGTATTGACTGACACGTGGACTGGCTTGAGCCTTTGCCCATGGCTCTACCAAGTTAACAAGTAGTACTGAAGGGAATTGTCTCGAGGCAACTCCTCGTAGCTCGTGGCTTTTATAATTGAAATAGCATCAATATATTCCCACCCTGTGGAAAGACATAAACGTGTGTGGACCTGGTTATGTCTGACCTTGTGCTGTTCACAACATGCCTTGAGAGAGAAATACTTCTGAACTGAGGCCTCTCACACGATGGGTACAGCAAGTGCTAATAAACTTCTGCTTGTTTCTCCTGTTGCTCTGAATTTTGTTTTCAGGAGAATGTCTCAACTAATAAAGAGAGAAAGAAGAGAAATTATATTTTCTCCCCTGCAGTGGAATGAGACAATTACGCGAAACTCTGGAGGTTTAAATTCGGGGACTCCTCTGATCCACTGCTTCTTAAGGAGGCTAGAAGTAGGGTTTAGAAAGTAGGAGAGGTGTTTGAACAAGCATACTGAATATTACAGTTTTATGGTGCAAAACAAAAACCTGCTTAACAATGCAAAAATAGAATCTAATGCTGGACAAAATCTTGGTTGAAGGAGGTTCAGAGATGACATGATTCCCACACTGTGTCCTAAAGTGTGTATCAGAACGGAGGGAGGGCATTTATCAAAAAAAGGCTCAGAAACACTCATCTAGTCCAAACCATACATATCTGTTCTTTCCTTTCCTGCTGCTGCCCCATGCTCTGGCCATACTCATCTATTTACTTCACCTGTCTCCACTTTTTTGTGGTTACAATTATTTAGACAAAGTGATGCCCTACTCCCTCCCTCCCTTCTTTTCTTTTCTTTTTTTCTTCTTTTTCTGATTCTTTCCTTTTTCTTTTCTTCCCCCTTCTTTCTTTTTTGTTTTGTTTTGTTTTGTGACAGGATTTCTCTCTGTCTCCCAGGCTGGAGTGCAGTGTTGGAATCAAGGCTCACTGCAGCCTCAAGCGGCCTTCCCACCTCAGCGTCCTAAGTAGATGGGACTACCGGTGCACACCATCACACCTGGCCAATTTTTAAAAAATTGGCTGGGATCACAGGCATGCACCACCATGCCAAGCTAATTTTTGTGTTTTTAGTAGAGACAGGGTTTCACTATGTTGTCCAGGCTGTTGAACTCCTGACCTCAAGTGATCCACCCTCCTTGGCTTCCCAAAGTGCTGGGAATACAGGCATGAGCCACCGCGCCTGACCTTTTTTTTTTTTTTTTTCACATTTTATAGCTTTTCTTTGTTTTTTAAGTTAGGAATTCAGTGTGGAATATATTTCCCTGAAGACATTGTTAACCTAAAATAATCAAGAGTCAGAATCTACTTTAAAGAGAGATTATTCAAGTGCAAAGTTTGAGGACAGGCCGCCCAGGAAGCACAGATTCCAAAGAACAGAAGTCGGTGTTCTGAAATGTAGCAGTTTGGGATCATTTCTATAGATGAAGTTTAGGGAAACTTAACACAATTCCAGCATCTTTCTCTCTGAGGGTGAATGCACAGTTACTGTGCTCCGATTAGCCAAGGTGGTCTTTTCCTATTGGGAAAGGTATGTTTGGCGTTCCACACGGACTACGTCACGGGGTCGTCGTGCCATCTAGTCTGAGTTAGGACAGATGCACAGGACAATGAAGGAGGCGGCTGGTCCACAGCAAAGATCAGTAATGGGAAGCGGGGAAGTCTGGTCTCTGGTCTCTCCTAGTCATTTACAAAACAAGAACAAGAGGCTGTGTGGTCACCTGTCAGCCTAACCAGTCCAAGAAGCTGAAGTTGCAAACGTGCTGCATGACTCAGGCCACAGGGCCTAGCTTCCCGCTTGGCACAAGAAACAGGCTCCTGAAATTTTCTTCTGCAGTTTCTGCCACAAGAGTTCAGGTTTGGAAGCTGATACATGGGCTCAGTATTTGAAATAAAGTAGTGGTTGATAGGTAAAAATTGAGATAAGTAGTCTTTTTGTAACAATTCTAAAGGATATTTTAAATAAAAGTAGAATAATATAATGATCCCCGCCTTGCCTACCACTATTACCCGCCTTTCAGTTACTACTTAAAAAATGTTTTTTAGAGGTAGGGTCTCACTGTGTTGCCCAGGCTGGGTTGCCCAACACTGCAGCCTCATCCTTCTGGGTGCAACTGAGCCTTCCACCTCAGCCTCCCAAGCACCTCCAACTACGGGCACGCACTGTCACACCTGGCTAATTTATTTTTACTTTTGTATAAAAGACAGGGTTTGCTATGTTGCTCAGGCTTATTGTGAACTCCTGGGCTCAAGTGAGCATCCCGCCTCGGCCTCCCAAAATGCTGGGATTATAGATGGGAGCCACTATGTCCAGCCCAGTTACCAACATTACGGCTAAACTCACCTTGGGCATTTCTAGGTCACAGTTGGAATCCATGATTTCATCAAGAAGCCCTGGTTTGGGCCAGGCGCAGTGGCTCACACCTGTAATCCCAGCACTTGGGGAGGCTGAGGTGGGAGGATCCTGTGAAGACAGGAGTTTGAGACCAGCCTGGCCAACGTGTTGAAACCCTGTCTCTACTAAAAATACAACAATTAGCGGGCTGTGTTGGCGTGCGCCTGTAATCCCAGCTACTCCAGAGGCTGAGACATGAGAATCACTTGAAACCTGGGAGGCAGAGGTTGCAGTGAGCTGAGATCATGCCATTGCACGCCAGCCTGGGCAACAGAGTGAGACTCTGTCTAAAAAAAAAAAAAAAAAAAGCCCTGGTTTATTTTGATGAAAAATGGTCTTTAGAGATGTCAGAGTCAAAAATGTAGAGATGACTCTCCAAATTTAACGTTTTATTTGGGAAGAAAGCATTGCAATTCAGGTGTCAACTGCAAATAATGAGATTCAGAAAATCTGATTACCTATAGTGTGTATTTGAGTGCAGAGCTTGAGGATGGCCACCCGGGAAGGCACTGACTGCAGACACATGGGGTCAGCGTTTCCAAGTGGAGAAGCTCAGGTTTCACTTACCACGCAGAGACAGAAGCTCCAGCAGGATCACCACAGTTCTCATATGAGACCAGGGGCACACGCCGCAGCGGTTCCATTGGTTAGGGATCTCTGTATTTGAAGGAAGATTGCGTTATGACTCCATGAGGAGGGGTAGTGATCTGAGGGGGTCTTATCTCCGGTGCCATTTGGTCTTTATTGTTTACAGGGAGAAAGGCAGAAGTTGCAGCTGCGTGTGGCATGACCTATGCCGTATAGCCACATTTCCTTCAAGGCTCAGGGTAATTCACAATTTCAAAGGCTTTATGTTTGATTCATTCAGTTTCACAGGGGCATACACACAAACTGCGTGTCTTTGAAGAACAAAGAGAAGATTCGGGGTTCGATAAGAATGAGGAAGGTCTTGAGAGAAAGTTCCCTGCTGTTGGTAAAGCTCTGTCCGGGATCTGGCAGGGTCCGTGGGCGTGGGCGGCAGCGGGGGCGGGGAAGTTTGTCCTCTGGGGCTGTCGGGTGTCTCAGCAGCCATGGATGGAACTGGATTCAGGTTACAGCAGCAGTTTTCACTGCCAGGCTTGAAGAGAATTACATTTTGGAGCAACATTGTGTGTCCTGAGTGCTTTCTCCCCAGGCTCTTTGACTGTTTTAGTTGGGTGTGGCGAGAATGACCCAATTTCTCTGATCAACTTTCATCGAGATCACAATCTATTTTAGCAACTGGTTTGTCAAGCTTCTAGGTCTTTTCCATACACAGACCTAAGAAAGACAGAACATTTAAGAGAAAATCAGGACTTTATACTGGGATTTTCTATTCAAATGATAATTAGGGAGTTTTAACATCTTTTTTTTTTTTTGAGATGGAGTTTCACTCTTGTTGCCCAGGCTGGAGTGCAATGGTGCGATCTCAGCTCACCACAACCTCCGCCTCCCAGGTTCAAGCGATTCTCCTGCCTCAGCCTCCTGAGTAGCTGTGATTACAGACATGCACCACCATGCCCGGCTAAATTTTTTGTATTTTTAATAGAGACGGGGTTTCTCCATGTTGGCTTGGCCGGTCTCAAACTCTCGACCTTAGGTGATCCTCCCGCCTCAGCCTCCCAAAGTGCTGGGATTACAGGTGTGAGCCACTGCACCCGACCTAACTTCTTGTTTATGTCTGTATTTGCACCTGTGTTTTCTTACGCTGACAATCTTGACCCCTGACAAGGGTCCCATAATTTGCTTTCTCCTACAATCTGTGAGTGATTGCTTTGCAGGGCAGCACCCAGGTCACCACCAGGACTGCTGGGTGCCTTGAGGGTCTGTCCACAGCTCTTTTTCGTCTTTTGGGCATGTCCTCCCAGGGCAGCAGCTGGTGCTCTGTGTAAAAGTCACTCAAGGCATCTTCTTTGTGTGGTTGTGCCACCCACTGTCTATACAGTTAGGTTCATTGACTTCATTTCTTTCCAAGTTTTAAGGAGTGCTTTTTGTTCCTTTTTTCTTTTTTTTTTCCTGTTTTTTTTTTTTCTTTTTTTGAGACAGGGTCTTGCTCTGTCACCTAGGCTGGAGTGCAGTGGCACAATCTTGGCTCACTGCAACCTCGAACTCCTGAGCTCAAGTGATCCTCCCTCCCCAGCCTCCCGAGTAGCTGGGACCACAGGTGCGTGCTACCACACATGGTTAATTTTCTGAACTTTTTATAGAGACGGGGTCTTGCCGTGTTACCCAGGCTGGTCTTGATCTCCTGGGCTCAAGCGAACCTCCTGCCTTAGCCTCTCAAAGTGCTGGGATTACGAGCTGGTCTTGAACTCCTGAGCTCAAGTGATCTTCCCACCTCAGCCTCCCAATGTGTGGGGATTATAGACGTGAGCCACCACGCCCAGCCTGAACCATAAATGCATTTTGTGAAGCAAAACAAAACAAAACAACAAAACAAAACAAAAACAAGCCCCAAAAGGTCACAAGTGGGATTCCGTGCACATGACATTCTGGAAAAAGCAAAGCACTAGGGACTGCTGGGGCAGCGGGGAGCTGGCCCCAGCATTCCAGCATGACGGGACAGTTCTGGGGCCCGGGGGAGAGCCGGCCCCAGCATTCCAGTGTGACGGGACAGTTCTGGGGTCAGGGGGCTGTGGGGGTTCTGGGATGACAGGAAAATTCTGGGGTTGGGCTGGGGCCATGGGGGTTCCAGGATGACAAGACAGTTCTGTAAGGAATATGGTGGTGGAGGACATTCTGAATATTTGTCAAACCCATAGAGATGCACATCACAGACTAAGCTTTACTATACATTAATGTTGGAAATCTACCTGGAGGTAGGGATGGGGGAAGACCCAAGACAGAATGCAGGCTGTGACCAGCAAAGACAGTGCATGGGAGCGAGTCCCGCAGCCACACTGAAGGACGTGAGGAAGAAAGGAGCTGGTCTAAGTGACTTGAAGTCTTCACAGGATGCTTTTGGGGAGGAAATATGATCTTCCTCAACCTCCATGACTTCTGAGTTGGGACAGAGTCCTGTGACAAAAGACAGGTTAACAAGAGAAAAGCAAACGGTTGATAAACACACACGGTGTGCATCAATGGGAGGAATCTCAGCGTGTTAGCTGTTTGCATCGCTAAAAAGGCATACTTGAGGCTGGGTAATTTACAAATAAGAGGTTTATTTTGGCTCATGGTTCTGCAGGCTGCACAGAATGCATGGTGCTGGCATCTGCTTCTAGGAAGGCCTCAGGGAGCTTCCAATCGTGGCAGAAGGCGGAGGAGCAGGCGCATCACCTGGCAAGAGAGAGACGCCAGGCCGCCTGAAACCACCAGCTCTCATGAACTCAGAACAGGTTCTCGCTTGGTACCACAAGGAGAGAACCAAGCCATTCACGAGGAATCCGCCCCCATGACCCACACATCTCCCACCAGGCCCCACCTCCAACACTGGAGATTATGTATTTCAACATGAGATTTGGAGGGACAAATATCCAAACCACCTCACTCAGTGAAAATAACAAAGCAGTGGCTCACAACTCTGGCTTACAGCATCTGCAGGAAAGAACAATACATTTGCAGACAGAGGGCAAAAGAAAGCAATTCTGGGCTTCCAAAGGTGGGAAATTGTGGGAAGCTAAAATATATGAGAGGAAACGAATGGGGTAAGGTTTGCTTGCAGATTTCCCTGGTATCTTCTCCGAGCTGGTGAGCATCCAGAGTTGTCTCCAGTAAAGGAGAATTTATATCCTGTCTTGGTGTAGAAGAGCTTTTCCTCCATTTGCTGCTAAATTGCTTTTAGCTCAAAATAAGTTTTATGTCAAAGAGGCATATTTTACAGTGACGCATTCTGCTTTCCTTTAATACTGTGAGGTTAAAGGCGCAAGAGCTGTTCAGAAACACCACACTCCAGTTGGTAAATTTGTTTCCCACAGGGGTGTGGATTAGCAAACTATGTGTTTGCCAGTGTGGAACCAGTGGATATTCTGCAGATAATGATGATTTGCAGGTCCTCCCTGTGGAAGACAGAAGTTATGAGTAAGGAAAGGTACAGGTGAGAATGAGTTCTGTGGCACTGGATGGGCAGGCCCTGGGGCCTCAGGATGAACCCAGGTGTCTTTAAATAGATACAGCCGCATAGTTACAGAAATAAGCAGACCTGCACGTGCATGCACACGTGAGTCACGGACCCTCCTCTCCTCTCCTGGCTCCAGCTGCTGACAGAGCTGAAGCTGCAGCTTCAGCGACAGCAAGCACAGGCTGTGGCCACATCCTGGTCTCTCAACACTGTCCTCCAGTAAAGGAATCTGGGCTCCTTGGAGAATGGTTGATCCAAGACTGGGAGGGAAAATGCAAAATGAGCCTGGAGCATCTTGTGGCTCCAGGAAATTAGGATGTACTTGAAAAGCAAACTGATAGGTGTGATAAAAGGACCCAGATGCCACCCCAAAAAACATTCCCAGTGGCCAAAGCTGGAAGAGTTTGAGTAGGAAAGTAAAGAATAATAGCTTTGGTGTATGAGCAAAAGAATAAATGTCTCTTGTTGGGAGCAGGCCCCCCAAAATCTGGCCATAAACTGGCCCCAAAACTGGCCATAAACAAAATCTCTGCAGCACTGTGACATGTTCATAATGGCCCTAACGCCCAAGCTGGAAGGTTGTGGGTTTACAGGAATGAGGGCAAGGAACACCTGGCTGGCCCAGGGTGGAAAACCACTTAAAGGCATTCTTAAGCCACAAACAATAGCATGAGCGATCTGTGCCTTAAGGACATACTCCTGCTGCAGTTAACTAGCCCAACCTATTCCTTTAATTTGGCCCATCCCTTCGTTTCCCATAAGGGATACTTTTAGTTAATTTAATATCTATAGAAACAATGCTAATGACTGGTTTGCTGTTAGTAAATATGTGGGTAAATCTCTGTTCAGGGCTCTCAGCTCTGAAGGCTGTGAGACCCCTGATTTCCCACTTCACACCTCTGTATTTCTGTTTGTGTGTCTTTAATTCCTCTAGCGCCGCTCAGTTAGGGTCTCCCCGACTGAGCTGGTCTCGGCAGTCCCTGAATCCCTTCGGATGGAAAAAACTGAATAAGTAGAGGAGAAGAAACAAATCTTTCTTACAGAAATTCCCATCATTCAATGCAGAAAGGAGGAGGGAAGTGGAAAATTAGCATTTCCACCGTCATAAGGATTGCTGTAGGCTGTGTCCACTGGCAGACCTGAACAGGAATGTTTAAGGAGAAACGTATTTGCATCGCCTTGAAGCCTCCCGGCTGCCACGAGCTGAGTCTGCTGATGGAGGCTGGTATCCCCTGTGGCAGGATCTGCTGGCACCATGTGCCTCCTGACAGGCCGCTGTACATGCCCAGCCCCCTTGGTGCTGGCCTTCAGAAAACAGACCAGCGCAGATGGAAGGCAGGTCTACCAGGTACCTGACCAGTACTCCTCAAAACCTCAAGGTCATGACAGACTGTGAAAGAAAAATGAACTGTCACAGACAAAGACACCAAGGAGACATGAGGACCAATGCAGCGTGGGACCCTGGACCAGCTGCTAGAATAGAGATAGGGCATTTGTCAAAAATTGGTAACATTCAAATGAGCTTTGTACTTTAGCTAATGGCAGTGCACCAAAATTCATCTTTTGTTTTTGATGGGTGCACCATGGTTCTGTAAGGAGTTAACATGGGACTGGATGAAGGTATCAGGCTTCTGCCACTCTTATGTCTATAGCCAATGGCGTTTTCACTGGATCACGTTGCATGTACAAGTTCACTGAGGGAGGTTGACATCTTTGTGGTGTTGCACCTTCTTACCCAAGGGCACTTAAATTTGTCCAAGTCTAGCTTAAGTTACTTATTTATTTATTTATTTTTGAGAAGGAGTCTCACTCTGGAGTCTCACTCTGTCACCCAGGCTGGAGTGCGGTGGCACAATCTTGGCTCACTGCAACTTCCGCCTCCTGGGTTCAAGCAATTCTCCTGCCTCAGCCTCCCGAGTAGCTGGGATTACAGGCACCTGCCACCATGCCCAGCTGATTTTTGTATTTTTATTTGTTTTTATTTTTATTATTTATTTATTTATTTTTGAGAAGGAGTCTCATTCTGTTGCCCAGGCTGGAGTGCAGTGACACAATCTGAGCTCACTGCAACCTCCGCCTCCCGGGTTCACACAATTCTCCTGCCTCAGCCTCCCGAGTAGCTGGGATTATAGGCGCCCGCCACCACGCCTGGCTAATTTTTTGTATTTTTTGTAGAGACAGGGTTTCACTATGTTGGCCAGATTGGTCTCGAACTCCTGACCTCGTTATCTGCCCGCCTCAGCCTCCCGAAGTGCTGGGATTACAGGCGTGAGCCACCACGCCCGGCTCTCAAGCCATCTTCCTGCCTCAGTCTCCCAAAGTGCTGGGATTACAGGCATGAGCACTGCCTTATTTTATTTTTTAATTGACATATAATAATTGCACGTTTATGGAGTACGTAGTGATGTTTGGATCCATATAACGTGTAGTGATGAGATCAAGGTAATTAACACTTCTGTCAAATCAAACATCATTTCTTGGTATTGGGGTCATTCTGCATCCTCCCTCTAGCTATTTGAAACTGTAGTCCCTGTCCAGTACTGTAGTCCCTGTCCAGTGCTGTAGAACGCTGGAACTTGTTTCTTCTGTAATTTTGTATCCTTTAGCAAATCTCTCCCTATCCGTGATTGTTTTCTTTTCCCAAGAATCAGCAAATTGTCCCATATCGGAAGAGACTATTGTTGTGGTGATCAGAATTTCTAGCACTGGACCTGGGGGGAGGACAGGTTGCCAGGGGTCTTCCTCCCTCGAGCCTTCCATTCTCCCTGGGGTTGCATCAGAGCTGAGCTCTGTTGAGGCTACTCAGAATGTGGGCTTTGGCACCAGGCGGACCTGAGCTTGAAGCTCCTGTCTGTCACTCGTCACTGGGGTCCTTGATTTTCACTTCTTTACCGTGCTCGTGCACACTTACCTCAGCAGCATTTCCTGTTGGTCCATTAATGACAGGAGAGGCAACTGATCATGCTGATGGGTGTACGGTTAGGGTTAACCAATGAGAGGCAATGGATCGTGCTGATGAGTGTACGGTTAGGGTTAACCAAGGAGAGGCAACGATCGTGCTGATGAGTGTACGGTTAGGGTTAACCAAGGAGAGGCAACGATCGTGCTGATGAGTGTACGGTTAGGGTTAACCAAGGAGAGGCAACGATCGTGCTGATGAGTGTACGGTTAGGGTTAACCAAGGAGAGGCAAAGATCTTGCTGATCAGTGTATGGTTAGGGTTAATGAATGAGAGGGCGACTGATCATGCTGATCAGTGTACAATTAGAGTTAACAAATGACATGTCAGAAAAATGCAAAACAGGAAGTGTTAAAGTAAAATATATGCTAATAAGCAGAAAAAAGAAGCAAAACTCCCATGATGTGATAATTTTGTAAATGAGCCCCTTCTATGGGAATTTAGATTACTTTTTTCTGTTTAAAATAATGCCTTTGGGGCCAGGCAGAGTGGCTCACGCCTATAATCCCCGCACTTTGGGAGGCCGACGTGGGAGGATTGCTTGATTCCAGGAGTTTGAGATTAGCCTGGGCAACATAGGGAGACCCCATCTCTACAAAAAATACAAAAATTAGCTGAGTGTGATGGTGCATGCTTGTGATCTCAGCTACTTGGGAAATTGAGGTGGGAGGATTGCTTGAACCCGGGAGGTCAAGGCTGCAGTGAGCTGTGATTGTACAACTGAACTCCAGCCTGAGCAACAGAGCAACACCTTGTCTCAAAAATAATAAAATGGACCGGGCATCGTGGCTCACACTTGTAATCCCAGCACTTTGGGAGGTCGAGGTGGGCAGATTACAAGGTCAGGAGTTCGAGACCAGCCTAGCCAATATATAGTGAAATCCTGTCTCTACTAAAAACACAAAAATTAGCCAGGCATGGTGGTGGGCACCTGTAGTCCCACCTACTTGGGAGGCTGAGGCAGGAGAATTGCTTGAATCTGGCAGGCGGAGGTTGCAGTGAGCCAAGATGGTGCCACTGCACTCCAGTCTGGACAACAGAGTGAGACTCCATCTCAAAAAATAATAATAATAAAATTTAAAAAAAAATAATGCCTTTGGGAGCATCTTTTATACCTATGTGTTGGTTCATCTTGGATAGTTTCCTTTTGAGAGACTCCTTGGAGAATGGCTGGGTCAGAGGGTGTCAGCCTTTCGGCTTCTGTGTCTGAGTTGCTTTCCAGGAGCTGCTCATGAGAAGGCCTTAATACTGTCCTGAGTGTTAGGTGCCGTGACTTAAGCCTCTTAAAATGGGCAAGGTTTACCAATTTCCTTGAAGTACTTAAACCATGGTAGTCTTGTTTTTAGAAGGTTATGAAACGGAACCCTCTCACAAAAAAGAACCAAAACTTTTACCTTCTTCGAAAGTGGGTTTAAAAAAAATAGTTCAAAGTCATTTGCAGCAAGAGAAATTCGGTAACTGCAATAATGCTCATGTGCCCATTACAGACTCACTGGAATGCTGTCTCCTGAGAGCCCTGGGATCCAAGGTGTGCTTAATTAGAGCCTATTTTTATTTAAGAATGAAATCCTGCTAACCAGAGCCTATTCCTAATAATGAAAAACACAGAATGGGAACTGAAATCCACATGAAGCCACTTCTCCATCTGAACTCATGACTAACCTCAAAGGGGGATTTAAAAATGGCTCTGTGAGGCCCGGCGCGTTTTCTCATGCCTGTAATCCCAGCACTTTGGGAGGCCGAGGAGGGTGGATCACGAGGTCAGGAGATCGAGACCAGCCTGGCCAACATGGTGAAACCCCGTCTCTATTAAAAATACAAATATTAGCTGGGTGTGGTGGCAGTCACCTGTAATACCAGCTACTCGGCAGGCTGAGGTAGGCGAATCACTTGAACCTGGGAGGTGGAGGTTGCAGTGAGCTGAGATCGCACCACTGCATTCCAGCCTAGCGACAGAGCGAGACTGTCTCAAAAAAAAAATAAAAATAAAAAAAAAGAAAAAAAAGGCTCTATGTTACTGTTGCCATGCAGCAGAACTGAGCATCACGGGACAGACATGTCAGAACCGTGTTCACGTCATGCCTGAGGAGATGGTGATGAGAGGAAGGGTGTGACGAAAGACCTGCAGACACATGTCCATCTGTGGTCTCCAGGTGGTATCTGTTAGGAAGGCTACCTGGAGGCATCAGTCATCAGTTA
Organism: Homo sapiens; assembly: GCF_000001405.40. Classification (NCBI taxonomy): domain Eukaryota; kingdom Metazoa; phylum Chordata; class Mammalia; order Primates; family Hominidae; genus Homo; species Homo sapiens. The sequence continues at coordinate 113,284,003 of NC_000013.11, read as the reverse complement.
ATCTAGCCATTGTCTGTTTCTGTTTCATAAGAAGAAAACTTTAGGATCCAGACAAGACCATTAAGAAAGATCACGATGACCATGGCACTGACTTTGAAAAAGATCCTCAATGAGGAACTATTAGTTTATCTAAGTAGAGCTAGGTAAAAATGCCTCGTTCATTTTCCATTTTTTCTTTTAATTTTTATTTTATTTTGAGAAAGTCTTGCTCTGTTGCCCAGGCTAGAGTGTAGAGGCATGATCTTGGCTCACTGCAACCTCCGCCTTCCAGGTTCAAGTGTTTCTTCTGCCTCAGCCTCCCAAGTAGCTGGGATTACAGGCATGTGCCACCAAGCTAGGCTAATTTTGTATTTTTAGTAGAGATGAGGTTTCGGCATGTTGGACAGGCTGGTCTTGAACTCCTGGCCTCAAGTGGTCTGCCTGCCTCTGCCTCCCAAAGTGCTGACATTACAGGCGTGAGCCACTGCACCTGGCCTCTTTTAACTTTTAAAATCAACTTCATTGAGGTTAGTTTACATAAAATAAACCCATTTTAGGTGCTCAGTTTGAAGAATTTTTACAAGTATGTATACCCATGAAACCACCACCCCAATCAAGATAGGAAACATTTTCTTCAATCCAGAGGGCTCCCGCATGGCCTCTGCGGTTCACCCGACCCCTAAACCCACACGGCCACGGGTCTGCTTTGTCACAAGAGATGAGTTTTGTATCACAGCATTTCACTTTGTTGGAAGCACAGAGTGTGTACTTCGTTGTGTCTAGGTTCTTTCTCTTTGGGTGATGTTTTTGAGGCTTGCGCATGTTGCTGTATGCAGCATGCCTTCACCCTTTTTAGTGCGAAGGCACATCCCGTTGTTTGGCTCTACCATAATCGTCTGCTCATGCACCTGTTGAAGGACATTTGGGTTGTTGTTTCCATTGTTTTGGTAGTTACAAATAAAGCTGCCGTGAATGTTTGTGTGCAGGTCTTTTGTGGATCCGTGCTTTCCCTTCAGTAAATACCTGGGAGTGGAATGGCTGGGGCGTGTGATAGGTGCGTGTTTAGCTTCCGGAGAAACTGCTACCTGTTTCTCCAAAGTGGGTGCACCATTGCATGTTCCCCACAACAGCGTCTCCACATCTCTGCCAAAACTTGGTATTGTCAGTCTTTTTTTCTAATTTTTTCTTTTTCTTTTTTGTCTTTTGCAACAGAGTCTTGCTATGTTGCCCAGGTTGCTCTCAAGTCCTGGCCTCAAGCGATCCTGCCACCTCAGCCTCTCAAATAGCTGGGATTACAGGTGTGCACCACCACTCCCAATTTGTCTTTTTAATTAAAAAAATTATAATAGCTTTGTAATAGTGTCTCGTGATTGTCATTTGCATTTTACTGACAACTAATGGCATGGAGGGTCCTTTCATGTGTCTGATATCCATTTGTATCTTTTTCAGTGAAGTGTCTATTTATAGAATGTTTGGCATATTTTTAAGAATGGTTTATTTTCTTATTGTTGAATTCTGAGTGTTCTTTACATATTTTGGACACAGATCCTTTGTCAGCGCTATGTATTGTAAATATTTTCTCCCATTCTATGCCTTGCCTTTTTTTTTTTTTTTTTTTTTTTTTTGAGACAGAGTCTTGCTCTGTCAGGCTGGAATGCAGCGGCACGATCCTGGCTCACTGCAAGCTCTGCCTCCCGGGTTCATGCCATTCTCCTGCCTCAGCCTCCCGAGTAGCTGGGACCACAGGCACCTGCCACCACGCCTGGCTAATTTTTTTTGTTGTTGTATTTTTAGTGGGGACACGGTTTCACCGTGTTAGCCAGGATGGTCTCAATCTGTTGACCTCGTGATCTGCCTGTCTCAGCCCCCCAAAGTGCTGGAATTACAGGCGTGAGCCACCGTGCCCAGCCACCTTTTTGTTTTCTTAATGGTATCTATCAAAGAGCAAGCTTTCAGTTTTTTTAATGTATTTTATTTTATTTTGAGACAGGGTCTTGCTCTGTCACCCAGGCTGGAGGGCAGTGGCACAATCAGGGCTCACTGTGGCCTTGACCTCCCAGGCTCAAGTGATCCTCCTGCCTCAGCCTCCTGAGTAGCCGGGACTACAGGAATGTGCCACCACGCCCAGCAAATTTTCTGAGTTTTTTTGCAGAGACAAGATCCACTGTGTTGCCCAGGCTGGTCTCAAACTCCTGGGCTCAAACGAATCCACCCGCCTTGGCCTCCCAAAGTGCTGGGACTCCAGGCATGAGCCACCCCGTCCAGCCCAACACCCCCTTATCCTATCTCAAGCATTTCTTTCTACTGACCTCAAGTCTTTAATTCTTTCAACCAGTTGCCAATCAGAAAATCTTTGACTCCATCCATGACCTGTAAGCCCCTTCCAACCTTCACTTCAAGATGCTCTGCCTTTCCAGGCAAACCAAAGTATACTAACCTGCATCCGTTTACGCCTTTGCCCACAACTTCTGCCTCCCTAAAATGTGTAAAACCAAACTGGAACCCAGCCACCTCACGTGCATTCTCAGGACCTCCTGAAACTGTTCCCTGGGCCATGGTCACTTGTATTGGCTCAGAATAAACCTCTTTCTTTCTTTCTTTCTTTCTTTCTTTCTTTCTTTCTTTCTTTCTTTCTTTCTTTCTTTCTTTCTTTTTCTTTCTTTTCTTTCTCTTTTCTTTCTTTCTCTTTCTTTCTCTCTCTCTTTTCTTTCTTTCTTGCTGTCTTTCTCTTTCTTTCTTTTCTTTTTTTTTTTTTTGAGATGGGATCTTGCTCTGTCCCCCAGGCTGGAGTGCAGTGGCACAATCATAGGCTCATGCAGCCTCAAACTCCTGGGCTCAAGGGTAAACCTCTTTCAATATTTTACAAGTTTGGCTTTTTCGTCAAAATTGCCTCGGCATCTTTATTTTTTTGTTTATTTGGTTTTTGCTTTTTTGAGACAGGATCTCACTCTCATGACCCAGGCTGGAGTGCAGTGGTGCCATCACTGCTCACTGCAGCCTCGACTTCCCAGGGCGGGTGATTCTCCCACCTCGGCCTCCCGAGTAGCTGGGACTACGGGTGCGTGCCACCACACTCAGATAATATTTGTATTTTTAGCAAAGATGGGGTTTCACCATGTTGCCCAGGCTGGTCTTGAATTCCTGAGCTCAAGTGATCCACCTGCCTCGGCCTCCCAAAGTACTGGTATTACAGGTGTGAGCCGCTGTACCTGGCCTGGCATCGTTGTTGAAAATAACTTGACCTGATGTAAGTGGATGAAGTTTTATTCTCTCTGTGTAACTCAGTTGATCTCTATGTCTCCCCTTTTGCTAATATCACAATGTCTTGATTTATAGTAAGTCTTTGGTATTAGGTAGAGTAAGTCTTCCAACTTTGTTCTTTTAAAATTTGTTTTGACTATTTGCACTTCCATATACATTTTAGAATCAGCTTGTCATTTTTCTATAAAGAAAGCCAGAATTTTGCTGGGCTCTGGATTGAATCTATTATCAATTTGGAGGAGACTGACATCTTAATATTGGGTTTGACAATAATGTGGTATACATCTCTATTTATTTTAGTCTTCAACTTTTTTTTCAACCATGTTTTGTAGTTTTCAGTTGTGTTAGATCATTTTGGCTGCTATAACAAAATACTGTACATTGGGTGACTCATAAACACTGGAAATTTATTTCCCACAGCTCTGGAGGCTGGGAAGCCCAAGATTGAGGCGCTGGCAGACTCATTGTTTGGTGAGGGCTGCTTTCTGGATCTTTGATGGTGCCTTCTTGCTGTGTCCTCGCATGGCGGAAGGGACTGGCTACTTCTCTGGGCTCTTAAAAGGGCAGGAATCCCATTCACAGATTCCACCTGCACGACCTCGTCACGTCCCAAAGGCCCTACCTCCTGATACCATCACCTTGGGGGTGAGGATTTCCACACACAAGTTTTGGGGGTACACACTAGTCTACAGCATCATATAACCATCTGAATCCACAAATGTCTCTCTAAACACGCTCTAGTGCATCGGACAAATTTTTGGTCAATTATTTTCATACTCATCAAATTCAAAACATTTTCTAATGTTCTTTGTGATTTTTCTTTGACTCGTGGATTACTGATTTACAAGTGTGTTATTTATTTAGAATTTTCTCTTTATATTAGATTTATTCAAAAATATATTGCTTAATTTTTTTTTTTTTTTTTTTTTTTTTGAGACGGAGTCTCACTCTGTCACCCAGGCTGCAGTGCAGTGGCACGATCTTGGCTCACTGCAACCTTCGCCTCCCGGGTTCAAGTGATTCTCCTGCCTCAGCCTCCTGAGTAGTTGGGACTACAGGCACGCGCCACCATGCCCAGCTAATTTTTTGTATTTTTAGTAGAGATGGGGTTTCACCATCTTGGCCAGGGTGGTCTTGAACTCCTGACTTTGTGATCCACCTGCCTTGGCCTCCCAAAGTGCTAGGATTACAGGCATGAGCCACTGCACCCAGCCTATGCTGAATTTCTAACCGTTTAGTTATTTAGTTATCTTTCTGTTAGATATCTAACCTCATTGTGGTCAGAGGATGCATTCTGTATAATTTTAATCCTTTAAATATATTAACCCTTGTTTCATGAGCCACCCGTGCTCATCCTGGTGTGTGCGGCTGTTGTTGGGTGTAATGCTACCTGACTGTCATTGTTGGGTGTAATTCTATGTGACTGCCGTTGTTGGGTGTAATGCTACGTGACTGTCGTTGGGTGTAATGCTATGTGACCGTCGTTGGGTGTAATTCTACGTGACTGTCATTGTTGGGTGTAATTCTACATGACTGTCGTTGTTGGGTATAATGCTACGTGACTGTCGTTGGGTGTAATGCTATGTGACCGTCGGGTGTAATTCTACGTGACTGTCGTTGTTGGGTGTATGCTACATGACTGTTGTTGGGTGTAATTCTATGTGACTGTCATTGTTGGGTGTATGCTATGTGACTGTTGTTGCTGGGTGTAATGCTGACTGTCGTCGTTGGGTGTAATGCTACGTGACTGTCATCGTTGGGTGTAATTCTATGTGACTGTCATTGTTGGGTGTAATGCTATGTGACTGTTGTTGGGTGTAATGCTACACGACTGTCATTGTTGAGTGTACTGATACACGACTCTCAACTGGCTCCAATTAGCAAAGAGTGTTTTTCAAGTCTTTTCTATCCCTCTTGATTTTCTGCTATCTCCTCTCAGTTACTGAAAGAAGAGGGTCAGCACTCCTGCTGTACCCATGGGTAGGCCTGTTTCCTGTTGCTCTTGTCTGCCCATCAGCTTTTGCTTTACATATTTTGAGGTCTGTGAATAGAGGCCTGCCCAGTTAGGGTTAAGTCTTGGGATGAACGTCGGTGTTTTACCGTTATGAAAGGTACCTCTTATCTCTGGTGAGATTCCTTGTCCTGAAGTCTACTTCGATCTGAATGTAGCCACTCTTATCTTTCGCATTCGTCTTCATGGTATGTCTTTCTTCATCTTCTTTCTTCTTTAGACAAGGTCTCAGCCGGGTGCCGTGGCTCACGCCTGTAATCCCAGCATTTTGGGAGGCTGAGATGGGTGGATCACTTCAGGTCAGAAGTTCGAGACCAGCCTGCCCAAATCCCATCTCTACTAAAAATACAAAAATTAGCCAGGTGTGGTGGGTGGCGGGCACTTGTAATCCCAGCTACTTGGGAGGCTGAGGCAGGAGAATTGCTTGAACCCTGGAGGCGGGAGCTGCAGTGGGCCAAGATCGCACTACTGCACTCCAGCCTGGGCAACAGAGCAAGATTCCATCTCAAGAAAAAAAAAAGGCTCTATCTTGCCCGGGCTGGAGTGCAGTGGCGTGATCTTGGCTCACAGCAATCAATCTCTGTCTCCAGGTCAAGCCATCCTCCTACCTCAGCCTCCCAGGTAGCTGGGACTATAGGTATGCACCACCATGCCTGGCTAATTCTTGTATTTTTTTGTAGAGATGGGGTCTTGCCATGTTGTCCAGGCTGGTCTCATACTCATGAGCTCAAGCAATCTGCCCGCCTCGGCCTCCCAAAGTGCTGGGACTGCAGGCGTGAGCCACCGCGCCCAGCCTTCTCTTCTTTTTGTTAAGAAGCATGCTACCATGGTTCATTTGGTTCATTGTATTTGTTCAAGGACTCGATTGCAAGCATGAAATCAAGCATGGGATTTGATTCTGTGAGCCCAAATTCACATACTGAAGAAGATAAAAGCAAACGGTGATGCATGTATATGGATGAACACTGAAGGCTCAGGGTTCATCTCACTGTGGTTTTAAATTTCTACAGCTTAGGAGTCACAGGTCTTTGAGGTCCTTTTGGATGTCCCACGGGGTATCTGCACTTTTCTTGAGCAGAACAACCTCATTATCCCTTAGCTGTGGTTGGTAACACTGTTTAATCCCTGAGCAGTGAGGGTACATGGGAGGCTCCAGAGGGCTTCATTCTTGGTGCCCTGCATCCCCTTCACTATTGTTGATACTGGGTGAGCCCTGGACAGATTTTTCAACGTGGATTCAATAAGATCAGCTACACTTCACCCAGGAGCCCAGTCGGTATATCCTTTTAGCTTGATGACCACAGGCACTTTCAACCACTATCTTATACACTTCCTTCCAAGTTTCCTGATCATCATTAGTTCCCATTTCTGGATTCAATTCCTGGAGAGAAACACCTGCCACGTTCACACTACTCCACACAGCCACACTTGAGTCACTGTGTTCTCCCCAAATCCATCCGTGGCAGAATCCAGATCACACCCACTTCCAATCACACAGTGCTTGGGTAATCCAACATATGTAAGAATGTGCACTGCATTGGAAACCTCAATTATGATGCAACCAAGCTCTCTCTGTACCAGGTTGAGATGACTGTCTCACTCTTTTGTTTTTAGACGTAGTCTCGCTCTGTTGCCCAGGCTGGAGTGCAGTGGCGTGATCTCGGCTCACTGCAACCTCTGCCTCCTGGGTTCAAGCAATTCTCCTGCCTCAGCCTCCTGAGTAGCTGGGATTACAGGAATGCGCCACAACACCTGGCTAATTTTTTTTGTATTTTTAGTAGAGATGGGGTTTCACCATATTGGCCAGGCTGGTCTCGAACTCCTGACCTTGTGATCCTCCCATTTTGGCCTCCCAAAGTGCTGGGATTACAGGTGCGAGCCCAGTGGTCACAGAGTCATCTTTATCTGCCATAATTTTAGGTGTCTGAAGAAATAAGCTGCCATCTGCAGATCCACCATGCCACCTTTACACTGATCTTCCGTAGCACGCACAAGAGCAAGCTCATCAGAGACCTTCCCAGAGGCAGAGAGCACGCGCCTCACCAGCTTCTCCAACACGCCCACAGTGATCTGCTTGTTTGGGACCTGTTGCCCCTTCTGCAGCTGGTGCAAGGAGTCTTTCCTTAAGAAATGCCCTTGTGCCCAGGAGAGAGTAGGCTCTGGAAACTGCTGTAACAGTTGTACAGAGAAGACAATGCCAGCTGCGTGCGTCTCGTGGTCTTTCTTCATCCTTTAACTCATCTGTGTCTTTATTAAAATGACTCTCTGGGCTGGGCATGGTGACGCACGCCTGTCGTCCCAGCAGTTCTGGAGGCTGAGGCAGAGGATCCACTTGAGCCCAGGAATTTGAGACCAGGCTGGGCAACACAGTGAGATGTCATCTCTACAAAATATAAACAATTGGCCAGTTGTGGTGGCGCACACTTGCTACTCAGAAGGCTGAGGTGGGAGGATTGCTGGAGCCTGGCAGATTGAAGCTGCAGTGAGCCGTGATTGTGCCACTGCACTCCAGCCTGGGTGACACAGTGAGATCCTCTCTCTTGAAATAACAGTGCCTTTGTAGTAGACAGCATATACTTTGGTCTTAATTTTCTATACAGCTTGAAAATCTTTGGCATTTAACTGGAGTGTTGTTTATGTCATTGTTACCAATAAATTAATGAGATGGTCAGGTTCAAGTCCACCCTCTTTCCATTTCCATTTGTCCTATCCGTTCTTTATTCCCTTTTAAAAGTGAATTTCCAGGCCAGGCGCGGTGGCTCACGCCTGTAATCCCAGCAATTTGGGAGGCAGAGGCAGGCAGATCACGAGGTCAAGAGTTCGAGACAAGCCTGGCCAACATGTTGAAACGCTGTCTCTACTAAAAATATAAAAATTAGCTGGGCATGATGGCGGGTACCTGTAGCCCAGCTACTCGGGATGCTGAGGCAGGAGAATTGCTTGAACCCAGGAGACAGAGGCTGCAGTGAGCCAAGATCACATGACTGCACTCCAGACTGGTGGCAGAGCAAGACTCCATCTGAAAAAAAAAAAAAAAAAGAATTTCCTGTCTGCCTTTTGTAAAACAAACATAAAATTCAAAGCCCCCTCAGACCATCTGAATGGACCGCTGTATCAGGGAGGGCATTTCCAAGGCTAACCTGAAGGGCTGGCTCCGGCCATGATGGGGGCAGGGGTCAGACATGACTCATGATACCGCCTTTTGGAATTATTGATAGAACAGACTCTTTAAGCCTCATGAGAATCTGTTCCCTCTGAAGCCTGCCACCTGGAGGCTGCATCTGCATGGTGAAAGTTTGGTCTCCACAGCCCCTTATTATAACCCAGACATTCCTTTCTGTTGATTCCAGGTCTTTAGATAATAACTCTTTCAACCAATTGCCAATCAGAAACATTTTAGATCTACCTATAACCTGGAAGCCTCCCACAGCCCCTGTTCCAGACCAAACTAACGTACATCTTACATGTATTTGATTGATGTCTCATGTCTCCCTAAAAATAAATTAGTCTGTGTCCTGACCACCCTGGGCACATGTTCTCAGGACCTCCTGAGGCTGCGTCATGAGCCATTGGTCACTCATACTTGGCTCAGAATAAATCTCTTCAAATATTTCACAGTTTGACTCTTTGTCAACACTTTGGATTGAGTGTTCTTTCAAATTATACTTTGTCTCCTCTGTTGGCTTGTTCTTTCTCTCTTTGCCTCTCTCTCTGGTATTGTTAGTGGCTGCCCCAGGGTTACCACACACATCTCTGGCTCATCACACTCACTAGACCATCTCCCCTTTCCCCCAGGGCTGTCACACACATCTCTGGCTCATCACACTCACTAGACCATCTCCCCTTTCCCCCAGGGCTGTCACACGCATCTCTAGCTCATCACACTCACCAGACCATTTCTTTCCCCATTCTTTGTGTCGTGTCATTCGTTTTACTTCTACATATGGTATTAATGCCAACATATATTATTTTTGCTTTCAACAGTTGTTTTTAAAGAAAATAATGATTGTGTAGCTAATTTGTGTGAGTGTCTACCCAAATGCTTGCAAGTGCGGGCGCTCCCCAGGCCTTCGGCAGACCCTGGCTTCTATCTGGCTTTGCTTTCCAGCAGCTGAAGCTCCTTCCTCCTGCACTTCTCCTACTAGAGGTCTCTGTCTGAAAAGGCATACTTTGCCTCCATTCAGAAATGTATGTTCACTGAATACAGACTTCCCAGCTGACAGTGTTTGCTTCAGCTCTTCACTAATGTTTCTGAAGATAAGCCACTTAGATTTGTATGGAACTGGGTTTTCCTGATGAAGAGGCACTGTGCTTGTGCGTGACTGTGACTCATTCCTCTTTGCTGGTGTGTAGTACGTGTCCTAAGCAGCTTTGTGTGTGTTCACTTGGAACCACCCCATGAGGTAAGTAGGATTATTATCTCCACTTATAAGAAAACCAAGGTTTAAAGAATTGCAGGAATTTGCTCAGGGGCACCTGGAGAGTGACAGATGGAGGACCTGGCAGAGGGGGGACCTGGCCAGTGTTAAAGCTTCTCTGCTGATCCCAGTGCCTTGAAGGTGCTGTTCATTCTGTGAAGAGTGGACTCCTGGCAGGCGTCCACTTCTCAGTACAATGCTCCCTCAACTTGTGCTGCAGTTGGCCTTGGTTCCTCCATCACGGACCACAGAAAGCCTTACCTCTGCTCGGCTGTCCGCCCCTCGGCTTCCTTAGGACCTCTGCCGGGGGAGCACACTGCGCGGGGATGTGGTTTCCCTGTTCTGTTCCCTGGGAGGAGCACGCTGCGCGGGGATGTGGTTTCCCCTGCTGTTTGGGAAACCTGCCCGCAGTTATTTCTCCTTTCCGTATGCTCAGATTCTCCCCTTTTCTCTCTTGCTTGCTCAGTTTGATGCTTGCTCAATTCTCATTACCCGAGAGCAGCTCTCCCTGGCCTCTGCCTTGCCTCCAGCTACATCTCGCCGCACCCACTACCCGTCGGGCCCAGCACACAAACTGAATGGCCCGAGATGCCACCGTGATGGTCTGTTTCTGATTCTCACCATACCTTAAAACTCCCTTCTTTTGTTCTGTCACACTCGTACTTCTCCCCATTCTTATCTTGCTGGTCTTTGTTCCTTCCACTGGCCCTGCTTCATTCACTCCTCAGTGTTTACTGAGCACTGTGCACCAGATGCTATAGACTTGGGGACAGGCTTGTGCCTAAAAACACGACTTCAGAAGCCTGACGAATGGGGGCCCAGATCACAACACACGTGCTTGAGCTTGAGACCTGTCTTAAAGAAAAAAAATTGACAACTCTCTGAGGCACTAGTTCAATTTTTTTCTTGACGGCATCTAGCGCTGTTGCCCAGGCTGGAGTGCAGTGGTGCCATCATGGCTCACTGCAGCCTTGACTTCCTGGGCTCAAGCAATCCTCCCACCTCTGCCTTCTGAGCAGCCAGGAGTATAGGCATGTGCCACCACACCTGGCTAATTTTTATATTTTTTTGTAGAGATGGGTTTTCACTATGTTGCCCAGGCTGGTCTTGAGCTCCTAGGCTCAAACAATCTGCCCACCTTGGCCTCCCAAAGGGCTGGGATTATAGGCTTGAGCCACCGCGCCCCACTGGTGTGTAATTTTAATCCTAACATCATTTGCCTGATGTGCAGGAAGTCAGTACACTGAGACACTGGGGATTGCAGCAGAGACGGAGCTTAACACCCAGAGGGGAACTGAACAAGAGACAGAGGAAGCCTTGAACGCGCCTCTCAGAGGAGTTTGGGGCTGGGGATTTTAAGGGTTTCGGAGTGGCCGAGGTGTGGGAGTTGCTGATGGGTTGAAGAGTGCAGGCTAAAATCATGGGATGGGGGGATGAAGAACCTGCATTCTCATGCCGCCTCAGCGCCCTGTGGGAGCCTTTGACTGGTTGATGTCAGCTGTTCTGCTGGAATTGAGGATCTGAAAAACATATTAAGCAATGTTTAAAGCCTTATGGTTCTAACGTCAGTGGTCCTATCTATGAGAATAATGGGGGTGCAAATGATCAGTATCCAGGGCTACAAGACTTCCAGTTACAAGGAAGTGGGCCAAAGTGCAGCCTGATTCATGCTTAGTTATGACTCCATTTCTGCCCAGAACCCGGCGTGTAATTCCTGCTAACCCATTGAGGACAGTTTGAGGTTCAAGAAGATATTCTAGAAATAAAATAAAAACAATTTTTTATTAAAAAGAAAAATAAGAAATAATATAAAAACATAAAACAATCTTTTATTAAAAAGAAAACCAAGAAACAATAATCTGATAATAGAGGCCACCAAGAGAAAAGCTAACCAGAAACAAAGATGGACAGTGAACTATGAGTGGGGAGGGGTGAGGCCAGCCCTTCTTCTCATTAGACCTTCCAGTTGGTTTACTTAGAAAGATTAGTGCTAAGGAAAGTGACAGCAAAGAAGTTGAAGGGGAAGAGGCAATGTAGAATGTCAAAAAAGAACACTTCCTGGAACAGAAGTCCGGAGTCTTCCAGTCTGAAGGCTCAGTGGGTGGCTGGCAGAGGCCAAATGAAAGTGGACACACACCGAGACACTCTTGTGAGATACCAAAAGTCCAGGAACAGAAGATTCCAAAAGTGACATGAAAGAACTACAGGTTAGTTAACAAAATGGCATCAGACTTTAGAGCTAGAAAATAGAAGACTATGGCAGTGCAATCCCTTCAAAGTTCTGAGGGAAAGTGATTTTGAGCCTAGAGTTTTTATGTAGACCAACAATCAAACACAAGTGTAAAATAAAAACAGTCCAGCCAGGATTCAGGAAATTTGTCTCCCAGGCATTCTTTCTGAGAAGATCATTTAAGAATCTACCTAATGAGGCCCGGCACAGTGGCTCACGCCTATAATCAGCACTTTGGGAGGCCGAGGTGGGTGGATCACCTGAGGTCAGAAGTTCGAGACCAGCCTGGCTTTTTCTCTACTGAAAATACAAAAATTAGCTGGGCGTGGTGGCGTGTGCCTGTAATCCCAGCTACTCAGGAGGCTGAGGCAGGTTAGGAGTTTGAGACCAGCCTGGCTAAATGGCAACACCCCATGTCTACTGAAAATACAAAAATTAGCTGGGCGTGGTGGTGTACCTGTAATCCCAGTTACTTGGGAAGCTGAGGCAGGAGAATCGCTTGAACCCAAGAAGCAGAGATTGTAGTGAGCTGAGATCGTGCCACTGCACTCTCCAGCCTGGGCAACAGAGTGAGACTGTCTCAAAAAAAAAAAAAAAAAAAGAATCTACTTAATAAAACCAGAAGACAAGAAAAAGAGAAGACTGAGATCCAAGGAGTGGAACTACACAGGAATGCAGAGAAAATGGGTTCCAGGATCACAGCTATGCAGGGGCTCAAAAGCCAAATGATGTGGCCGGAAGTAGGGGTGCATCGAATTGTGCCTGGGAATGGCCAGGGCACTCTACTCTGGCCTGGGAAACACAGTGAGACCTCGTCTCTTAAAAAAAAAGAGGCAAATGATTCATTGTATTATTATTATTATTTGTATTTTTAGTAGAGATGGGGTTTAACTATGTTAGCCAGGATGGTCTCAATCTCCTGACCTCATGATCCGCCTGCCTCGGCCTCCCAAAGTGCTGGGATTACAGGCGTGAGCCACTGCGCCCAGCTGATTCATTGTATTATTTATATTATTTTTATTTATTAATTTATTTTTTGAGACAGGGTCTCACTCTGTCGCCCAGGCTGGAGTGCAGTGGTGCGATCATAGCTCACTGCAGCCTCAACTTCACAGGCTCAAGTGATCCTGCCACCTCAGCCTCCTGAGAAGCTGGGACTACAGGCAAGCACCAGCATGCCTGGCTAATTGTTAAATTTTTTTGTAGAGCTGAGGTCTGTTATCCAGGCTGGTCTCAAACTCCTGGCCTCCAGCAATCCTTCCACCTCAGCCTCCCAAAGTACTGGGATTATAGGTGTTAGCCACCATGCCTGGCCCATAGTTCAATTTAAAAAACTATTAGGCCAGGCGCGGTGGCTCACGCCTGTAATCCCAGTACTTTTGGAGGCCACGGCAGGCGGATCACAAGGTCAGGAGTTTGAAACCAGCCTGACCAATATGGTGAAACCCCATCTCTACTAAAAATACAAAAAAAATTAGCCAGGCGTGGTGGCACACGCTTGTAATCCCAGCTTCTCAGGAGGCTGAGGCAGGAGAATTGCTTGAACCCAGGAGGCTGAGGTTGCAGTGAGCCGAGATTGCGCCACTGCACTCCCGTCTCAAAACCAAAACCAAACTACTTATCCGAGGGCCAGGTGCCGTGGCTTACAGCTGTAATCCTGTCACTTTGGGAGGCTGAGGCGTGCAGATCACTTGAGGTCAGGAGTTTGAGACCAGCCTGGACAACAGTGAAACCCTGTCTCTACTAAAAATACAAAAATTAGCCAGGTGTGGTTGCACACACCTGTAATCTCAGCTACTCCAGAGGCTAAGGCAGGAGAATCACTTGAACCTGGGAAGCGGAGGTTGCAGTGAGCTGAGATTGCACCACTGTACCCGAGCCTGAATGACAGAGTGAGCCTCCATATAAAAAAAAAAACCACGAAAACCCCAAAACAACAAGAAAACCACTATTAGAGGATTCTGATAAATGATTTTTTTTTTTTTTTTGAGACAGAGTCTCGCTCTGTCACCCAGGCTGGAGTGCAATGGTGCAATCTCGGCTCACTGCAAGCTCATCCTCCTGGGTTCAAGCGATTCTCCTGCCTCAGCCTCCCAAGTAGCTGGGACTACAGGTACGAGCCACTACGCCCAGCTAATTTTTGTATTTTTTGTAGAGATGGGGTTTCACCATGTTGGACAGGCTGGTCTGGAATTCCTGACCTCATGATCCTCCTGCCTCGGCCTCCTAGTGTTGGGATTACAGGCTTGAGCCACCGTGACCAGCTCCGAAATGTGTGTTTTAAGAAAAAAATTGGGTTTATGCAAACTGTGATAAGGAAATTATCTTAGTGATAAGACAAAAGGCATCTTTTTTTTTTTTTTTTTTTGGTCATCAGTAGCAATTAAAAACTCCAGGAAAAAAAAAAGCTGGACAAAAATGCCATAGTGCAAATATAAAGCAAGTTAAAACATGACATACATTTTCAGCTTTAATGGAATGTGGAAAGAAATAGCTTGTCTTTGATGCTTAGAATATTCTTTGAGCTGCACAAACAAAGGATTACATTTCTCTTTTTTTTGAGACAGAGTCTCGCTCTGTCGCCCAGGCTGGAGTGCAGTGGTGCGATCTTGGCTCACTGCAAGCTCTGCCCCCCAGGTTCAAGTGATTTTCCTGCCTCAGCCTCCCGAGTAGCTGGGACTACAGGCGTGCGCCACCACGCCTGGCTAATTTTTTGTTTGGTAGAGACGGGTTTCACTGTGTTAGCCAGGATGGTCTTGATCTTCTGACCTCGTGATCCGCCGCCTCGGCCTCCCAAAGTGCTGGGATTACAGGTGTGAGCCACTGTGCCTGGCCTGCCAATACAGGAGGTTTTCATGAGAAACTGAGTATATTCATGGATCGAGAGAATAGGGTTTCAATATGTCCATTACAATTACAAAGGTAACCCATAAAATAACTGATGACAACAGTGGATTAGGTTGGGAGGAGAGCGGGCGGGGAAGTGCAATTACTTTGGGTTGGCTGATTCCTTGTGTTTTATGGTAAAGAAACAACACAGTGGGTGGGGCCATTTTGTTTTCTTAATAATTTGTCATTACTTTTAAACATTCTTTTGACACAAAATTAAAAAAATACAAAATGGTATATGCATAGAAAAGATTCTCGCATACCTGCTCGCAGCCTTCCAGAACTCCATTCTGGAGTTGAGCCGTCGTTATTCACACGTACACGGGCCGCACACACAGTGGTGGCAGGACGGCACTGCTCTCTTTTCTTACGTGGTATTTCTTGACACTCACTCCAAATGGACATCTAGATCTTGGTTCAAGCTGCATGGTCAGAATATCACACATGCATGGACTTAGCACATGGTCTGTTTCCTTATTGAAGGACATTTAAGGTATTTTCTGTGTGTGCGAGAACAGTACTAGAAATCATTCTACGTGAGTGAAAGGAACTTACTGGGTCAAAGGTGTGGGCATTTTCGAATTTAATATACCCTCACAAATTTACCTGAGAGACCATCATTTCACAATGTCTCAGATCCCTCGAGCTGACCTCCCTCACCAGAGCCCACCAGCCTGTCCCCCATCACTGCTGGGCCTCTCACTCTCACATGGCCCAACTGTCACCTCTGCCCCCTCCAGCCCTTTCTGAATTCAGTCTGTTGACAAAACCTCCATCTCCTAAACGTTCTTACTAGGCGGTCCTAACACCTGCACTCCTCTTCCCCTGAACTTCCCGGGCTGCTGCACAAGGCCTGGGCCTGGCCACTGCCTGGTTTCTCCTTCCAAACCCACCACAGGGTGCCCATGCCTCCGTGGAGGGGGCAGAGGCCCGCTGCTCACTTCGTGACCCTCCCCCTGGGGCTGCATCTGGGGCGAGGCCCTCCCTTCTGCCCATTGCTGCTTCCAGGCCATGCTCCTTCCATGCTGCTGGACACCCCGGCGGGGGTGCGCCCTTCTCACTGGCTGGCCCACCTCCAGGCCTCAGGGCTGTCCTGCACTCAGGGCCTCCATCACTGGCTCCTGTCACCGTCCCTGACTGCTGGACGACCATCAGGTCTTGTCTCCCATGCTCTGGCCCCAGTTCCCCGTCTGTCCTCACCCAGACCATCATTGCCAACAGCTGCGCCCTCCAAGCTTACCTCCTAAATCTTCATGTTACATGACCCCCCCACCCTCCAGCCTAGGGCCATGGTCACCGTCACAACCAATGTCTCCCCCGGCACCACACCTATGGCCAGCCCTCACCTGCCCCCACTCCCTGTGCCCTCGATCCTGCCCTCTCCTGGGATATTAGGGCCTTGCTGCAGGACAATGCCCAGTCACCTGCCACTGAAATGCAGCTCTGCTCCTGCGACCTCTTGGAGTCATTCTCAGCCGCTGTTCATCTGTTCTTGAAAGCAGGTCTGCCCTCACGGTACCCGTTTCCTCTGCTCCCACTCTCTTAAAGCTAATGAAGAACTCACTTATCCGAAGGCTTGTTGCTGGTCTTCTTGCTGACTTCTAGTTCTGTTAACATTAAACTCATCAGTACTTTGTCGTACATTTTATCCAAGATGGTTCCAGTTTTTTTTTTTTTTTGAGATGGAGTTTTGCTCTGTCATCCAGGCTGGAGAGCAGTGGCGTGATCTCAGCTCACTGTAAGCTCCGCCTCCCGGGTTCACGCCATTCTCCTGCCTCAGCCTCCCCAGCAACTGGGACTACAGACGCCTGCCGCCACGTTGGGCTTTTTTTTTTGTATTTTCAGTACAGACGGGGTTTCACTGTGTTAGCCAGGATGGTCTCGATCTCCTGACCTCGTGATCCGCCCGCCTCAGACTCCCAAAGTGCTGGGATTACAGGGATGAGCCATGGTGCCCGGCAAGGGTTCCAGTTTTTTTAACCTTGTTTTCCCCCATGTTGACTTTAAAAGATGTCATTTAATGTCAATCCTTTTTTAAAAAAATCGATGTGAATTCACTAGATCACTTAGTGGAAAAACACAAATAAAGGGGCAACGGGTCCAAAAATCTTAGAAAGGAGGACTATATTTTTCTTTTTCTGAGTTCTATTGTACAGCATGGTGAATACAGTCAAAAATTGAGTATTGTACATTTCAAAATTGCTAAGAGTAAATTTCAGATGTTCTCACTACAAAAATGTTAAGTATTTGAGGTGATGGATGTAACTAGCTTGACTAGTCCACAATGTATGCATAATTTATAAGATCACTTTATACTCTATAAATTTATACAATAATAGTCAATTTACAAAAAAAGTATCTTATGATTATGGTTTCATATATATGTATTTTTTTACACGTAAATACTTGACCACTTGGAACTTCCCTTAGTATAAAAAGGAGTCTAATCCAACTTTTCTCTTTTCAAGGTGGCCCAAACTTCTGAGCATGGGTAGTTGTTGCAAAGTTCCAGTTCCTGATCACACACGGCCCCTTTGTGCCACGCCGAGTTCCTGTGTATTTGGCTTATTTGTGGACTTTCTTGTTCCAGGAATCTTTTTAAAGGGCCAGCATCATGCTGTTTCAATTACAATGTTCTAAAAACAGCAGAATTTAAAACAATTTGACTAGTCTGGCATATTTGCTTTTCTGTTTTAACTTTAGAATCCGCTTGTGTTTTAAAGGAAGGTTTTACATCTTAAGATACTGTATAGCAAAATGTGAGAATCAACAGAACTTTCACTTATTCAGGGCCTGTGTTCCTTAGTAATGTTATAATACCTTTCACATAGGTGTTTCCCTATTTGTTACTAGGTATTTTATCTTTTTTGGGGGTTGCTATTGAAAAAATGACTTCTGGTCAGGTGCAGTGTCTCATGCCTGTAATCCCAGCATTTGGGGAGGCTGAGGTAGGAGGTTCGCTTGAGGCCAGGAGTACAAGAACAGCCTTGGCAACATAGCAAGACACTGCCTCTATAAAAAATACAATAAAAATTATCTGGGCGTGGTGATGTACACCTGTAGGCCCAGCTACTCAGGTGGCTGAGAAGAGAGGATCGCTTGAGCCCAGAAGGTAGAGGCTGCCGTGAAACATGATCATGCCACTGCACTCCAGTCCAGGTGACAGTTAAGACCCTGTCTCTAAATAAAAATAAAAAATGACCCTCCATTATAGCCTATATTTATAGGAAAGCTACTGATGTTTTTGTTAATTTTGTGTCTGGTTAACTTGGTGAATTCTTTCTTCAGTCACAGATTTTCATTTGCTCCTTAGATGACCTGGGTATGCAACCATCTAACCTGCAAGTAATTTCACCTTCTCCTTTCCACTTTTACAGCATTTCTGTCTAAGTGCTGTTTCTTTTTCAATGATTTCTTCTATACTATTTGTTTTACCACACTGACCTTTAACAATAAAACATTAAATATTGCTAAATAAGAGAATAGATATAAATAGATTTTCCTTTCTTTTATAAAACAGAAACAGGCAGGCCGGGCATGGTGGCTCACGCCTGTAATCCCAGCACTTTGGGAGGCCAAGGCGGGCAGATCACCTGAGGTTAGGAGTTCAAGACCAGTCTGGCCAACATAGTGAAACCCCGTCTCTACAAAAATACAAATATTAGCTGGGCATGATGGCGGGTGCCTGTAATCCCAGCTACTTGGGAGACTGAGGTGGGAGAACTGCTTGAACCCAGGAGGCGGAGGGTGCAGTGAGCTGAGATTGCACCACTGCACTCCAGCTTGGGCAACAGAGCAAGACTCCACCTCAATTAAAAATAAATAAACTAAAATGGAAACAGGATCTCCCTATGGTGCTCAGGATGGTCTGGAACTCAGGCTCAAACGATCCTCCCACCTTGCCCTCCCATAGCTGGGACTACAGGCGTGAGCCACTGTGCTCAAATGAAACAAAGGCACAGCACAACGAATCGTCCAAGTAAAAAAGACCCACTTGTCACTACCTGGCCCCACTGGTATTTTGTGGTAGAGGTGGCCAGGAAAGAATAATCACTTGAGAGGGGACAGGTGCTCCCTGCTCTGACTTCTGTCTAGTGCACTAGTAGTCAAAGCTGCTAAAGAGTTATGAAGAATGTGTCATTTGCATATCACAAAGTTTTATTAATGTAATTTTAAGGCCAATTAAACTAATTTTATTCAAAGTAAGTCTACATTAAATTACAATATTAACAATCTCTAGACACAACGAACTTATAAGAAAAAAAAAATAGAAATCTGTTTGGTCTTTCTTAGACCACATATCATGGAACTCATAAATGAAAATTTTCAAAGATAGAAATGACAATTAAAGAGTGAGGATTTTAATATGGAAACCCACAAGGTGTCATATTTCAAACCCGCATGTTTCAAAAAGAGACTCTTAATAATTTAGCACAAAATCAAATTATATAAACTTGGTATATTCCAGAAAATATTGCTTTAAACACTTATGCCATGATCAAAATTCCTTTGGTAGCTTTTAATCAAAATGAAACATGCTATTATGTAAAATATAAAGTACTTTTAAATGTTATCTCAAAAGTATCTTTGTCATAGTTACCCTTCTAACATCACTACTGAACTTTCCTTTCACTGTTCAACCTCATGTATATATACACAACACAAAACCAGGTACCAACAAAATCCTTTTAATCTTTCCACAAAATAACCTCTGCTTCACAACATCAAGACTTTAAGTCTCCATAAACTTTTTACAGTTTACAGCAGAGAACAAGGATCGTCCCTGCGCATGACTGTAAAAACCAAACCAAACTTTATTATTGCAATCACACAAATACTGCAATTAAAAAAAATCAAAGAGCAGTTACCCCAATGCAAAAAAACAGGGACTGCCAGACTCAATCTTAGAATGGAAACACAAACACACTAGCCCCAAACCCTAAAACAGAGATTCACAAGGAACTCAGCTGACGAACAGACGCAGCAGGGCGGACACCATGGCCTTGGCACCTCAGGGAGCTCACTTAGAAACCTGACTTACGAAAAATCAGCCATCAAAGTTTACAACTTTTGGAAATACATGAAACAGAGAGGGGCCAGTGGCTAGGGTGCGTCATCCATTCGCCAGCTTTGAACCCTGGCTCTTTCTAATGTTCACCCATGAAGGGCCCTTGTTTTCACTCTAAATGCTGATCATCTGAGCGAGCTGTCTTCAGGGATACCTAAGGAATCTTCAGAGCTAAAAAATGCAGCATCTAGGGTCTTCTTCATTGTGCACTCATGATCACACACGAGAACAAACCAAACTTGCAGCTTTTTGACACAAGAACAAGACCTTTTAAAGGAACTTCTCTTTAGTAACATCTTCTTGTCCAATCTCAAAGTTATTTTGCACAGAGTAACAGAAACAATTTAAATGCCTAAAAGAACTAGAGGAAAAACTGGAGGGAAAAAGATACATCTGCAGGTTGAAGTCTTGAGCCTTGTGAAAGATGACCCAGGAGCCACCTCCCTTCCTTCGCCTTCCAATGTCCACAGCTGGATCAATCAGAGTCCCAGAAATGGCACAGGTGTGCTTCCTGCTCTGAGGGTACATTCTAGTGTTTCATGAAGGGGAACCGTCTGCAGATGCGTCAGGCCACGTAGTGGTACTGATTCGGATTGTCTTTGTCTCTCTCCATATAGTCTCTGTCTATCAGAGATTCAATTCTCTTTTTCAAATCTCCAGGCTAAAAAAGAAGAATAAAACCCCCCTAATTACAATGGCATTAAATTTACAAACATTTACATACAAGGGGTATATGCATGAAGTATGTAACTATACTTATAGAAATATATATACAAATAGATATTTATATGAAAATCATTTATAATTATACACATATTTATGAAATGAACAAAACTTTCTATTTTAAAGACAAAGTTAACGTTATCTCTTGATAAAAAAAGCGTCCATGTGAGTTTATGGTCAGAGTGTGGTTTCCTGAGGGAAACGTGAAACTTGTGAAATGTACATACATCATCTGCCATCAGTAAGGGCACGTATAAGCGAGGCAGATCCGACATCTGCCATCAGCAAGGGCACGTATAAGTGAGGCAGACCCGACATCTGCCATCAGCAAGGGCACGTATAAGCGAGGCAGACCCGACATCTGCCATCAGCAAGGGCACGTATAAGCGAGGCAGACCCGACATCTGCCATCAGCAAGGGCACGTATAAGCGAGGCAGACCCGACATCTGCCATCAGCAAGGGCACGTATAAGCGAGGCAGATCCGACATCTGCCATCAGCAAGGGCACGTATAAGCGAGGCAGATCCGACATCTGCCATCAGCAAGGGCACGTATAAGCGAGGCAGATCCGACATCTGCCATCAGCAAGGGCACGTATAAGCGAGGCAGATCCGACATCTGCCATCAGCAAGGGCACGTATAAGTGAGGCAGACCCGATCACGTGACACATTTTTATTTGAAAGGAAAATCTCAACATGTCTTACTGGGGCAACTTTTATCCTTTGAAAGGATGCTTCTGCCTAAGTAGTGTATTTTATTTTGTTTATTTATTTTGAGATGGGGTCTCATTTTGTCGCCCAGGCTGGAGTGCAGTGGTGCGATCTCAGCTCACTGCAGCCTCCACCTCCTGGACTCAAGCAATCTTCGTGCTTCAGCCTCCCCAGTAGCTGGGATCACAGGCTGCACACCACCATGCCTGGCTAATTTTATTTTTTGTAGAGAAGGGGTCTCACTATGTTGCCCAGGCTGGTCTCAAATTCCTGGGCTCAATCAATCCGCCTGCCTCAGCTCCCAAAGTGCTGGGATCGCTGGCGTGAGGCAGTGCGCCTGGCCTGTAGTTTTATTCTCGTGTATTTACATAGTTATTGCATGCCATGTCCACGTAAGTGAAACTACAATCCCCAGTGTTCCTGCACTAAGAGTAGGTGACTGAGGAGACGAATCCACAGCCACAGCCTGTCTCTGCCCAGAGGGAACAGCCACTCCAGCTCTGCTGTATTAGGAAGAAAATCTGTGTGAGCACTTACGTGCAAGGCTCTCCCTATACAAGGGAGACCCTCTATTTTCCAAACAAACTTCACCTTCTATTCAGTGATAAGCCACACATTTTACAAGATGTGGCTGAGGCTGGGCGCGGTGGCTCACGCCTGTAATCCCAGCACTTTGGGAGGTTGAGGCAGGCGGATCACGAGGTCAGGAGTTTGAGACCAGCCTGACCACACGGTAAAACCCTGTCTCTACTAAAAATACAAAAATTAGCTGGGTGTGGTGGCGCGTGCCTGTAAGCCCAGCTACTCAGGAGGCTGAGGCAGGAGAACTGCTTGAACCCGAGAGGCAGAGGTTACAGTGAGCCGAGATCGTGCCACTGCACTCCATCCTGGGGGACAGCAAGACTCCATCTCAAAGAAAAAAAAAACCCAACTACCCGAGAGCAGAGCGGGCGCCCTGGTCTGCCACACTCTACCCCTGAGAGCAGAGTGGGCGCCCTGGTCTGCCACTCTCTACCCGAGAGCAGAGCAGGTGCCCTGGTCTGCCACACTCCACTCTTGCTCACCTCTGCTTCGCGCTGGGCCTGATTGTTTGCAGTGGCAACAGGAGACTTGCTCCAGCTGGTGGGAGGAAGGGGCAGTGAACCTGATGGTGCTTTTGGAGCTTCCCAGGGCCCTGAGGACGGCACCTCACCTCTGCAGGGAAGGGGGCAAATGTGGGCTGATGGACAGTGGCACTTCCACCAGACTCTTAAGTGTTCGACTATTTAGTGCATCTCAACTTTATTCCCTTGATGGAATGGGAGGCTCAAACTGCACAACATGGAATCTGGGGACTTTCCCTCCAAAGCACGTGTGGCCGGTCCTGTCCCTGAGAGGCCAGGCGTCATCAGAGTTCAGTATTTCCTGGGTTGATAAATACATGTAAAAAACGTTTCATAATACTTTCCCGGCTTATCCTGCATCCCACACGTGGCAGGACAGTAAATCTCAGTTCTGAAAACAACGCGGGTTGACAGGCCTGGGCTGACTTTCATAAGCAACAGCAACAGTAGACTATTACCGTGGTGGAAAACGCGGTGTAGGCTGTAAACGCTGAGTAAGTTAGTTATTGTTATCATTTCCTTAAAATCTTGTGATGTAACCTTGACCGCTACTACTATGAGAAAAGTGTTCAGCTTTCCATGTCCCATCTACCTCTTCCCTTCCTGAAAATATGAACAAGCGCGCACCATCCCTGGGAAGGAGAGTTTTAGGGCTCTATCATTTCTGCAGTGGCAATGAGCAACACCTGGAATAAAGAGCTTCACATTTGCCAGTTTTTCTACATTCAGTGTATACACAAAGCACCATGAATAATGCAGGTCAAATGATATGACTGAACATAGAATTAAACATGCTTTGTCAATTGTTTAGCAAATACTACAAATTTAATTATGCTAATGTTACATTTACCTTTACTGGAAATTTCAGCTGATTATATAATTCAGAAACTAGAAGATTATGACCAAGAGTCTTTCTCATCTTCATTATTCTGACGATAGCAGCATCAATCTGATATTGTCTATCCTGAAACACTCTCTCAGTGGTGCTAACCTGTTCCTCAACCTGTATAAAAAAGAAAAAAAAAGTTAAGTGTAAAACTGTATTTTCTTTTTATTTTTTGCGATGGAGTCTCACTCAGTTGCCTGGGCTAGAGTGCAATGGTGTGATCTCGGCTCACTGCAACCTCCGCCTCCCAGGATCAAGCGATTCTCTTGCCTCAGCCTCCCGAGTAGCTGGGATCACAGGCACCTGCTGTCATGCCCGGCTACTTTTTGTATTTTTGTACAGGCAGGGTTTCACTATGTTGGCCAGGCTGGTTTTGAACTCCTGACCTCAGATGATCCGCCCACCTTGGCCTCCCAAAGTGCTGGGATTACAGGTGTGAGCTACCACACCTGGCCTATATTTCAATATTAATGACCTGATGTTACCGAATTTGATGGGAAATGGTTTTTTTTTTTTTTTTGAGACGGAGTCTCACTCTGTCACCCAGGCTGGAGTGCAGTGGCGCGATCTCGGCTCACTACAAGCTCCGCCCCCCGGGTTCACGCCATTCTCCTGTCTCAGCCTCTCAAGTAGCTGGGACTACGGTGCCCCCCCACCATGCCCGGCTCATTTTTGTATTTTTAGTAGAGACAGGGTTTCACCATGTTAGCCAGGCTGGTCTCGATCTCCTGACCTCGTGATCCACCTGGCTCGGCCTCCCAAAGTGCTGGGATTACAGGCGTGAGCCACCGTGCCTGGCCGGAAATGTTCTTTTGATGCAAAGAAAGGTCAGACATTGGATGAATCCTACTTTATTATGCATGTTTACTTGTTGTAGTAAAAGGTACCTTCCCAGAATAGCAAAACTCCAAAACCAAAACTTAAAAAATATTTTTAAAAGTTATTTTCCTTATAAGAAAGCTGCAACAACTCTATGTGTGATGTAGATTAAAACTAGCAGCACAGTAAACAAAACATAATGACCATCAGGATATATTCCAGAAATGTTAAGTGTTGATCAACATTAGGAAATCTGTGAATATAAGTGAGAGCACTGTAGCAGTTGAAAGGTTAGATTACATGACCATCTTGATAGATGCTGAAAAGGCATGATAAAATTGATTTTTTGATTTAAAACAAACATTAGCATACAAGGATGAATAAAAAAGCATCTGAACATGATAAAACATGGTTATCAGAAACAAACAGCAAATACTAGAGACAACTTAACCTTAGTCCAACAGGAACCTGATGGGGATCTGCAGTTGAAATGAGGGCTGGGGGAAGGTCTGTGCATACATATGAGGCAAGTATGCTTCAGGATGGGAGAGACTCCAAGCTTTCATCACATTTTCAACAGGATCCATGACCCCCAAAAAGTTAACATCCTCTGAACTAGAGATAAAATTAGGAAGCTCAGCTGCACTGCTATTCCTTAAAAACATTACTTTAGAGGTTCTAACTATGCAATACAGGAACAGACTAAAGAGGTATATTGAAAAGGTGCAGACAAAACGATCATTATTTGTAGATGAGCTGGAAAATCCAAGAAAATCAACAGAAAAACTTTCAAAGCTAAAGAGTTTTGTAAAGTGGCTGGAAATAAAATAAATATACAAAGACAAATAGCATTAATACATACATTCTGATAAAAACCGTCAGAAATGTAAAGAAAAAAGGTCCCCTTTATAAGATATCAGCATTTCATTAGCCTGTCTTGCTTAAAACTCTAGTGGTTTTCCAAATGCTTCATGGATCTGAGCCATCTTCAGAGGGTCCAGCTGTGGCTCCCTGATCAGGCCTGTCTGGCTCAGCTTCCCCTTTTGGCAACGATGCTGCAGCCAGAGGCCTTCTTTCAGTTCCTGAGCAAAGCTAGTCACTTCTTCAGGAAAGCGTTGGCTGACGACAGTATTTAATTAGACTCTCCTGCACTTCTCTATCCTAACATTTTCCTCCACTCTTACAAGTTAGTCAATGTGTGTGATCCTCTGCTACCTCTCTGCTGGAAAAGACTGAACACTCCTAGAAACAAGGACTTATTCTTTATTGTTAATGGATGAATTCTCAGTGCTTCACAGAGGACCTGGGCCACCACAGATGCTCAATAAGTATTTGTTGAATGAATGAAAATTTATGACTAGCAAGAAATATGCAAGACTTACAGAAGAAAACTAGAAAGCTCTGAGAAAAAGATTTGTATGTATTTACATATATACACATATGTATGAATCACAAGATTTAATATGATAAAGATAAAAGCTCTGTAAATTAATGCAATATGGATTAAAAATGTCAATGTTCTTATTTGGGGGAGCAAAGGCGTGATACAATTATTGTCAAGTTCATTGGAAGAATAAAGTTATAGGAATAGCTACATTAATTAAAAGAACCTGGTGCCGGGCACGGTGGCTCACGGCTGTAATCCCAGCACTTTGGGGGGTCAAGGTAGGAAGACTGCTTGAGCCCAGGAGTTCAAGACCAGCCTGGGTAACATGGCAAGGCCTCATCTCTACAAAAAATACAAAAATTTAGCTGGGCGTGGTGGCATATGCCTGGGGCTGAGGTGGGAGGATCGCTTGAGCCCAAGAGGTTGAGGCTGCAGTGAGCTATGATCACACCACTGCACTCCAGCCTGGGCGACACTGTCTCAAAAAACAAAACAAAACAAAACAAAAAAAATGGCTGGCTATGAAATAGACACAGAATTTATAGAAGAGAATTGAGAAACTGACCTATATGAATTTGATACATAATAAGGTGATAATTCAAATAACTTGTTCAAGGATGATATTTTAAATTTGGTTTTGGAAAGGATGGGGGCAGTTAGACTGTTTTCAGATACTAAAATAATTTCTGCAACATGAAAAGAAAGATTTAAATGTAAAAACTTCTAGAAAAATAACATAGTATAAATGTTTTTTAAAACTCTGGTTAAGGGAATTTCTCTCTTAGGCCAATGATATGGTTTTGAATATGTGTCCCCTCAAAATCTCATGCTGAAATGTGGTCTCCAGTGTTGGAGATGGGACCGGGTGGGTGGGGGCAGGTCCCTCATGAATGGCTTGGGCCCTCCCCTTGGTGATGAGATCTGGTCGTTTAAACATGTGGGGCACCTCCCTCCCTGTTCTTGCTCATGCTTTTGCCACGTGAGACACCTGCTCCCCTTGCACCTTCCACCATGACTGGAAACTTCCTGAGGCCTCGTCAGAAGCTGAGGTGATGCTGGCACCATGCTTCCTGTACAGCCTGCAGAACCGTGAGCCAATTAAACTTCTCTTCTTTATAAATTACCCAGTTTCAGGTATTTCCTTATAGTAATACAAGAATGGCCTAATACAGCATTACACGTTAAGTCAGAAACCATAAAAGAAAAGGAGACTATATTTGAGAACTTAAAAACTGTTATGTGAAAAAAAAACCAATAAAAACAACAAAATTATCTGTCAAAAATGACAAAGCAGGCTGGGCATGGTGGCTCACGCCTGTAATCTCAGCATTTTGGGAGGCCGAGATGGGTGACTCACCTGAGGTCAGGAGTTTGAGACCAGCCTGGCCAACATGGTGAAACCCCGTCTCTACTAAAAATAGAAAACTTAGTTGAGTGTGGTGGCACATGCCTGTAGTCCCAGCTACTCGAGAGGCTGAGACAGGAGAATCGCTTGAACCCGGAGGACGGAGGTTGCAGTGAGCGAGATTGTACCACTGCACTCCAGCCTGGACGACAGAGTGAAATGCAAAAAAAAAAAAAAAAAAAAAAACGAAAAAAAAAAAGGGACAAAGCATTAATATCCTTAATATATAAAGAAAACCTACTAATCAGTAAGAGAAAAAACATTATAATGAATGCATATGACTTGAAAAGCAATTAGAAAAAGAAAAATACAAATGGCTAAGCATAAAAAGAGCAGCATCAACATGTATGAAGTGCTTACAGGTGTGTGGCAAAGAGCTTTCTAAACGATTCATTTAATTCTCACAACTTGAGGTAGTAGTATGTCTATTTTAAATATGAGAAACTGAGCATTAGAAAGATTATATAATTTGTATAAACTACTGAGTGGTAGAAAGATGCTGTAAAGAATCAGAAATCAAAATGAAAACTGCAACAAACTATCTTTGGGCTGCTCAGAACAGGGTGAGCGAAGGACAGGTGGAGGTGGGGGCAGACACTGTGCTCTGGTGAAATCTGCCAGACTTCAACTTGGAAAAGAGCAAACTAAGACAAGTACACATTATTTTACCCAGCAGCTCCAGAGCAAGAATCACACTAAAGAAACAATCTAACAAGTGCACAGAAATGTCTGTGCCAGGGTGTTGAACGTAATCTTATTTTCAGGAGGGGCAGTGGAGGAATGTTAGTGCCTGTGGCCGAGGGCACTGCCAGCCCTGGTGGGTCTACACAACCGGCACTGTGCTCCTGCAACAAGTCCTGGCCAGGAGAAGACTGCGATCAGCAACGAAAACTGGCTACAGGAAGGCCCTGACAGGTGCCATATGTACAGTGATCCCAGGTGTTTTTTCTTTTGTAGAGTTTGGGGTCTCACTGCATTGCTCAGGCTGGCCTCAAACTCCCGGGATCAAGCGACCCTCCCGAGTAGCTGAGACTATGGGTGCATGTCACTGTGCCTGGCTTAGTGATCCCACTAAAAAAAAAGTTTACATACACTCACACCACAGAAAAAGGCTGTGACCACAAACAAAAAGGGCAGTAGTGGTTACCTTCGGGAGAAAGAACTGATAGACCTTCTCACTTTTGCCCACTATAAAAGGTGCACCCTCAAAGGAGTTAAAAACTTAAGTCCACATAAAAACCTGCACAGAAATGTTTATAGCAGCTTTAGTCATCATCACCAAAACTTGGAAACAACCAGATGTCCTTCAGTAGGTGAAGGGATAAGTTGTGATGCATCCAGACAACGGAGAATCCTTCAGTGCAAAAAGCAGAGTTACCCAGTCATGAAAAGACACGGTGAACCTCAAATACGTTCTAATAAATAAAGAAGCCAATCTGAAAAGGCTATATACACTATGACTCCAACTGTACGGCATTCAGGAAAGGGCAAAACTATGGTGACAGTAACAGGGTCAGGGGTTGCCAGGGGCTCGGAGGGAGACAGGGATACAGCGACAGAACATAAGAGAATTTTTAGGGCAATGAAACTGTCCTGTATGATCCTATAATGGTGGATACATAACATTATACATTTACCCAGACCCACAGAATGTACAACACCAAGAGTGAACCATATCAGATTCTATTACCATAGAAAGTGTGGATAATTTTCGAAACCCTATGACCATGGGGAGTTCTGGCTTAGCACACAACTTTTTTGTGAATAGGAATAACATTAAGTGGCTTTTTTTCTGATTTTCTTTCCTACTGAGAATGTGAAGTTAATGAAAGCGACAGGAAAATGAGTACTCTTATAAACATTACATAGTGAAATTGGATTATTGTAGAAATGTGCTTCAGGCCTCTAACAGCCAAAAACATTACTACAAAAACAAATGATTCCCTGCTAAACCCCCTATAAGTAAAAAGAGAAAGTTTATACATACAGTTTCCTTCATCTGAATTTGATTGATCTTTATTCTAAACAACTTGTGCTTGAACTCTCCATTAAAAATGAACTTGTCTCCATCTTCCACTTCCTTTCCTTTGGGACTTTTAATCAGCACACGTGCTTTGCCACAGGCCAGGGACTGCAGCGTTCTGCGCAATTCACTATCCTCTGAATGGGAAGCAAATGCAGGCAAAGGCTGGCGTTAAACGAATGAGACTCAACAACAGTAAACCAATCATGCTACCAAGTCTATGTCTTATCTTAAAACAAATACATGCTTTAAGAACAACTCATGGAGCTATGCACTCTGCAGTTTTCGTACCTATCCCCGTGGCCATTTTTATCTCCTCAAAGCTGAAGCCATCTCCCTCGTTGAACATGAGGAGCACCAGTGTCTGGAAGAGGGACACCTGGAATTCCTTCTTCCCCTGGAAGAGAAGGCCTCATCACACCTCTGAAGCTGTGCATGTACAATCTTTGAAAAATTAAAAGAAGCTTCTTTTTGCTCTCAAACTTTTTTTTTTTTGAGAAGGAGTCTCGCTCTGTCACCCAGGCTGGAGTGCAGTGGCACAATCTCAGCTCACTGCAAGCCCCACCTCCCGGAATCATGCCATTCTCCTGCCTCAGCCTCCCGAGTAGCTGGGACTACTGGTGCCTACCAAGCCCGGCTAATTTTTTGTATTTTTAGTAGAGATGGAGTTCCACTGTGTTAGCCAGGATGGTCTCGATCTCCTGACCTTGTGATCCACCCACCTCGGCCTCCCCAGGTACTGGGATTACAGTCCAGCTTTCTTTTATACGGGACTGACTGTAACGTAGGGGTGAATGCAATTTGGCCTTATATATCCCAGGATGATCTCCTTTTCTATTCAGGAGTTAGTGCTGCAGCAACTTGCCACATGCCTCCAGGTCAGACCCACGAGAGGCACATGAGAGTTTGGGTGACAGTTGGTGGCCCCCTCTGCGGACCCAGCCCAGACTCATCACAAGCCCATAACAAGCCCTTCCTGCACACCTGGAGAGAGCTGCAGTTGGTGGTGCTGGTACAGACCCTGTGGAGGTCAAGTTCAACTAAAGTCAGCAAGTAGGTAAAAAACTGGGGATAATAGAAATTAACTTTCCTAATACCTTAAGGAAGAGAATATATGGTTTCATGTATATGACTCTCTACAATAATAAAGTAGGTATGTATAACTTATTTGATAATGTACAGATAAGTTTATTATTAATATAACAGCTATACAAAATAGGAATTTTATGTTTTTGCTTAGTGTATATAATTGCCGTTTCATAAGCGCCTTTCATTGATCAGTGCATTGTATGCATTCTCCCCTCTTAAATAATCGCTCATAATAACAGCACTGCAACCACTATTCTCATTCATTAATCCGTGAAAATGTCTTATTAAGATGAGTTCCTAGAGTTGAAACTAAGGCAACAACTCGGCAGCAGGGTTGCCAAAGTTCACAATGCCAAACTGCCCTTCCAAAAGCTCACTACAGTTTATGCTTCTTCCAGTAGTGGGCAAGAGTCTGTTTTTTTTAATTTTTTTTTATTTTTTAGGCTTCATCAAATCTCTTAGTCAAAAAGTGGCATCTTACTGTATTTTACTTTGAAGCCCTCTGTTTAGCAGAGAAGTGTAATGCATCTTCACAGATATTTTTTTCAATTTTGCTTTTATGAGTTGCCTCTTCACATTCTCTGCTCTTTTTTTCAATAGGTAAATGGTTTTCTATGGATTGATTTCTTAAGAATTTTTATTGATTGGAATAATAACCCTTTAACTGTTACAAATTTTATTGACTTATAAAAGCTAGTGAATTAAAGTGAAACACTCCTTTTTTGCTACTAAAGTCCAGTAACAATAAAAAAATTATATTAACATATTTACAAATAATAAAAAATAAATGAAACAGACAACTTACTTCTTTAAACTCCGCTTTTAAAACAGCATGTCCCAAAGTAGTTTGCCACTGAAGTTTTCGACCACTGTGCTTTCCAAGATAAAATGCCTTAAATACTTCCTGAAGTTTAATCATCTGTTAAGCATAGGAGAACAACAAAATTATGCCACACACCATCCATCTCAATAGCTCCCCATTCAATGCACAGAGTTTTACAATTTCTCACGGCTGAATTAAAAGGTCAGCTCTATATTCTCACACTTTCTGGATTCCATTATTTGTAAAAACGTCCTCAATCCTTGAACTTTGGGGCTTCTCAGTGTCAACGAGATAATGCCTGAACTGGTGTTTCATGGTACAGACCAGCTGTATTCCGTGGTCTCTGTACATACCAGGGCTTGCTGGGGCCAGTGGCACAGAGTGAAGACTGGAGCCCGTCAAGAAAAAGGTGTCTGAGGCCAGATCCTGTGTCTCAGCCCGGCCATGCCCAGCCCTGGCCTCGGCTGGTGTTCCCGGCAATGAGCGGGGCTCCTGCTTCCTCATCTGTGAAGGGTGACACCACAACCCCTTGCGTTGCACTGTGCAGGGGCTGATGGCAAACACCTCCATCTGGGCCTGCACAGAAAGTGCAGCACGAGTTAGTTGTTTCTATGATTAGTTTCTGGGTGAATTTCTTTTCTTTTTTGGAACACAGGCTTGCTCTGTCAGCCAGGTTGTGGTGTGATCCTAGCTTACTGCAGGCTGGATCTCCCAGGTGCAAGTGATCCACCTGCCTCAGTGTCCTGAGCAGCTGGGACTACAGGTACATGACACCAAGCCCGTTGATTTTTGTTGTTGTTGTTGTTGTAGAGATGGGTCTTCTCATGCTGCCCAGGCTGGTCTTGAAATCCTGGGCCCAAGCGCTCCTCCTGCCTCGGCCTCCCAAAACGCTGGAATTAGACTGTGCCTGGCCTTGAGTGAATTTCTTACATTTTCCAAACTTTCTACTGATCCTTAAAATTGTGGTTGCTGCATTTTCAAGTTCCCAGCGTTCAGTGCACCAGCCTTTCCCATCGCCCGGATCCTGCTCGTGTTTTCCGGATGCCTCTCAGGGGCAGGCTGTGTGTGACTCTCCCATGCGCGGTGCTTTCCCTGACTTCTGCATGCCCTTCCTGGTCCGTCATACCCTCCACTCTTCAGCTTGATCCTGTCTGGTGTCCACTGCACCCGGGATCTCCGACACGTCTGTGCTGCGCACGCAAGGGCTCACCAGTTTCGCCTCAGGAGACCATCTCTGCACAGCCCAGGGCGTGGCCTCCCCCTGCTCTCGTCCACTCCACAAATGCCAATGCTCCGGGACTCAGCATCCACCTATACGTCTTGTATGGGTCCATTCTTTCACTGCTATAAAGAAATACCTGACACTGGGTAATTTATAAAGAAGGAAAGTTTAATTGGCTCACAGTTCTGCAGGCTGTACAAGTAGCTTGGCTGTGGAGGCCTCAGGAAACTTTTAATCATGGCAGAAGGTAAGGGGAAAAAAGCAGGCACGTCTTCACATGACGGGAGCAGGGAAGAGAGAGAAGGGGGAGGTGCTACATACTTTTAAACAACCAGATCTCATGAGAACTCACTCACTACCATGAGCACAGCAAGGGGGAAATCTGCCCCCATGATCCGGTCGCTTCCCACCCGGGCCCTCCCCCAGCAGTGGTGATTACAATTCAATATGAGATTTGGGCAGGAACACAAATCCAAACCAATCCCTCCTCTCCCACGAGCTCACCATTCCCTGTGTCTCTGGATGGCTTCTAAAGATCTTGGGACAAAGAAAGCGTGAAATTCTAACCTCTGATCTCACAGACCTGGCCTGTGCCCCTCCCATCCTCCAGGCCCAGTTCAGTCGATCATTCCACTGTCTTTCATACATTCTCATCCCCTCAGACTTTCACACACGTGGTTTCTTCTGCTGGATCCCATATCCCATCTCCCTCATGAAACCTACTCATTTCCAGAACCGCCTCCTCAGAGAGGTCTTCTCTGACACCCTCTTAGCTCTACCAGCATCTATAGCACAGTGTGAATGTGGACTCCGGACAGGGGCTCACAGGGCAGGGCCTCTGGCTCTCTGACTCCCCATTGCAGCACTGTACATGGCACCAGCAGGTGCTGCATAAATGCCTGCTGCTCTCTAGACTTGACGTGCCCTTTTAGTTTCTCTGTGTTTCTGTCTAAGCTGTGCCCTGTCAGAAATTCCTGCTGACCTCACATCTGCTTGGCAATCTCCTCTTCATGCTTCAAAACTCAGCCCAAGAGTCACCTTTCTATGAAACCACATGTATAAATCACCTGCTGCACCTACTCCCCATCTTCAATGACACCAAATCCCAGGCACGATATCATCGATTTCATTTCATTTGTAGGTATTTCTGTATCTCTAAAGGACAGGAACTCTTTTAGGAAATGTATCTACTATGCCATTACCATACCTAAATAAAAGTCAATAATGTGATAAGCCTCTTCTTTCTTTTTGCCTTGAGAAGTACCATGGTTTGTGATAAACCTCTTAGTGCATATCTTTCCTAAAAACCATCTCCTTGGGATTCATTCCTAGGACTGGATTGGTATTAATGAGGATAATTATCATCATAATGCTATCGTTTGGGTACTATGTGCTAGCTACCAGTCCAGGCCCAAAATGGGTCAAAGACTGAAACATATGAGCTAAAACTATAAAACTTTTGGGAGAATACATAGTGCTATTTTATTTTCTTTTTTTGAGACACGGTCTCGGATCTCACTCTGTTGCCCAGGATGGAGTACAGCGGCTCCATCACAGCTCACTGCAGCCTTAACCTCCCAGACTCAGGCAATCCTGCCACCTCAACCTCCTGAGTGGCTGGGTCTGTAGGCAGACACCACGACATGCGGCTAATCTGTCTATTTTTTGTAGAGACGGGGCTTTACCATGTCGTCTAGGCTGTTCCTAACTCCTGGGCTCAAGTGATCTTTGGCTTCCCAAAGTTCTGAGATTACAGGTGTGAGGCACTGCACCTGGCCTCGTCAATTTTTTGTGATCTTGATTTGGCAATGGTTTCTCAGACATGACACCAAAAGTTACAAAAGAGAAAATAAATGTGATTTTACCATAATTAAAAACTTTTGTAGAAGCACACTATCAAGAAAGTAAAAAGATAGCCCACAGAATGGGAGAAAATACTTGCAAATCACAGATCTGATAAGGGTCTAGCATTTGGAATATAAAGAGCTCTTATAGCTTAATAACAAAAGATAAACAGCCCGGTTAAAAACTAGGCAAAGCACGTGAACAGACATTTCTCCAAAGAAGATACGCAAATGGTCAATCAGGACATGAAAAGATGCTCAACATCAACAGTCATCAGGGAAATGCAAATCACGGCAAGATGAGAGACCAGCTCATATGGACAGGGATGGCTACAACGAAAGAGGCAGATCACAGGTGTAGGTGAGAAGGTGGGAAGCTCTCGTGATTGCTAACTGGAATAAAAGCTGCTGCAGCCACTGTGGGAAACAGTCCGGCAATTCCTCAGTAACTTAAACTTCAAGTTACTGCATGACCCAGCAGTTCCACTCCCAGGTATATACCCCAAAATAAGTGACCGCAGGTGTTCAAACTAAAACTTGTACACCCATGTTCATAGCAGCATTATTCACAGCGGCCAAAAGGTGGAAATAACCCAAATGCCCAATGTTTGGTGAATGGAGAAACCAGATGTGACCTATCGATACAATGTGATGTTATTCAGCCAGAAAAGGAATAAAGCACTGATGTATGGTGCAGCACGGATGGAATAAAGCGCTCATGTATGGTACAGCATGGATGGAATAAAGCGCTGATGTATGGCACAGCACGGATGGAATAAAGCGCTGATGTATGGCACAGCATGGATGGAATAAAGCGCTCATGTATGGTACAGCATGGATGGAATAAAGCGCTCATGTATGGTACAGCATGGATGGAATAAAGCGCTCATGTATGGTGCAGCACGGATGGACTTTGAAAACAGCACGCTAAGTGAAAGAAGCCAGACACAAAAGCTCACATATTGTGATTCCATTTCTGTGAACTATCTAATGTAGACAAATCCACAGAGACAGGAAGCAGATAGTGGCTGCCGGGGTCCGGAGCAGAGCAGGCTGGGGAGGAGCTGCTAATGGAATGATGGAAAAATTCTGGAATCGACAGGGGTGACAGCTCTGTAACACTGTAAATGTACCACTGGCCTTCTGTGTCCATGGGTTCCACAGCCATGGATTCAACCAATCTCAGGTCAAAAATATTCGAAAGCAAAAAAAGGATGGTTGTCTGTACTGAACATGCACTAAGTTTTTTTGTCAGTGATCCCCTAAAAGGCCAGGAAGAATCTGAACAGACAGGTCTGTTACTGTACTGTTAACAATACAGTGTAACAACTATTTACACAGCATTTGTTAGGTATTACAAATCATCTAGAGATTATTTACAGTATATGGGAGAGTATGCATAGGTTATCTAAGATCTCACACTTATATAAAATAACGGACTTGAGTGTGAATTTTAGTATCTGTGGGAGTCCTGGAACCAACAGCCCGTGGATACTGAGGAACAACTGCACTGGATGTTACTGAACCACACGCTTTAAAAAGGTAACTTGAATGTTAAAGTATATTTTACCACAATAAAAAAATACAGTATGGTAAGCTTCAAACAACTTTTGCTAGAAAACAAAAAAGTACTAAAAAAATGATGTAGGCATATCAAAGAGCAAAGGAACCAGTGTTAAGGGTGGCTCACAGACCACATATGGGACAATTTAAGCATCAAAATAAGTACATAAATTAAGAATCCCTGAGTTCATAATGATATAAAGAGAGAGAAATAAATAAGTAAATAAAGGGGGTGGAAAGAAGGGCTCTTCCTTAGAATGCCAACTTCTAAATATAGAGAAATGATAGAGCTGGAAAAAAATCCCCATTCACCAGGTAAAAATCAATTCAGCCAGGAATCGCCACACAGGTGACAGCTGGATGAGGATTAAGAGGTTTACGTAGTCTTGAAATGTCTCCTCACAGATTACTTAGTGATTACAAAAGGAAAAACACTAACGATACGGTGGAGAAACCAGCCAGCACCTTCACAGGAGGATCCTATCGAATGTCACCAAGACACTGGGGCACGTGATAGTGCGCACCTCCCGCCAGGATCCTGATGGGGACACGGGGCATCTGGCTGGACCTGCCCAACCTGAACCTACTCACAGGGAGCATCGAAGGCCGCCTGGGTCCTGGGCTCAGCTGGGTACCGGAAAAACACCACAAAGGACATATCTGAGACAACCAACAGAAATGGGGTGAAAGTATTACATCAGAATGAATGCCCTCATTTGACAGGTGCTTATGTTCTTGGGAAATAGCCACTAGAATATTAAGGGGAAAGGGAATGGTGCAGAAGCACAAACATCTGTGGAGACAGGAAGGGACAGCACCACGTGGCCAGCGTGGAAAGCAGGCTGCCTGGCTTTCTTTGAGCATCCCGCACATGTTCTCTAAGTCTGGCTAGGACGCCTCAGAAGCAAGCTCTCTCACTCACCTTCTCCCCCAAAGTTCTCCTGGAATGAGAACTCTTCTTCCCCAAGGCAGGCCAGAGAAAACTCAAACCCCTCTTGCCCAAAGCCAGCCATAAAGCCTGGAGATACTACTCGATGCTTCCCATGCCCTTTTGTGTAGGATCTGGATATTAAGAAGTTCTCTGAACTACCTTGCTGATAGTTAAGTCATAAGACTCTTGTTCCAGAGGTGTCCTGCCCTACACCTGGGAGGAAAGAACATTGCCCAGTGAGGCCAAGAAGAATCTGAACAGACAGGCCTTACTGGTTTCCCCGCTACTCTACTACTGTTAGATGGTACCCTTCTGTCCAGTCACATTGATAAGAGTTTGGGGGTCTGTCCCCTCTAAATCTCACGGTGAACTGTGATCTGCAGTGCTGGAGGTGGGGCCTGGTGGGAGGTGTTTGGGTCATGGGGGTGGATCCCTCATGAATGGCCTGGCGCCCTCCCTGTGGTAATGAGTTACCACGAGATCTGATTGTTAAGGAGTCTGGGACCTTCCCCCACCACCTGTTGCGCCCTCTCTCTCGCCTACTCCCCCTTTGCCTTCAACCTTGAGTAAAAGCTTCCTGGGACCTCATCAGAAGTTGCACAGACACAGGTGCCATGCTTGTATAGCCTGCAGAACCATGAGCCAATGAAAACTCTTTTCTTTACAAATTACCCAGCCCCAGGTATTCCTTTACAGCAATGCAAAACAGACTAACACACCTATTTCTACATGGCTGCCCATTCTTTATCAAACCTAAGCATAACAATGGACAGTCTTCCCTGGGTCTTTGGTCTTCATTTCTGAAGCCTGATGTGTTAAATAAAACTTTGATTAAATAAATTTGTTAAGGTTTTCTCCTCCTAATTTGTCTTTTGTTAAAGGAGCATTGGCCATGACCCTCATGATGGATAAGAAAAGGAATCACACTGTCCTACCACTGTAGCTGTGTGTCTTTCTTCCCTTCTCAGCTGACGAAATCATCATTCATCTTTACTTGATATCAGGCTTAAGGGACGCCTTTTCCAGGAAGTCTTCCATGATTGCAGGCTGGTCTCAGCCCTTTCCCTTCGCCTGGTATTAAATGAATGGTGCATGTATTGTATCTCCTGCTGATGTTAACTTCATTGAGCACAGAATTCTACCTCCGGCGTGCAAACCCTCCACTGAAGGGTTTAGTGTAGCTAAAGTAGTGGCTGACAAAGAAGGCCCTAAATAATGCCATTCCCAAGACTTCAGCACTGTCTACAATGGAAAGAAAGAACAACCAGACAAGAACCGCAGCTTAATAAGCCATAACTTCCAAAACAAGTGCCTGTGCTCATGGGCCCCCTGCAGGTCAGCAGGTGGACACAGGCTGCACTGGGAGGAGCCACAGAAGGTGACAAAAGTGGTCACTTTCTCAAGCACATTTCCAAAGACCATAAGAGCACTTTGATTTTGGACTGAGTGGGCTATTTTTAAAAACTCCCCATTCAACAATTCTTGAAGGCAACATATCTGTGCCTGGTAAGGGCATGACAGCGGGAGCGGACAGCATGCTTTCTGCACACTTACTTCTGGGGTTAAGTGCACTTCCATGGGCGTGTATGTTGGCCAGTAGCCCATTGTGAGTATGTTCACTGTGAGGTCTATAGGGCCTGAGTCACTCTGATTCTGCATATGCTAAAACAGAGAAATCCAAGACAATCATTTTGAGAAAGTAATAAAACATAATTAACCTAAAACAAAATAAACCGTGTAATTTTCAATATAAAGTTTCATCTGTGTTAGAATTTATCTCAGTCCCCAGAATGTATTCCATGAAACCCAATGCCTCACTAGGACTGCCTTTTTCCCTTCTTCAGGTGTCACCACCAGACTCACTGAAATAAAATTCTTGCCACACGTTTAGATCTTCTTTTTCTTCTTTTAAAATTTACTTGTGAAACGTTAATAGTGTAATTTTCTTCTTACATAGAGTGAGATTCATTCTATCTAATCTATTGAATCTACCTACCTTATCTATTTATCTATCTATGACAAGGTACTGCTATCTCTGTCTATGTATTATCTATCTATCCACCCATCCACGACAAGGTCTCACTCTGTTGCCCAGGCTGGAGCGCAGTGGTGCAGTCACGGCTCACTGCAGCCTCAAACTCCTGGGCTCAAGTGATCTTCTCACTTCAGCCCTACCCCAGTAGCTAGGACTACCTGTTCATTAAAAAAATTTTTCTTTTGTAGAGACTGGGTCTTGCTATGTTGATCAGGGTAGTTTTGAACTTCTGGCCTCAAGAACGTCTCTTGCCTCTGCCTCCCAAAGTGCTGGGATTACAGGCATGAGCCACCACACTAACAGATACTTTTTAAAAAGCCGCTTTACCTAAGAAACACAACTCACCTGCTTGAAATGAACCATGATGTCCTTCGAAAGCTCCATGTCCTTGAACATGCCTTCCAGCTTGCTGGTGAAGGCTGCACCGCACTCTGGACACAGCAAAGGAGGGAGTGAGATCGGGGTAACACACGGGGCAGCAACCCTCAGTTACAGGGGAGGAGCCCAGGCCCCACATACTTACCATGCTTGAGCTTTGACAACATAGACTTTTCAGCATCGACTGAGGCACTTTTCCCAACAAGGAGTCTTTTTGCCAAATCTTTTTTATAAAATGCTTCAAAGACATCTTTACCTATTTATAACCAGACGAGAATAATCAAGACATCAGAGAGTTGATAAGCAAATGTTAAACTTCAAACTTCAACTGCTGAAAACCCTTAAAAGTGTTTTTTTTTTTTTTTGAGACAGAGTCTTGCTCTGTTGCCCAGGCTGGAGTGCAGTGGCGCGATCTCGGCTCACTGCAAGCTCCGCCTCCCGCGTTCACGCCATTCTCTGCCTCAGCCTCCCAAGTAGGTGGGACTACAGGCGCCTGCCACCACGCCTGGCTAATGTTTTGTATTTTTAGTAGAGACGGGGTTTCACCATGTTAGCAAGGATGAAAAGTGTTCATTCTAATGCAAACTGGCTCTACTGATACTGACATTCTCATGCTAAACCTCCTCTGGGAAAGCAGGGCCTGTTTACACCTCTTGATTATGCAGCATTTTCTGAGTGCCCGAGTCTCACCGTGGATAAACCTGAACAGGATCATGATCTTGTCCAACGTCCGCTCCAGCTCCTCGTCTGTGGCTTCTTTGTTGCCTGCTCTTAACTTTGAATCCACATGCTTTGCTGTGAGCATAAACATATAGTAAATACTCTAAACTAGAAAAAGAGAGCATCTTCAATTTCTATTAGCAACATTGTACAGGAACATTCTGGAACCTTCCCAAAATGACTATATGACAAAAAAACAAATATCTGATTTTCTAAGGTAAGTACTTCTCAAGTCAAGTGAGAGTAAATACTTGCCAAAATTTTAATGAAGCCAGGACTGAATGTTTAAAGCAGGTTTAAATATCTTTCTTATCTTTAAATGCAATCTCTGAATTTCAAAATAAAATGACTTCAGCAAATACATGCTCAGGTTTCAGGACGTGACTGCCCCGGACGCTGGAGTGCCTATTTCTAGGATCTGGTGTCATGAATGCAGAGGAGACATTCTCAAAGAGAAAGACTTTCTCAGAGCATCCAAGGTGGCAACGCAGGGTGAAAGCATTTCTACTCGGGCTTCCTGTTTCTGAGGCTGCACAAGCCATCGTCAGGTGGCTTGGGAGGGAGGACCAAAGTCCCCATGTGATGGGAGAACCCAAGACTTCCAGAAGCCCAAACTCCCAAGAGCTCAACATCCCTTTGCTTTAGAGAAACCACAAATGATACAGAGGAACAAAAGCCAAAGTAAACTGCCTCCTGAATTCCTTCTGTTGCTGTTTTTGTTAGTTTTTTTCTTTTAAACATTTTGTAATGGAATATTCTGAACACACAGAAAAGCAGACAATTGCACAATGAGCTCCATGTTCCATCTTACATCTTCAGCAGTAATCAACAGTCAATCTAGTATCGTCGTATTTCAGCTCTCTTTGCCCCCTTTCTCCTTCGAATTAAAAAAAAAATTTTACTGACTAGAGAAAGCCTATGAATTCTGAAATATATTTTGATATTATTGTGAAAAAATTGTACAGCTTAAAAATAGTATTATCATTTGAGATCTCATCTGGTTTTATCCTATTTTAATATGGATTAGAGGATACAAAGATGGTGATCACCCCTCCCTTCTTTGGCGAAGTCAAGCATCATTTCTTTTCTAAATTCTTACCTCATCTTCCCTTATGGAAATGCCCTCCTCCACCCATGCATGCAGGTGTGTCGGTTTTTAAATTTGTGTCCTAATAAGACTTGATAAAAACGCTTTCCACACACCCCTTGAGCAGCTTGAACATTTTGGTTGATTTTGCCTTATTTTCCC
This sequence comes from Homo sapiens, assembly GCF_000001405.40. NCBI lineage: Eukaryota > Metazoa > Chordata > Mammalia > Primates > Hominidae > Homo > Homo sapiens. Next base: position 113,243,235 of record NC_000013.11, on the reverse strand, counting down.
ATATTAAAAAATTGTCTAGAAATGGGTGAGACTGTCTCAAAAACAAACAAACAAAAAAAACAAATATTTTTCTACCGATCAGTTCTGCAGGCTTGTTGGGTCTCTTGTTGATGAACGTCTCAAAGGACTCCTTCATCAGGTTGACGAACCGCTCATTCTTCTGGAAGCAGACCTCGATCACGTGGTCCACCTTGTCCTTGAAGTCCAACAGGTCTTGGACCATGTCTTTGTCTTTCTCAGGATTGATTACGATCGCTGTTCCAAAAGTCTACAAAAGCAAATCAATACCAACTCAGCAACATGTTTACAATAGCAAACAGTATCTTCTCCTGCTATCATATAATCAGGATAGTTTAACATAAATTACTCTTAGTAGTAAATACTCAATAACTTTAAAAGTTTCACAAATTGAATTCACATTTCAAAAATTAAGTGAATACACTTTTTTTTGAGGCAGGCCCTCACTCTGCGGCCGAGGCTGGAGTGCGGTGGTGCAATCACGGTTCACTGCAGCCTCAACCTCCCAAGCTCAAGCAATCCTCCCACCTCAGCCTCCTGAGTAGCTGGTGCTACAGGCTCAGGCCACCACATCTGGCCCATCTTTTTAAAGTTTTGTAGAGACGGGGTCATGTTGCCCAGGCTGGTCTCGAACTCCTGGCCTCAAGCAATCCTCCCACTGTGATTTCCCAAAGTGCTGGGTTTACAGGCATGAGCCCCTGTGCTTGGTGTGAATATACAATTAAATACACAATTAATGCATTGGTCTTACGATTCTGTTTCTGAGAGAACTTACAAACGACTGGAAAATGTCCGTTGCTTTTTAAAGAATGTTTATGTGTAAGTTCCTCCAAGACAAGTTAATTCCTATTAATTCAATATACCTCTTGGGACTTCTTGGCTAGTTTTCCTTCTCCATCACTTCTAACCATGAAAAGCTCACTTTTTTAGTTTGTACTTTTTTTTTTTTGTTTTGAGATGGACTCTCGCTTTGTCACCAGGCTGGAGTGCAGTGGCGTGATCTCGGCTCACTGCAACCTCCGCCTCCCATGTAGCTGGGACTACAGGTGCACACCACCACGCCCAGCTAGAGACGGGGTTTCACCATGTTGGCCAGGATGGTCTTGATCTCTTGACTTCATGATCTGCCTGCCTTGGCCTCCCAAAGTGGTGGGATTACAAGCGTGAGCCACTGTGCCTAGCCTAGTTTGTATTTTTAATTTAAAACTGTTATATTAAACATTCCTAAAAGTCTGTGTAGGGCACTAATAAACAGTTAACATTTGATGATATAAACTATATATGCCGAAGAGGAACTGAATACAATGATTGGATTTAAAAAATTCGTCTCAATAGAATGCACATGTGCACTCACACATCACACACACACGCGAGGTAGCTGGCTGGTGGAAAGATGCCAAGAGAAGGCTGGGCGCAGTGGCTCACGCTTGTAATCCCAGCACTTTGGGAGGCTAAGGCGGGTGGATCACAAGGTCTGGAGTTCCAAGACCAGCTTGGACAATATGGTGAAACCCCATCTCTACTAAAAATACAAAAATTGGCCAGGTGTGGTGGCGGGAGCCTGTAATCCCAGCTACTCAGGAGGCTGAGGCAGGGAACTGCTTGAACCCAGGAGGCAGAGGTTGCAGTGAGCTGAGATCACGCCACTACACTCCAGCCTGGATGACAGAGTGAGACTCCACCTCAAAAAAAAAAAAAAAAAAAAAGATGCCAACAGAAAGGGCACAGACTCTCCCAGAGAGGGGCGGTGTGTGGCTAGCAGGTGTGGGAGGGACTTACCTCTTACTCTACACCCTTTGGTGCTAACTGCATTTTGAAATAATGCACATACACTACAAGGCCCAGCTTTATTTTGATAACGGCATGTGGAGTTGAATATAAACTACTATTTTGTTACAGTATAACTACTTATTGCTGACACTCAGGGGTGATGGTCACTCACTGATTTTTATTACCCAGACTGGAAACTGCAAAGGTGAACTTTTCCTAGTTTTTAGCACACATTCCCATCCCCTGAAGACTGTCTCACTGGCAAAAAACCTAAATCTTCAGTAGCTTTATGGCCAATTTAGTGTGACTCAGTTATAAGTTCCAATTCTATCATTGTACGAGACCTTGTGGGGAGGGGTGCTGTGAGTGCTGGCTTTCCACAGCTGGACTGATACATGACTTCAGGTCTGATTATTCCATAAAGCAGCATGTAAGCTTTATCTTTTTTATTTAACGGAAATCTTTATTCAGATAATGACAGATTTGCATAATAGTAAAAATAGCAAAGCAATCCCAGTGTCTTTATTTCCACAGTTTCCTCCAATGGCAACGGTTTGCGAAACTACACAACAGTGTCTCAGCTGGGGTACTGACATGGCAGCGCACCCGTCTTTTTCACATGGCCCAGTTTACTCGTAACTCATCTGGGTGTGCACATCTAGACCTCGGCCGAAACCCCGACTGTTCCCGCAGAAGGCTACCTCCTGGGGCCTTTTATAACCACACACCCTGCCCCATCCCTACACCCTGGTAACTTTTCATCTATCCTCCATTTCTAAATTTTGTCATTTCCAAAATGTTATGCAATAACACGTTAAGTATCTGTGATTGGCTTTTCTTTTTTTCCTCTTAGTGTAATTCTCTGGAAATTTTGTTTATCTTTTCATTATGGGATTTAAGAATAGTCACCAGCAAGCAAAAACACAGACTTTTGCTAAATGTTCACCATTTAAGCTGGAAAATTCATGCTAGGCAACTGGCACATCCTGAAAACACGAGCTATCTGTGAAGGGGCCCTGATGTCTGCCTCAGTTCTCCTGTTTCTGTGAGGGGCATCTGGAGAATGGCTTCTCATTAGAGGGTCTTCAGCAGGTTTCTTGGGCTGGGCAACTCTGGCCCTCTGGGCAGGTGATTCTTTGTGGTGAGGGCTGCCTTGTGCATTCAGCAGCACCCCTGGTGCTGCCCAGCAAAGCAAGCCGCACCCTCTCTGTTCAGACAGCCACAAATGTCTCCAGACATCAACAAATGTCCCCTTGGTGGGGTGGTGCCCTGGGCCGAGAGCCCCTAGTCTTCAGGGAGGTCCTATGTCAGCACCAAAGGGCCGTTCTCCTGCACAGGACATGTGAAAACTCAGGGTACTGCCCAAGAAGCCACTCTACGACGGGTTGGACTGGGCTTGTTAGGGATGCCAAAGAAATGCTTTCGAAACATGAAAGTGAAAGTTTAAGTAATAAATCCTAAATTTGGACCGTTAAGAAATAAAGTTTATAAAGCAAACTGATATGCCAAATATATAATAGTTCTCCCTGAGGAAAGGGCATGAGGAGATCATGTCTGACAAGCAGATTTACAAAAATGATTACTTTAGGAAAAATCATGATTTAGAATTAAACCAATATTTATGCTGATGAAGAAGAGCAAAACAGTTGTTCTTTAAGTTATACTTTCTACCTTGATGGTGCTAATCACTGCTGGTGTTATCCTAAAAAGCAAATTCACACTGGTGATTGGGAAGCAGATGGAAGCCTACTGTCCACCCTATCATCTGTGATGAAAATGCAGACGGGCCCTCCAGCAGCCCAGTTCCCTTTGCCAGGGCACACTAGGCGTTCTCAGGAGGGGCTCTGCTCCCTGCAGGGAATGCCCACGCCCGCGGCCTCAAAACCCCGCCAGTACCTTGATGTACTCGCTCCAGTGCTGCAGCAGCGCCTGCTGCCCGCCCCTCACCCGGCTGAACAGCTGGTACATCTGTGCGAGGTCCGGCACTCTGTTCTCATCCAGTAAGTGGTCGAGCCCTGAGATGTGCAGTACACGTCAGCAGAGTACAGCATGGGCAGCATTAACAACAACTCAACTAGAATACAGCGTGCACCAGAAGAACGTCAATACACCGCTTAGAAATTGGGCGGGTCTCCACATCGCTGCCTCTACATGAGCAGGTTGATCTGGTTAAATATGTGAGATGGATCCTATTAGGTGAACCTCATTTTCTCTGAGTATGTTGGAAGATGTATTATTTACTTCTTTATGTCATTGAAGCCCTCTTATTTCACTTAAGTTAGCAAGTCAGAAAATCCAGTTTACACCAACTATTTAACCTGGGAGGTTCATGTTCTCAATCTACTTCTGATTTAGTCCATCGGCCAGACAATGTAAAAGGACAAGCTATCAAATCTAATTTATAGTGGATTAAATTTATTCACACCTATAGTAAACTATAAGAGAAAAACATCATCGGATATTTTGAAGTGTTTAACACAGCATTTAAAAAAGCTTTCAGTGTTTTAGATTTTTAATATTTATAACGGTTTTCTGAAACCATACCTCAATGAGAAAAACTCTCATAGATTTTCTAAATACTTGCTTTATGATAACTACTGAGAGGCAGCCAGGTTAAAGCATAAAATGGTGAACAGTCATACAATTCACAAAGTCTCAGATTCTGCCTACACTGGGCACGATGTTCACACAAACGAGGAGGTTTAAAGCTGTGCGCAAACACATGGTGGGGCTATAATTACAATCCTCACCTAGAGCTCCAAATGTTTATTTCTCTCAATTACATTCTGATCTACTGACACAAACTTTTTATACTTTATTTTACTAAAACCCATGTCTTAAGAATTCAAAAGTATCTTTTTAATTTTTAAAATATTTCTAATAAAATTTAGGGTAAGCTTTTACATATATAATTTACCATTTTCTTTAAATAATTTTGCTTAACAAAGTATGCACTGGAACAATTTATGCAAATTTCTACTATTTACTTGAAATCTTTTTTCTCTTTTTTTTTTGAGACAGGTCTCTTGCTTTGTCACCCAGGTTTTTGTAGTTTTGTAGCCTTAACCCCCTGGGCCAAAGTGATCCTCCCACCTCACCCTCCTGAGTAGCTGGTACCCTAGGCATGCACCACCTGTGGCTTTAAAAAAAAATTTTATTTTTATTTTTTTGGTAGAGACAGGGTCTCTCTTTGTTGCCCAGGCTGGTCGTGAATTCTTGGGCTCAAGTGATCCAAAGTGATACTTTGGCCTCCCAAAGTGCTGATGTCACAGGTATGGGCCACTATGCCTGGCCTTTTTTCTTATAAAGTGACTCCTTTCATAAAAACACCTGACACAAATTCTGAATGCATTTGTTTTTAGGTGGATAGGTGATGTGTAGGTTTCAGTGTGGAATAAGCAGAAACATCATAACCAGATTGGACCCGTGACTCTCAGCTCACAAGCAATGTGATTCCAGGCACCAACATCTGGCTGTTTTAAGCCCTGGTTTTCTTATTTGTAGAATGGGGATAATGATTTCACAGAATTGCTTGAAAAGATATTCACATCAAGTGGAGTTGTTTGTAACAGGAGATGCTCAATCATGTTAATTCTCCTCCCTTTTGGTTTTATTCTGGTTTCACTTAAGTATCTCATTAGCCATAATACTATTATCTGACAATGTAGAACCCAAAGCAGAATATATTTGAATACCATTTAGGGCCTTCTCAAAATTAAACTTTAAGGTTTCCAATGGCTTGAAAAAAGTCTCGTATTTTCCAAATACATTTAAAATGACTTTCAGAAGGTAACATTGTTTCAAATGGTAACAGTGAAATGTGCCAGTAAGTACTAAAGTGTTACAAAGGTTAGACTGCTCATTGTAATTTTCATAGAATTCAGCACACTTTGAAGCCTAGAAAAAACAGCAATAAACAAAGATCGAGGTAAGACATCAGCATCAATTTTAAAGGTGCAGGCTGCTAGAAGCCACCTTCCTATGGCCAGGTACTGCCACCACTTGGGGAGAAGCGGACGTGAAGGCCGCGCCGTCAGCACTAGAACACATGCTCTTCTCTTCCAGAAAACCAGGAGAAAAGTATACTCTGCTTAAGCAGACCACCTAGTCGGTAGTTCATCTGACACTAAGATGCACGAAGTCCGCAGGTGAGGGAAGCCTCACGAAAATCTAACAGCCCGAACAGCTCCCCGAGTCCCCTACATCCGAGTGTGCATGAAGAACGGCCGGACACAGGAAATGAGTCTGCTCAGAGAGCTGCAACAGGCTCACTGCACCCATGTTTCAGCATGAGTGTGGTACAGAAGGTCTGCCGGGCCTTCCTGCCACTGGGGTTTTAGCAGTGAATGTAGTTCCACTAGGTGCCTTCCATTATTTCTCTTACTGATTTTTTTTTCTCCCGTGGATGGCTAACATGTTCATTAGAAAAGATTTTTAATGACTGTCTTATGAAAATAACAAACGTCCTAACACTGCTATTTGTAATGCCCCCTTTACTTTCCTAATGAACTAAGGATAATTGTTCAGTTTAATTTGCACAAGAGTTAGGAAATCTACCTTTCTGCAGAATTGCTGTTAAATGTTCTCCTAATAGCTGTTTCTCCACACAAGCAATCAGTGGTTTCCTATATAAGGTAAAAAGAATAAGCGTTAGAAGTAAAGTTTAAAGAAGAGACTGGTTCTCTGCAAAAGATGGGGGCATTTGTCTATGACAGATGCAGTCTAGAGGCAATCAGAAACGGAAGGTTAAGAACATTTCCTCATGCAAACGGACGACGACTCCTGTTGCTAATGACGCTGAAGGAAGCCCTTTCTAAAAACCACCTACTGAACAGCACAAGCAGGCCCACGGGCGGGCCCAGGGAAGCAGGGATGCTTCTGCGTTATTCCAAGGATTGCTGATTTTAGCCATCTTCCCAAGCCTTCATTTCCAGTTTATAAGGAACGTTTTAATGCACCATCTTACGGAGAAGGGCAGAGCCGACATTCCGCCTTCTGCTTCCTACACAGGCAGAAAGGGCTCAGGGAAGCTGTGTGTGACCTGCACACCCTGGTTGTGGGGCTTCGCTGTGGCTGCCGCTCTCTCCACTATTTCCCCCGGACTTCCCTGGCTGCTGCTTCCCAGTCTCCCGGGGGCTGCTCTTCTGCTCCCAGTTGGAAGGAAGCACAACATGGCCCCCGAGCCACCCTGGCCTGCCTCGAGATCCTGGATTTCCCACAGGCTCCTCCAACTCCACACGTCTAAGTGACCAAATCTCTTTTTCTGCACCCTCTCTGTTTTTGTGCTGGATTCTGTCAGAATCCTTCCCCTTTCCGCACCTTACTGAGTCCAGTTCTGCACACCATATCATTTTCATCTCTCCTCCTGTTTTCTCTGCTGAGTCCTACCAAGTCCTGTTCTGCACATCTGTACATTTTATCATTCCCTACTGGGTCCAGTTCTGCACACTGTATCATTTTCTTTTTTTTTTTTTTTTGAGACGGAGTCTCGCTCTGTCGCCCAGGCTGGAGTGCAGTGGCGTGATCTCGGCTCACTGCAAGCTCTGCCTCCCGGGCTCATGCCATTCTCCTGCCTCAGCCTCCCAAGTAGCTGGGACTATAGGTTCCCGCCACCACGCCCGGCTAATTTTTTTGTATTGTTAGTAGAGACGGGGTTTCACCATGTTGGTCAGGATGGTCTCGATCTCCTGACTTTGTGATCTGCCCACCTCAGCCTCCCAAAGTGCTGGGATTACAGGCCTGAGCCACCGCGCCCAGCTGCACACTGTATCATTTTCATTTCTCTCCCTTGCTGTCCCCTCTGCCTCTGTCCTTGCCTCCCATCATATGGACACACTGTGCCTGACACACACGCTCACATAATCTCTCCCTTTTTGTTTCCCTAGCTACTCATCAACCTCAGGTTTGCAGGAAAAAAACATAAGATGAAAAGAGAAAATTGTGTGACAGCACCATAAATAAAATTAAAGCGATATAAAATGTGTAACAGAGAATGCACAATCAAAATAACCTAATATTCAGTGATACTCCATTAACATAAATAGACCGTCTCAAAACTCAAAGATGCCAAGTATCTCAGCAAGATTTACTCTCTTTAGACGTAACTCATGACAAGGCACTGGGTAAAAACTGTAATTTGTGAATGCCAAATAATGACAAATAACAAAGTAAAATATGCTAGGTGCAAAAACACTCTTAGTACTGAATGAATTGACAAAGACACCCTTTATTTCAATAACCAGCCAGGAGAACCTTCCAGCCATGGTGAAGATACGAACGCTCAGCGAGCAAACGGTACTTACTGTGTGCTGTGGTCCAAGTAAGTGATTACTCTGTCTCCCTCTTCCTCTAAGCGTTTACTTACATGGTTAAGATATTCTGGAACCTTACAAACAAAACAATTAAATGTATCAGTAACAAAAAGAATGTCGACACTATCCAAGAAATTGAGATTTTGTTTTCCTTACATGTAATTTTTTTAAAAAGCAGAATACATATTCAAGCCAAATATTAACACAGATTAACAGGGAGGGAGAGGTAGGACGGAAATGTGTGTGGGGGACATGGAGAAAGGACGCTGATATTAACATCCATCCTACAACAGGGCCCAGGCTGCACTTCTCTTTCGTCCCTGTGCACCACCAAGTTTCGGGGTCTGTGCACACCCTCCTCCCATCCCCAGGGCCCACAGGGAGCTGAGCCTCACTTGGTAGGAGGATGAGGTGCTAAATGGCAACCCTGCCCCGCACAGCTGGGTCAGCAAAAGCAAGTCAACAAGGTGGTTGTTCATTTGGGGGACACCAAACAACACGGTTGCAGGAGACCTCAAAGTACGCCCATGTTTCCCAAGACAGTGCGGGAAAGGCCTGAGGCTCTGCTGGGGTAGCTGCAGCTGGGCTCAGTATCTGACATGAAACTTCCTCTGCAAAGCCAGAATGAAGGAACCAATGGCTAAGGTCCATTCTGGCAGTAGCACGCACCATTTGGGTGACAGTCTATGGGGCAGGTTCCTTTATGATTTTGCTCTGGTATCTGGAAAGGTGATTAAGTTTTTTGGGTTCCTATTACTACTACATGTTTTTTCGCACAGCTTTTTTTGGGAAAATTTTTTGCAGTGCTTCACACAAATGAAAAATTTTATCATTTACATTTATATTTTTAAGTTTTCATGTATGTTTTTATCATCTTGCTTAAATTTGAGTTATTTTAATTATTTCAGAAATGATCTTACAGCTTTTTACTTGTGGGGGGAGTGCAATAGTTTCTAAGTTCACATAAACTAAATTCTTAGTATACTAAGAACGAAGCTCATTACTGGGGATTCTGGCAAGATTGCAGCTTTCAGAAGATTTTCAATGAAACATTTGCATGTGTGTGAAAAGGCAAACATGAGGAAAGTCCTCCTAGGTGCTCATCTGCAGAAACGAAGCCAGGGGATTCGGAAACATCCCATCATCTCACCTCTCTTTCCTGCATTAACCTTTGGCCTTCGGCAGCATATAAGCAATTAGTCTCTTCCAAAAATTTCAGTTCAAATGAATCTTTATACACCTAAGAAACAAGCAGAGTTACTGACCAATTTCAGTAAAGGAAACTATCTTCACAAGTGCTAACACATCCCAGTTTCTGACGGGGCAGGCTGCCATGACCTGAACTTGGAGGCGCCTGTGGCCACCCAGCCGGCCGGCTGCACTGTCCTTCCCAAAACGGCCGGGCAGGCCCTCCTCTGTTCTCTTCCTATAGTGCCTTGGGGTCCTATTGCTCTAAAGAACTTCGCCCTTTGTCTTTTGTGTGTGTTGCTAATATTTTCCCCCAGCGTGTCATCTGGCTTTGTCTCTGTTTATATTTTCCATGAAAAACGTGCATTTTATGTAGTGATATTGATCTATCCGTGCATTTTATGTAGTGATATTGATCTATCTTCTCTTTTGTGGCACCTGGTGTGGTGTTAGCTTGAGCGCTATTCCCCTTCTAGGGATTTTAAAGACTCTCCTATCTTCAACAAATGCCTTTATGATTTCATTGTTTAACATCTTTGGTACAACCATTTATTCTGGTGCAAGTAGCTGGGCAGGTACCCAGGTATCTTCCGCACAGGCAGCACTCACCTGCAGGTCAGACAGCATGCCCAGGAGGCTCCGCAACAGGCTCCGGTCCACGGCCTCGCCGCTCCTCTCGCGCTCGATCAGCAGTAGGATTCCATCAATGGTTTTACTCTGAACCATTTTATCACTAATAATATGGGTTCTAAACAGTTCTAATCCCATATCCCTGTATAGACAGTAAGAAACAGGACTACATTTTAGTTTCGCTTTTTAGAAGTTATGGGTGAATCTCCAGCTATGCTATTCAATATCATCCCAAAAATGTGAAGTTGCTAATTCTCTACATCTAGGTGCCAAGAATTCCTTTTAAAAACTTCTGTTTCTCAGCCAGTCTAGCGCGCCTTGTATTTCCTTCCTTAAACAGAGCTGCTCCACGTTCCTGGAGACGCTGCTAGGTCATGCATGCCACTGACAGTAAAACTGGTATCACACAAGCTGCTGGCAGAAGCCCGGGGTCCTCGCCACCTTCCTGCTGAGCGACGGGAGACACTCAGGCAGTTGGGCACCACGACCCTGCCTGCCCCACCTGCCCCTCCCGCCACCGTCTCCAACAGCCCTCAGGGTACACTCTCTTCCCAGTGTCCTCTGCTGAGCACGTCCCAGCAGCTTCCCTTCTCCAAGCCCTGGGAGCTCTCCTACCAAATGTTTGCTGCTTTCCCCTGAGAAGAGAAGGTGATGCACAGCTTTCAGAGTTCATCGCAGTCCTCAGCTCATGGCCTGAGGAATGTTAGGAAGATGGTTCAGCTGCCAGTGGCTGTCCACAAAACCCATCTTGTGGGCTCTGTGCTTTGCTTCAACACTCCTACTGTCCCCAGTGGCCAAGTACGCCATTAAGGAGGGGCCAAAAATACAGATGCTGGGCTCCAGCCAGAAATCCGGAATTGGCACATCAGGGCAGGAGTGGTGCTGGTGGTGGCAGTAATAGTAATAGTGGTGGTGGTGGCAGCAGTAATATAGTGGTGGACAGGTGGTGGTGGCAGTAGTAATAGCGGTGGTGGCGGTGACAGTAATACTGGTGGTGGCAGCAGCAGTAATAGTGGTGGGCGGGTAGTGGTGGCAGCAGTAATAGTGGTGGGCGGGTAGTGGTGGCAGCAGTAATGGTGGTGGGCGGGTAGTGGTGGCAGCAGTAATGGTGGTGGGCGGGTAGTGGTGGCAGCAGTAATGGTGGTGGGCGGGTAGTGGTGGCAGCAGTAATGGTGGTGGGCGGGTAGTGGTGACAGTAATGGTGGTGGGCGGGTAGTGGTGACAGTAATGGTGGTGGGCGGGTAGTGGTGACAGTAATGGTGGTGGGCGGGTAGTGGTGGCAGCAGTAATGGTGGTGGTGGTGGTGGCAGTAGTAACAGTGGTAGGCGGGTGGTGGTGGTAGTATTATTAATAATATTATGGTGGCAGTGGTGGCAGCAGCCGCAGTGGTGGGTGCCACACAGGTGTGCAGAGGGCCCTGGGAGCCACCTCAATGGTGGAGACGTGCACCTCCCTTGACTGCCCACATCACCATGGGCCTCTCCTGTTGCTCCCGCGTGTGCTGCACACCAGGTCTTCTGTGCACTTCACCACAGTTGGAGCAGGAAGGTGCAGTGGCCAGACTTGTGGGCTCGAGGCAGCTGCCTGGGTTTGAATCCTGGCCCTACTACTTGCTAGCTGTGTGACCCTGGGTGAGAAGCTTAATGTCTCTGTGCCTTTCCTTCCTGAACTGTTAAAATGGGGATCAAATGTTATTAGTTCCTGCCTCTGAAGCCCTTGGGGCAGTGCCAGGCAGGTAGCCAGTGCTTAGGAAGGCTTAGGTCTCCACTTGTGTGACTCTCTACCCTGCCACTGGGATCTTCTCTTTAAAACATCAACCTCAGCTGAAAAACCCTTCAGGGCCCTCATCAGCTCTATCCCTCCCCACCTCCCACTCCCCACACAGGCTTCTTCTGGTCATGCTGCCGTCCTAGCCATCACTAGCAGGAGATACTCGGCTTTGAACTTACTGCTTCCTTCTACTCTTTCTTTCTTAGCTGCCTGACCACCTTTGCTCATTCTTCAAAGCACAGGCCAAGGTTCACCCTCAGCCCTCCTCCCCATCCCAGAGATGGACAAAGTATCTCCTCACCATGCATTGCCCACACACACCTCAACCAGGATTCTTCTTGTAATGATGCTCACGTTCAGGTTTTTAGCCACTTGTGGTAGACTGGAGGTGGTATCATTTATTCTATTTTATAAACAATGTTTATAGTTTGTATGACAGTTATGGTATAAACTATGTTTATAAATTAAGAGTTTAGTGTTGGGCATGGTGGTTCACACCTGTAATTCCAGCACTTTGGGAGGCTGAGGTGGGAGGATCGCTTGAGGCCAGGGGTTCGAGACCAGCCTGGGCAACATAGCAAGATCCTGGCACTACAAAAAATTTTTAGAAGTTAGTCGAATGTGGTGGTGCGTGCCTATAGTCCCAGCTACAGGGGAGGCCAACGCAGGAAGATCACTTGAGCCCAGGAGTTTGAGGCTGCAGTGAGTTATGATTGTGCCACTGCACTCCAGCCTGGGTAACAGAGTGAGACCCTGTCTCTAAAAATAATAATAATAATAATAATAATTTTTGAAAAGCATTTAGACTATGGGCCAGACAACTGAGGTAGGGCAAGTTATTTTAACTTATGTGCCTTAGTTTGTATAAAATAGGAGTGACAATGGCCACGCCACAGAGCTGCTCTAGGGATTAAATACATTAGTAGGAAACAGTCCCTTGCACAGAGCAAATGCTAAATAATCTGCTATGATCACTTTTATCATCTCCATTCTTTCCTGGAACACAGGCTGTCTTTTCTGTGCAGCGTTTGCCTTCTCGTAGACCACATGGATGCCTACTAGGAGATGTTTGGGAGTTCCATGAGGAAGTTAGAAGGGCAAATGGCATTAATGGGAGCTTCAACAAGGACAGGGTGTCCAAAATTGTATAGATGTTGTATAAAATAAGGACAAAAATGCTTGCTGGATTTGGTAACTGGCAGGTCACCGACATCTCAGACAAGAGCAATCTCTACATGGCGAAAGCAGAAATCACATTGCCTTGGGTCAGCGTGCCCAGTGGGTGGGGTAGGAAAAGCAGGCACATTTTAAAGAACTTGGGTTTAAAGCTCATGAGAAGGCACGACATCACTTTTATGTATGAATGTGAGAAGAATGAAACACTACATTAACAGAGAACAAGACAAATCAGACGGTGAGACCGGACACAGCTTTTGTCCAAAGTCGGCTTGCAGGAGGCGGCAGGATTCAGCGCCATGGGGTGGCCACAGAGGACACACAGGGGTCAGCAGAGGACATGTGGGGTCCGTGGCCGCGAACGCTGCTGAGGAAAGGCCCCAGAACCCCTGGTGTATACAGTCCCCGAAAGATGACGGACGATGAGTGCTATGTGCTCAGGAGGCCGGGAGGCTGAGCAAGCCATTCCACAGGGGACGCACAGCCTCAGGGCTGCGACCCCACGGGCAGCAGGCAGTCTTTCTCCGAGTTTCAACTGCAGCGCTGGAAAGAGCCGCTCCAGGCTCAACCTCCAGTCGTCAGAGAGAAACCAAGACCCTCTGTCTTCACCCTCATGACCAAAGTCAGCCGCCTGTCCGAGCTTCCTGCTCCACTCCTTGCTGCTGGCTAGACACCTGGTGTTTCAAGGCTAAGACCCACCTGGACTCCTACGTTCACGTTAATGATTTTGGCTGAAGAAAGGAAGGCACAAGTAATCACACACACTTTACCATCTTAGCCTGCGGAAGACACAAACGGGACGAAAAGCATCAGCTGCAGGGAAGACGCAGCTCTGCGCTGTGAGGACACTCACCAGATGGAGGGCAGCGTGGAGTTCTGCAGCACATAGGTGCGGTCCAAGAACAGGAAGATGCTTCTGATCATGATCTGACCAGCAGAAAGGAGAACCATTTACTTATGAATTCTACTAGCAAAATATGAAAGATCAGGCCTTTTAACTCCATGCTAGCTGTCTCAAATCCAACAGCTGTTTCCTGTCCACCACAGCCCTCATGTTTTATTTTTTTTTTCTAAAGTTAATTTTGTCCCCTTGGTATGTGATTTCCATCTCTTTAATATTGTAAATCTGACTGTAGGAATTTTAACGCACTTAGCCTAAAATGGTATCTTTTTTTTCTTTTTAAAGAGATCCTGTGTTCAGCCAAGGCCTAAAGGATATCTTTTAAATTTGGTCATTTTTCTTTTTTTTGTCTTGAGACGGAGTCTCGCTCTGTCGCCCAGGCTGGAGTGCGGTGGCGTGATGTGCAAGCTCCGCCTCCTGGGTTCACACCATTCTCCTGCCTCAGCCTCCCGAGTAGCTGGGACTACAGGCGCCCACCACCCCACCCGGTTAATTTTTTTTTTTTTTGTATTTTCAGTAGAGACGTGGTTTCACCGTGTTAGCCAGGATGGTCTCGATCTCCTGACCTCGTGATCCGCCCGCCTCGGCCTCCCAAAGAGCTGGGATTACAGGCGTGAGCCACCGCGCCCGGCCTAAATTTGGTCATTTTTTTGACTGATGTGCTACTTCTTACTAGATTAGGGAGATGCACTTAGCTTTTAAAACCTGAGTTCCTGTTACATGATGAGGCTCTTGGACGTGTGTCTCTGACTCTGCGTTGCGAGCAGAGTGAGGGATGCAGGATGATCCCTGGTCCTGTCCTGTGCTCCTACCATCGAGCCCACTACCTGGCTGGGGAGACTTGTGAACGCATCTCACCAAACCCTTCCCAACAGACCCTCAGCGAGCTCTAGCAGCTGCCAGCTACCTGGCCCAGAAAAGAAATACACCCATCGTCTCCTACTGATATCATTTAGAAAACGGAAGATTTCAACCTACTTAGGAAAGCTATTAATACGGTCTGTTCTCTCACTTAAGTAATTAACGGCCAGGTCACACTAAAAATGTATACATGACGTCAAGTCAAAGCCAAGACATCTACAAAGCCTAAGACGCTGGTTGTGCAGCTGCAGGAAAGACCTGGGATTCAGGCTAGATTCTGAGGAGTAAACTGTGCTTAAAGAGACATTTAGAGACCCATGCAGGCATCTAAGAACCCTGTCACCACTGCGGACTGTGACTGTGGACCTGAAGGCCAAGAGGGTCAGTGGTGCCCTCTCACAGGAGCTGAGGAGTTCACCTTCCCTGCTTTTCTCATCGTGCTGTTCAACCACAGCACTGAACACAGACAGAATCCTCAACAGAACTTCTATGTCTCAGCTCTCAATCATGTGGGTGAGGGAAGATGGATGAGGTCGTGTTTTGATGAAAAAGTGAACAAGCTTACCATTTGTCTGCAGTGGTCCTGCCAGCACGTGTTAATCTTCTTTAAAAATAAAACACTATCTAGTGAGTCTGTACAGATCTGCTAAGGAAAACTTTAAAAATGCTGGCCAATTTAATTATTACCTTTTTTTTTTTTTTTGAGATGGAGTCTCGCTCTGTCGCCCAGGCTGGAGTGCAGTGGCACGATCTTAGCTCAGCAGTGCAGCCTCTGCCTCCCAGGTTCAAGCGATTCTCCTGCCTCAGCCTCTTGAGTAGCTGGGATTACAGGCGTGTGCCACCACGCCCAGCTAATTTTTTGTATTTTTAGTAGAGACGGGGTTTCACCATGTTGGTCAGGCTGATCTCGAACTCCTGACCTTGTGATCCACTGGCCTCAGCCTCCCAAAGTGCCGGGATTACAGGCGTGAGCCACCGCAACCGGCCATTATTACAATTTTAACCCCTTAATTTCAGCTACCTTCTCCACTGAATACTACACACCATTCAGTAACTGGAATACTGAAAGAATATTAGTCTTGAATGTTCATGTCCCCCCAAAATTCATAGGCTGAAGCTCTCACTCTACGGTAATGGTGTTAGGAGGCAGGGCCTCTGGGAGGTGATTAGGTCATGAGAGTGGACAAGCCTCAAGAATGGGGTTACAAAAGAGACCCCAGAGAGCTCCCCTGCCTCTTCCACCACATAAGGATGCAGTGAGAAGGTGCTGGCTATGGACCAGGAAGCGGGGCCCCACCAGACATGCAATCTGCCAGTGCCTTGACCCTGGACCTCCAGCCTCCAGAGCTGTGAGCAACAGACTCCTGCTGTTGATGAGCCACACTCTATGGTGTTTTGTCATGGCAGCCCCAGTGGGCTAAGATACACTAGAAGTTCAATCATGGATCTCTGTATCTCATCACCAATGTGCACTCAGCTTGCCTGTGCTGCTTTCCCTTCCCACGGCCCCGCCTGCCTCTGGCCGCTCGCCACTCCCTCTCCAGCCTCCCTTCATCCTCTCCTTCCTTCACTGCCAGACACCTTCAAGTCCCTGCCGGCAGAAACACACCCAGGCCTTAAGTGCCCTGGGGGTAGGTGGCGGGACAAAAGGCCCCACTTCACAAAGGGCAGACACTGAACATACTCCCACAGGGGGGCTCCTGGAGATGGTGACTGGCCTGGTAAGAGTCACTAGGACTATTTTTTAAAAATTAAAAGAGATGGCACCTCACTATACTCCTAGGCTGGTCTTGAACACGTGGTCTTAAGTAATCCTCCTCAGTCTCCCAAAGTGCTAGGATTACAGGTATGAGCCAGTGTGCCCAGCCTGTGGCAAAGTGCAGCTGGACAGGAAAATGGCTCAGGTTTAACTTCCAGCCTCAATGAAAACTAACATGAACTCTCATCCATGCACCAAATTAGGAACACTCTTACCTTGACTCTTAGAATGTGTATTTTTAGGAAAAGGCCCAAAAAGTAGTTTAGGACAAAGAACCCAGAATATGGGCTCCTAGAGCAAGTGGTCTGGTGTCCCTCAGGTTCATGCAAAGCTGAGAATCATCAATGACAATAAACTGCTTTATGGTTTACGAAACACTCTTCACATCCACTCTCACTGAAAATCTCCCCAACCTCGTGGTGCAGACATTGTTCCCTTTGTACAGATTAAGAAAATGGCTTGTCAAAGGGGACAGAACATGGACTTCCTACATTTTAACTCTTGATCCACCGCCTGTCAGCAACACAATACTGGCCAAACCAAGGGACTTCTCTAGGTCTGTTTCTGCCGTGCAGCAAGACACTTCACACTCAAGAGCCAATGTGAGGTGGTGACAACATCCTCACACACAGAGAGGAGGAAAAACACATCAGTTAAGTAGGATGCACAAATCAGACATGAGCTGGAGTCTCAGGGTGGCAACGAGTGGCCTGACAAAGAAAGAGTGCCAGGGAGGGTAGGGTGCCAGGCAGAGCCTGAGGAGGAATAAACAGTGCTGAGGATAGCCAAGGGGCTCCCGGGGGGTCTGAGTCCTTGTCACACCAGGAAGTGCTGTGACCAAAGCTACAGGGGCCTGGCTAAGACAGCTTACTCTATTTTTTCTTGAGGCTTTGCAGAATTCTCAGAAGCACTGCCAGAAAATTAAAAACAGACACTTACAGCAAAGACCTAATGGTTGAATGGTTAACAGGTTCCTCTGGAAGTACTCTTTACAAATTGTTCAAAATTATAATGGCTCATTATATTAGGAATCTACAGAAACAGTCTGGACAAAACAAAAAAACCCATCCCAAGTGCATCTGGACAGGCTTCAAGGACCCCCAACAGCCATCCTGCAGCTCTGACTCCAGGAGCTGGACGGGAACTGCGGCCTGGACCTCCCAGCAAGCCTCTCTGCGGGCAGGCGGGCCACAGCAGCCGAAGGCGGAGCTTTGCTTCCAGATGAGGGTGCACAGATCCTTTAAACTTAACGGGGTTAAACTGACACCAGTCAATCTGACACCACTGGGCAGCTCAGGTGTTGTGAAGACAGAGTTCCACCTGGGGCAGTGTCTTGTTAAGATGGAAAGTCCAATGTAAAGTGTTCATTAAATGAGAAATACTTCCTCTAAAATAGCTCTGTAAAATCAATATAGATCCTCAATCAATAATTTTTTTGTTATTTCCCACAGAAAAAAACTACAAAATGGTAAGCTAAAATCAGTGTGGCATTTACTAAGTAAGCTTTGGCCTTCTAAACATCAAAATCAATTCCATATTCTGGGATATAACACATAGCCACAATGGTGTGCAAGTAATTCCAGGATGTGAGACACACAGACACCGTGAGTCTGTCAATAGTGTATTCTCGAGATAGGTTCTTCAGCAACCATCCTTTTTCTCACTTCAGAAAAGGGCCAATCTTCATTAAACGATTTATACAGCCTACTGAGACGAGTTAGGCAGGTCTTCAAACAGCAAACAAAATCCAACAGCAGAAATGCTTACACCATAGAAAAAAACCTACCTATCATATCTGTAACTAAAAAAAAAAAGAAAAAGCAAAAAGACGGTGCTTCTGTTGGGGTAGAAGAGGGATACATACATTTTCTACACTTGGTTATCTGCTTCTGCAATTCCAGGAACAAGTGGCCCATCTGCTGCCTGTACCGACAGACCGGACAGACCGCGAGGGGACAGCCCTAGGCCGACCCTCATTCATCCACACAACCCATGAAGGCAGGGGTGCTTGTTTTGTCTCCTCTGATCTGGCCGAGCATTAACAGGGTTCTCTTGGGCTTTCGTCTCTTCATCTGGAAAATATGGTCAATAAAGATACCTACGGCTCAGGGTGTTGTGAGACAAAGCAATTCATGAATGTGCAGAGCTTGGCCTACTGCCAGCAAGTGCTCCGTACACGATATCTGGTCAAGTGAGAACAGGCACAAAGTCTTTCTAAGGAAAGACAAAGCCTGCTGTCGCCAGTGCGGATCATAAAGGCACACTTAGAGGAAACTGGAGCTTTGCAACTTCCCCAACAGCCAAGGTTCCCAGCTCACTCCCGTGCCCTTCCCTTCTGACCACACGGCTATCATGGTGTCCACCACTGCCTGGCATTCTGTGGCTGACCAGAGCTGCAATGCTGTCAAGGTGAACCAGGGGAAGGAAAATGTGAGTTTCATCTATAGTTATCTACAGGTTAGATTCTGAGGACAGTTGGCTTGACATTTTTTTTTTTTTGAGATGGAGTCTCGCTCTGTCACCCAGGCTGGAGTGCAGTGGTGCGATCTCGGCTCACTGCAAGATCTGCCTCCCGGGTTCATGCCATTCTCCTGCCTCAGCCTCCCGAGTAGCTGGGACTACAGGTGCCCGCCACCACGCCCGGCTAATTTTTTTGTATTTTCAGTAGAGACGGGGTTTCACCGTGTTAGCCAGGATGGTCTCGATCTCCTGACCTCATGATCCGCCCACCTTGGCCTCCCAAAGTACTGGGATTACAGGCGTGAGCCACCGCACTCTGCGGGCTTGACATTTTTGAAGAGCTCCTGTTGCCCACGTAGCTTGGCTGGGTGGCACGTGGTCCTGCAGCATGTGGTGTGGGTTCTGCAGCAGCTGCCTGTGGCTGAGCATGTGTATGAGTGCAAGGGTACAAATGGCCTTTATTTTGAGGAAGGGACGTCACCAAGAGCAGCTATCTATTTTGAAACGGACAGCTAAGTGCAGAATTTATCAAACATGTGAGACAAGAAAACGGATGTGGTAAACGAAGAAGATGGTAGTGAATGACTCAATTCCACAAAAGCCCTTTTTCTACCTGCACATCTGATGGGTTTCATCTATAATCTAATATCAGCATACAATCAAAATATAATCGGTACATAACATTACTTAAATCTGGCCGGGCATGGTGGCTCACGCCTGTAATCCCAACACTTTGGGAGGTCGAAGCAGGCAGATAATCCAAGATCGCAAATTCGAGACCAGCCTGACCAATGTGGAGAAACCCCGTTTCTACTAAAAATACAAAATTAGCCAGGCGTGGTGGCGCATTCCTGTAATCCCAGCTACTCGGGAGGCTGAGACAAGAGAATCGCTTGAACCCAGGAGTGGAGGTTGTTGCGGTGAGCCAAGATTGCGCCATTGCACACTAGCCTGGGCAATTAAGAGCGAAACTCCGTCTCAAAACAACAACAACAACAACAAATTACTTAAATCTTAGAAAGTAGAGTTACTTGAAGTACTGGAATATCCCAGAGGCAAAAGAAATCTGAATATGCAGACCTTGGAATACTCCCTGCCACACAGTATCTCAGCATCTGCCATCACATTAACATTTCCCCAGGTGAGACTGGGCTGGGTCAGAACTCTCTTCCAGCAAAAACAAGCTTTTTGAGAGCAGGACCCGTGCCATTCATGCCTGTCCCTGGTCCCCAACGCACAGTGCTGAGTTGGACAGAAACACCCCATGTTTACTAGGTTAACGTACGAATGTAGCCTAAAAGCCTTCATCACAGTAACCAGCCACTTCCTGGTCTCATCATCCCCTCAGACTCTACTTACTGGTCACTAAGCCGCCTGCCATATTAAACTCGCCCCTCGATTCCCACAAGATGACTCTCCAGGTTCTCCTCTCATCTTCCTGACAGCAGCCCTCATCCACCTCCTCTCATGGCTCTGCTCATTTTCTTTTTAGAGATGGGGGTCTTGCTCTGCTGCTCAGGCTGGAGTGCAGTGGCGCAATCTCAGCTCACTGCAGCCTCGGCCTCCTGGGCTCGTGCAATCCTCCCACCTCAGCCTCCAGAGTAGCTGGGACCACAGGTGTGAACCACACACCCGGCTAATTGTCGTCTAGGCTGCTCTTGAACTCTTGGGCTCAACTGGCCCTCCCAACTTGGCCTCCCAAAATGCAGTGCTAAGGTTAGAGGCGTGAGCCACTGTGTCTGGCCACTCTGCTCATTTTTCCTGGGCATCTCATCCATGTCTGGAGCCACTGGATCTGTGTCTCCAGCCCCAAATGCACAACAGGCATCTCTACCTGAGTGCCTCCTCACCTCCTTCCAAATCAACATGACCACGACAGACCCTCCCCGCCTCAATCCGTGTCTCCTCCTTCCAAATCAACGTGACCACGACAGACCCTCCCCGCCTCAATCCGTGTCTGGTTCATCCTTCCACAGCAGTCAGATCCTTTCCCTCTAACCATAAGAGGTTTGCTGGCAGGATGCTGCCATTCCACCCTGTGGTTTTGCTGCCCAGTCAAACCATTGTGGTGTGACCCCTCACACCACAGTGCACACACACAGGCACACTAACTTCTTACCAACATAACCCAGCCATGCTGTGCCTGAACACCTTGGCTCAATCTCCACCTTCAGATAAACCTCAACCTCTTGGTTCAACAAAGGCTCCTCCACAATTCAGCATCCACCTTCCTCTCATTTTCCCCTTTAGGGATCCTGTCAGTGGTCAACTCTCCCACACCCAGCAGCATACCTGGCTCTTCTGCCCAGTAAGCTTCCTCAGCGCCAGGGCTGCCCACGCTGCTCCCTGGCCTGTGCCACCTTGGCATCCCACAGCGCCTGCCACTTCCTCATCCATCCTTTAGGACATGGCCCAGACATCGCTTCGCCCCTGCAATGCTCCCCTACACAGGTGGGCTAGCTGCTCTTTCTTTAGGTCCCAGGAGCTTATCTGAACCTTTGAAAACCCTTATCACAGGCCAGACGCGGTGGCTCACGCCTGTAATCCCAGCACTTTGGGAGGCTGAGGCAGGTGGATCACGAGGTCAGGAGTTCGAGACCAGCCTGGCCAATGTGGTGAAACCCCGTCTCTACTAAAAATACAAAAATTAGCCGAGCATGGTGGTGGGCGCCTGTAATCCCAGCTACTGGAAAGGCCGAGGCAGGAGAATGGCTTGAACCCAGGAGGGAGAGGTGCAGTGAGCCGAGATCGTGCCACTGCACTCTAGCCTGGGTGACAGAGCAAGACTCCATCTCACAAAAATAAATAAATAAATAACACAAAAAAACAAAACAAAAAAAACCCTTATCACAGCACTGCATAAATGCTTATCCTGATGCTTTTGCCACCGCCATTCGGGTTTAAGCTCCAAAGGGACAGAATCCCATTCTGCTCAGATTTATTTTCCCAGGGCCTGGCATCATACCTAGCACATGACAGATACTTAAAAACATGTGCCGACCCAATGGAAGGCTGTGGTGTGCTGGTCTATATGTAAACTTATCCCATCATTCTGCCAGAGTGACCTCCATGAACAATCTAATTCTGGTTTCTTGCTTAAAAAACCTGTGAGGACTCTGGGATACTCACAGACTGAAGTCTGACTCCTTGGTAGTATCCACAAAGATTCAAATTCAGTCTGCAACTTAGCATCACAGCCTAAGGGCCACCAGGTCTCTGGAGTTCTAGTTGTGCCCGCTGCTCGGGGTTTCCAGAGCACCCTCCACGCTCTGCTTCTGGTGCCACAGCCACAGGAGGGCGCATCCTCCCCATCCCTTCAGGAGGGTCTCCTCTGGGAGGCTCTGCCCCAGATGCTTCACATGCCACCATTCCTGGCCTGACGCGCAGTTCTCAACTCAAGATCTTGTCTCATGACTAATAAGGGCATTTAATACGGTAGTGTTTTTTTCTTTTGCCTTTAATGAACCAAATGATAATTTTTGTAATCACAGTTTTGCCACTGCACCAGGGAAATACAGTAATTCCCCTGCCTCTCCCATAAGCCTGCGACTTCTTGGAGGGTAGAAATCAGGCATGGGGGTCACTTTCCATTTTGCGGTGCCAGTGCAGTAGGTAGAAAGCAAGTGCTTGTGCAGTGAGTGAACTGATGGCACATTAGTCAACCCACAGAGTAGGAGTAACTGGCAAAAGATTCATTTGATCAGGTAATCAGATAGTCGTTTTCAAGTAAATTGGGACAGCAACTAGAGTAGGAACAATCACCGCCTACTGACTCTCATAAACGCCTAAGTCTTTGGGAGAAGGCTTGGGCATCTGCTAAAGACTTCCCCCAAGCCTAGGAGTCAGGCCGCTTTTTGGATGGAAACATCTGGAACGTAGGTTCCTGGAAGCGCATTGCTGAGCCGTGGCACTGGGGCGGGGCCTGCTTCTGTGCGCCCTCACAGGCGCCTCCTGAGATAAGGTGCACTTTGGCCAGGTTCCAAAAGGTGGTGTGCGGTCACTGATCTCTTGAACGACCTCATGATCTTTAGGAAAGGGCTTTGCTGGAAAACACTGCAGAGGCGTATTTACAGAAGCCAGCACAACAGAGCTGGAACCGACTTCACTCACATCTGTGCGGGGTGCTGTGGAGATTGTCTAAACAGAGACCTCTCACCCTGCATTTCAGCTTCCCTGTCACGTGCTTCAACTTCAGCAGCACCAACTGCTGCAGATTCCCTGAGGACCCTTCCAATGAACTCAGAATGGTTTAGTTTCCCAAGATCAGGGAGATGGGGGAGCAGAAGTTTCCTTGAACTAGAAGAACACTTAGAAATAAGCAAACACAAACCACCTAATTTTACACATGAAGAAACGGAGGCCTAGAAAAGTACAGCCACAAGTAGATTTTCTGCAATTATAAACTCTACTTTCTAATTCCTACCCAATGAGACACATGGACAGCTACAGTACTGGGAGGAGGCTGGGGAATGAGATTGAGTCCAGATTAAAGGATTTTCTATAGGATGCCAAGGAGCCCAGAGACTCCCCTGTAGACGTCTGAGTCACAGCTGGTGTGGCAGCAGAATTCTGAGATGCTCCTGCCCTGTCCCCACGTGGAGGATGCCTCACACGCAACTGTGAACGAGGCTGTGAATACGAAGGTCATCATTCCTTGACTGGGTTACGGGTTACATCATATAAGGCCCTATCTCAGCAGGTCAGACAGGCAGATTCTCCTGCTGGTCTAGAAGCAGAAAAGAGTCGTGCTGTGAGAGGAGAGGCAAGGACCTGTGCATGTGGAGCTGAGAGTGACACCAAGCAACACGGGACAGAAGGCAGGGCCCTCAGTCCCACTACCACAGGAACTGGCTTCCGCCAACTGCCTGCCCGTGCTAGCAAAGACCTCAGGTGAGGCCCCAACCTGGCTGACACCTTGACTCTGCCCGTGAGACTGAGCATAGAATCCACTGAATCCTGCCTGGCCTCCTGACAGACACAACTGTGCGCTGATAAGTGGGTGTCTCCATAAGTCGCCAAGTCGATGGGACTTTGTTGCCTATCACAGAAAGCCAATGCAGATGGTGTTTATTAGAATAAAGGATACTCAAACTTGAAGACATTTTTCAGAACATTTCCTAAATACTTCAACCATACCCAATAAATGAACACGGTTTCCCTTTAATTCAAATCAGCAAAATAATTTAAATGGTAAATTTCGCTTACAAACCTATCAAATAAAAGAGAACTTTAAAAGCTGTTGTTTTAATATTAAGGATACTCATTAGCTCTTTATCATAATAATGTTCAGTTTTAAAAGACTTAGATAATGAATAGAAACTTTATGAACCAAAAAAAGGATATTCTCTAAACGGAAGGATCTGTGCCTGGACGTGGTCTTCACAGGCCTGACGCAGTTGCTTGTAGAGCATTGGGGAGACTTTGTGAGAACAGAGATTTTCCACAGCCTGCAAACAAAAGGGCTACATCAATTCTTCAGTATGAACAACAGATTGGTTCATAAAAAAACCCTATTGTTAACATAGCTGTAATCATAAGAAAAAGGCACCCCACACCCTACCCCAGTACTTCAGGAATCTACAAATAAATTACTTATTATGGCTAAGTTTAGGGCACTTCTCGTTGGAACACTGCAGTCCAGTCATAGTTGGCATGGGGGTAGAGGTAACAACAGTTAATGTGGGCACATTGCACCTGCTGGACCTCGGGTCCCAGGCAGCTGGCCTGCACCACTCCTGAGCATCTATGGTGCCCAGTCACTTGGGACTTCTCAACAGGTTTGATCCTCACAGGCCTGTTTCCGGGTGCTCCGATTCCTCAGTCTGAGATGGGGGTCACTGGAGTGTGTTTGTGTTTAAGTTCACCTTGATGATTACAAAGTGAAATCAGGGCTAGAGAACCAAGAAAATCTTTTCCCTCAGTGACCACCTTCCCATCAGGAAGGAGAACAACAGGCTGGGCCTTCCCCTCACACTCCCCAGGGCAGTGATTCAATCCAAACTGAGCTTTTTCTGGGTGACACAGGCCAGACTGTATTGTTTCCTATTTATTTTTCTGCAGGCTAGATGTGTAATTCACTTCAGTTTGTTTAATTAATAAACTTTCTTTTTTATTCTGTGAACACCCCTAATACAAGAAGAAATCTTTTTTTTTTGAGTTGGAGTCTTGCTCTGTCACCCAGGCTGGAGTGCAAAGGCAGGATCTTGGCTCACTGCAACCTCCACCTCCCGGGTTCAAGCGATTCTCCTGCCTCAGCCTCCCGAGTAGCTGGGATTATAGGCACCTGCCACCACGCACAGGTTAATTTTTGTATTTTCAGTAGAGGAGGGGTTTCGCCATGTTGGCCAGGCCGGTCTCAAACGCCTGACCTCAGGTGATTTGTCCGCCTCGGCCTCCCACAGTGCTGGGATTACAGGCATGAGCCACCGTGCCCAGCTGACACCATTTTTTGAAGCAGAAAATTTTTTCTCACAATATTTTTACTCACCTCAAAGAAACAATGCTTGTACATTCTTACCAGTTCTAATAAAATTTCCTTTCCAATCTTAGGTACAAAAACTTAAACTCATTCAATTCCAATATGAAATATTATAAACAGAAATATGGTTTTTCTAACAAGTTTTGAACCAATGTGGGGTTCGAAAAATGTGGGGATATACAGAATAAAAACACTTTAGATAAATAATCTGAATTTAATTAGGATACAATATACCCCTAGGAAAAAAGGTAAATTAAAGTTATAAAGCTATTCATTTTACTAATACTTACACAAGTATTAATAATTCCAATACTAAATATCGGAGAGCTGCTACATATTAACCAAAGTTAAATACATACAGTGATTACTACCATATAAAATACATGCATATTTACAAAGATCAAAAGAGGATGTGGAATAATTATAATCCTGTTTTTAATTATAATCCTGTTTTCTAGCAAGCTTATTATCAGCATAATAACAAAGAAATACAAACTTTCCCCCTACATTTTGTCTTACTATAGAAACGGAATTCCTACCCACATTCTGTATTTACTTTAACTCCTTTCTCAAACTCTTCAATTCCATCCCTTTGAATTCCATATCTTCATAATTTGGTCAAAGATCTGCCATCCTTTTGTCTCCTCAAACAACCAAGAGAACTTTACGACAAAGGTTTTGCTCCAGTAGTTAAACATTAGTGAATCCCACAAACATAATTATTACAAAGTAAGTTTTTTATATAACACATGAAGAAAATGTATTTTCTTCAGCAAAAATCAACAGTAACTTAGGACCATTTTCTGGATGTTTTAATTCCTAGACCAAGAACCAATATCCTTAAAACCATCTTTTCCTGGTTGTGGCAAATGACTAAATATTTTATAACCCACTCTGCCTCCTATGTGTCCTATTTGGTGCACATTTACTATTCATATGAGTCATACTGCAATTTACTTTGTTTTTAAAATTAAGAATTTAAGAACCTCTCAAAACAAGTGGCAAGCCCTGGGTAACCCAGGTTTGCTGTAGGTGCTGAGTCAGGACTCCCGGCTTCATATTACAGGCACTCATCACTGGAAAGGCGACAGCCTTTGTTTCTCCCCGCCCTGCCAACTCCTTGCTGGCAGGAACATACTGGAAGACTTTTTTGTGCTGTTATAGAAGCAGCACAACACAGGAGTTGCCCCTCCCCCAAATGGATTTTTGACACTCAATCATACTTTGAGATTTAGAAATACCCTCTCTGGATGCATAAAGCAACTAATCAGATGGTACTGTGTGCTTCATGTTGGTGCACTCAGGCCATTAGCATTTTAAAGATTCACCCCAGAGAAAAGGAATGTAATCCAATGATCGGAGGTAGAGAAGTATCATTTGCATTCTACTCCTATTAGTATCAAGATGCTTTCCTTGTATCAACAGCCAAGTGAGGAAATTTGGTGTATATCTACAGCCAGCACTGTCTCTTCTCACATCACAGCTACTTCCTAACTAGCAGGTTCATCAAATGATTGTCTGTATTAGCTCAACAGACACGTGTGTGAATGTCAAATACACGTCTATTTATAGTGTCAAAGCATTGCCTGGAGTGAACTCACTGCTACTTAAACAAAATGCTCACTGCGGATAAGGGCAATCCCTGCTCTCAGATGTGGAAGACAGAACAAGGAAGGCCATGGAGCTGTGGGACATGACCTCCATAGTCACACAGAGACCTCCACAGCCACATGGGACGTGACCTCCATAGTCACACAAAGACCTCCACAGCCACACAGATGAGACCTCCATAGTCACACAGCGACCTCCACAGCCACATGGGACGTGACCTCCATAGTCACACAAAGACCTCCACAGCCACGTGGACGAGACCTCCATAGTCACACACGACCTCCACAGCCACATGGGACCATGGGACGTGACCACCATAGTCACCCAAAGACCTCCACAGCCACACAGACGAGACCTCCATAGTCACACAGAGACCGCCACAGCCACATGGACGAGACCTCCATAGTCACACACGCGACCTCCACAGCCACACGGACGAGACCTCCATAGTCACACAGCGACCTCCACAGCCACATGGGACGCGACCTCCATAGTCACACAGCGACCTCCACAGCCACACAGACGAGACCTCCATAGTCACACAGCGACCTCTACAGCCACACGGGACGCGACCTCCATAGCCACACAGCGACCTCCACAGCCACATGGGACGCGACCTCCATAGTCACACAGAGACCTTCAGAGCCACATGGATGAAACCTCCATAGTCACACAGAGATCTCCACAGCCACACGGGACGTGACCTCCACAGTCACGCAGAGACCTCCACGGCCACATGGGACGTGACCTCCATAGTCACAAAGAGACCTCCACAGCCACATGGACGAGACCTCCATAGTCACACAACAACCTCCATAGTCACATAGCGACCTCCATAGGCACACAGTAACCTCCATGGTCACACAGCGACCTCCACAGCCACATGGGACGTGACCTCCATAGTCACACAGCGACCTCCACGGCCACATGCGACGTGACCTCCATGGTCACAGAGACCTCCACAGCCACATGGATGAGACCTCCATAGTCACACAGCGACCTCCATAGTCACATAGCGACCTCCATAGTCACACAGCAACCTCCACAGTCACACAGCGACCTCCACAGCCACACGGGATGTGACCTCCATACTCCCACACAGACCTCCATAGCCACACGGACGAGAGAGACCTCCATAGTCACACAGCGACCTCCACAGCCACACGGAACGCGACTTCCATGGTCACACAGTGACCTCCACAGCCACACGGGACGCGACCTCCACAGTCACACAGCAACCTCCACAGTCACATAGACAAGACGTCCACAGCCACAAAGGACGAGACCTCCATAGTCACACAGCAACCTCCACAGCCACACAGACAAGATGTCCACAGCCACATGGGACGTGACCTCCACAGTCACACAGCGACCTCCACAGCCACACGGGACGAGACCTCCATAGTCACATAGCTACCTCCAGAGTCATATAGCGACCTTCACAGCCACACAGGATGAGACCTGTGTGGCTGTGGAGGTCCCATTCCTACGCTGGGCCTGCAGCTTGGGTGTGAGGGAAGGATGCCACCTAATACAAAGGACTAACCTCTCTCTTTCACTGACCATTATCACCTGGTATCAACATGTCATGAAGACAACTACTCCGTGACTCAAGAAAGACAGCCTGGCTTTCCTCAGAACTTGCATGTCAGCCGGGTGCAATGGCTCACGCCTGGAATCCCAGCACTTCGGGAGGCCAAGGCAGGAGGACTGTTTGAGTCCAGGAGTTCCCAAGGAGCCTGGACAACATAGGGAGGCCACACCTCTCTCTCTCTTTTTTTTTAAAGGGCCTGAGAGGTTTGTTTTTGTGCAACAAAAAACAAAAAAACCAGTTCTAAATCAAAACACAGCCTTTCTCTGAAACCTTTCTAGAAATGCAGTCTTCAGTTTTCTGTTGTCTCATTTAGCAACAAGCAGGACTAAAACATAGAGACACAAGACACAGAAGATGCACTTTCTTCAGGAGTTAGTTATTACAGACCGAAATTCAGGTCGTTCAATGGAAAAGATCCATGCCTTCACAACATTCTCCTCTACACACTACAGGAGGAAAATGATAAAAACAAAGTAACAAACAGAAACAACAGGCCAGCTGAGGCCCAAAAAGTGTAAGTGACAGGACTCCTAAGGTGTTTAGACGTAGAGGGAGAGTGAGCAAAACCAAAAACCAAACACGAAACCAAACCTTTCAAACTTGGGTGAGAATTGGTCCTTTCACATAAGATTCTTTGGCAAAGTATACACCACCCCACCTATACAAAAACTGAGACTTTATTTTGAAACACCAAGTCAAATGTATTGCCTGCTTGATCAGACATCAGTAATTTCACATTTGCTTTTCTTAGATTTCTATCCCATTTGCTTCCAATAGATCTGAGGCAGCTCATGCTTCAGACTCTGTGAGAGGCCAGAAGCCCACCTGTGCGTGGAGAGATGATCACAAGTAAGTGAATCAACTGATTCCACATATCCCCTGGTGGGGCAGCACCTCCAGAGATGCCCCTGGAATTTGCGATGTCTCATTCCAAGGAGGAACCAGTGACTGTCATTTTGGGGTAAGCACTCCTAGTTCTCAGGGTTTCAAGACAGACACCTAAGGCACCTACAAACATTGTTCATAATATCTAGTGATTGTTTTATAAGACATATCACTGTGTACAAGGTGTTGCAAAGTAATTCCGCCTTTTTAAGTAAAAATAATGAGGCAGCAGATATCAGACAGCCAAATCTCCAGGAAAAGAGTAGTAAGAAGCTTTAGCTGTAAGGTATCATATTTTATTAAACCAAAGACCTCTGAGAGTTCAGGTGGGACTCGTTTCTAGTCAAGACACAGTACAAGAACTGTATTAACTTTCTGCCTGAAATAACCACAAAATCAGGCAAAATATACGAAGCAACAGTTTTCGAAGCACTGAGTACTGGGCTATGAAAGACAGTGAATCTCAGAAAGATGGGAGACAAACAGGCCCCAACTGCTCAGCTTCCTGTGTGAAGAGCTTCCAGGTTGTGGTGTGGGGGCCCTGAGTAGCTGGGACTACAGGCATGCAACACCCCACTAGGCTAATTTTTAAATTTTTTGTAGAGATGGGGTTTCACCATGTTGCCTAGGCTGGTCTCGAACTCCTGGGCTCAAGCGATCAGGCCACCTCAGCCCCCCAAAGTGCTGGGATTACAGGTGTGAGCCACTGAGCCCAGACTCTCAATACTGTTAAGAATTTAATTCTCCTACATTGATCTGTAGATTCTATATACCGTCAATCAAAATCTTAGCACACTTTCTTATACAAATTGGCCGATTCTAAAATTCACATGGAAACACAAGGGACCAAGAATAGCCAGAAACCTGTGCAAATGTATGAAGCTGGGGGGCCAACACACCCTGATTTCACAACTCACTCCTCCTACTCCTACGTGGTTTTTGACAAAGGAGCAAAGGCAATTCAGTAGGGGAAAAGAGACTGAAAAACTGGACATTTGCAGGGAAAACACTGACTCTAGACTTTTCTTTGTATTTTTTTGAAATGGAGTCTCACTCTGTTGCTCAGGCTGGAGTACAGTGGCACAACCTCGGCTCACTGCAACCTCCGCCTCCCGGGTTCAAGCGATTCTCCGGCCTCAGCCTCCCAAGTAGCTGGGATTACAGGTGCCTGCCACCACGCCCGGCTAATTTTTTGTACTTTTAGTAGAGATGGGGTTTCACCATGTTGGCCAGGCTGGTCTCAAAATCCTGACGCTCAGGCGATCTACCCACCTTGGCCTCCCAAAGTGCTGGGATTACAGGCATGAGCCACTGCACCCGACTCTGACTCTAGATTTGTATTTCACAATATATACAAAAATTCACTCTACATAGATCGTAGACCTAGATGTAAAACCTAAAACTCTAAAATGTCTGGAAGAAAGTATAAGAGAAAACTTTGTGACCTCAGATTAAGCAAGATTTCTTGGATACTAAAAGCACAATCCATAGAAGAACAAACTGATACATGTGACTTGAAAACTTAAAACAATTACTCTTCAAATGGCACAGTTAAGAGAATCAAAAGACAAGTTGAAGACTAGGCAGAAAGTATTTGCAAGGCGAATATCTGATACAGGACTTGTATCCAGAATACATAATAAACTCAAATACTCAATAATAAGAAAATAACCAACCCAATAAAAATGAGCAAAATATTTAAATAGACACTTCGTCAACGAAGATACATAGAATGGCAAGTAAATACAAAGATGCTTAGCATCAGAGGGAAATGCAAACTAAAACTACAATGACACTCCACCACACACCCACAAGCACAGCTAAAGTTACAGACTGAGGACACCACACGCTGGTGGCGGAGTGGAACTGGAGCTCCCATACACTGCTGGGAGAGACGCACACGCTGGTGGCGGAGTGGAACCGGAGCTCCCATACACTGCTGGGAGAGACGCAAAAGGGGCAGTCACTTGCAAAAACAAGAAATTCCGTACAAAGTTAAACATACATTTTCCATATGACCCTGAGAACTTACTTCTAGATAAAGAAGTAAGCAGAACTCACCTGAGAGGAGTAAGAATATATGTCCAAACAAAGGGTTATTCACAAATGTTTACAGCAGCTTTATTTAAAACAACCCAAGGCCAGGCGCGGTGGCTTATGCTGGTAAACCCAGCACTTTGAGAGACCGAGGTGGGTGGATCACCTGAGGTCAGGAGTTTGAGACCAGCCTGCCCAACATGGCGAAACCCCGACTCTACTAAAAATACAAAAATTAGCCAGGCGTGGTGGCAGGTGCCTGTAATCCCAGCGACTCGGGAGGCTGAGGCAGGAGAATCGCTTGAACCTGCGAGGTGGAGGTTGCAGTGAGCCAAGATCGTGCCATGGCACTCCAGCCTGGGCCACAAGAGTGAAACTCCGTCTCAAAGAACAAACAAACAAAAAACCCCAAACATGGACACCCAAATGTCCATTAACTGGTGAATGGATAAAACAACTGTGGTATACCCATTCTACTAGGTAATAAATTACAATCACACTGCGTTGTGCATGAATCTCAAAAGCACTGTCCTAAGTGAAAGCCAGATACAAAAGACTATGAAATACATGACTGCATTTAGATAAGGTTCTAGAAATCGCAAAATATAGTAACAGAAAGCAAATGGGGGACCGCCAAGGGCTAGGAGTCAGGGGAGAGGGCTGACTGCAAAAGTGGTCATGGCAATTTCGGGGGTGGTAGCAATATTCTACCATTCTACCAAGAAAGATTCCATCTTGACCGTGGTGCCGGTTACGTAACTGCATGCATCTGTTAAAACTTCCTGAAGTGCACATTATATGTAGACTCTATCTCAAAGCTGGTAAGAAAACATCATCCACTTACACTTCAGACAAAGAATGGATGTATGTACACCAAACTGTCAACAGTAGTTTTCTTTGGGTGGTAGGAGTATAGGTGATTGAAGTCTTCTTTTTTGTATTTTTTATAATTTTTACAATGCAGTCACTTGCATATCCAGAAAAAAAGTTTTTTTAATTCAAGCCTTTTAATAGAAATAATTGTATGACACATCGTGACCTAAAATATAGATATTAGACTACTGAATGAATGTTACTTTACAAAAAGAAGACACCAGAAAAAAAGTCGCTTATAAATAAAATATCCAAGTATGGTAAAATGTACTTTTTTGTTACTTCAGAAACGGAACACCATCACTTTGAATTAAATGCTACCAAATCTGTTTGAATACCTTAAAGGCAACCACTAATCACAAAACACAACAGAGAACAAAACCACTTTTTCTGAATTTTGAATTTTTTCAAAATCTGTTTGAATATCTTAAAGGCAACCATTAATCACAAAACACAACAGAGAAAAGACCCTCTTATTACTGTGGCAAGTGACACAGTCATGAGTTTTACATATAACGAGAAAATAATTTGCCGTATACTTGCAAAATATGAGTCACGTGGCTCCTAGAAACACACCTCCTTCTCTTCCGTAATGGGATAACTTTAAATATGGTTCTAAGCAGCTTAAGCCTGAAAACAAAAATTCCACCACGGCAATAAACAAAACCACTTGTTGCCTCTGGGGCTCCCGGCCCTGCAGTGGAGGCAAACGCCCTGCCTTTCCGCTCCCCGGCGAGAGCCTGCGAGGCACCCGGAGCGGCCGCCCGGCCGCGTCTGCGTCACGCGGGGCAGGAGCGGCGTCCCCAGCCCCGGCCGCCGCCTCACCTGGTAGAGCTCCTCGAGGTTGTACCTGATGGAGGTGCTGCTCTGCACGGCCCGCACCGCCTCGTGCAGCTTCCGCCACGTGTCCTGCGTGTAGTTGTCGGGCAGCCGAGGTCTGTCTGCAGGGCGGAGGGAGAGCGGGCGGCTCAGGGCGCGCCGCGAAGCGCCCCGCGTAGCCACCCCCGACCCGGCCGGCGCCCCGGCGCCCCCGCTCCCGGGGCCCGCACGGATCTCGGGGCCTTCCCCCCAAGTCGGGCGGGGTCTCGTGGGGTCCCCGCCCGGGGCGCCTGGCCCTCGACCCGGCCGCCGCACCCACCTCGGAAGTTCTTGATGACCAGCTTCTTGGAGCCGCCCGCGCCCCCCGGCTTGGCGGGCGCGGCGGCCAGGGCCGCGGGCTTGGTGAGGCCGTTGGTGCGGCCCACGAGCGCCGAGAAGCTGCCCTTCCGCGGGGCCTCGTCCGCCATGGCTGGGCCGGAACCGCCGCGCCCCGCCCCGAGCGCCGCCGCCCGCCGAGCTCCGCTCCGCCCGCCCCGGTCCGCGCGGCCTCCGCCCCGTCCTCCTCGCGCGCCCCGCCCCGCCCCGCCCGCGTGCCCGAGCCCAACCGCCGCCGCGCCCGGCTACTCCTGAGGGCTTAGGAACGCGCGCCGGGAATCCCTCCTGAGGGATCGGACTCCCCCTAAGAGATTCGGACACCCCCTCCTGGCTCGAGGGCGCGCGCCGGGACTCCCGTCCTGAGGGATCGGGACCCTCACCCCCGGCTCCGGGGGGCGCACCGAGACCCTGCCCCCAGGGCTCCGGGCACCCCCTCCTGGCTCGGGGATGCGTGCCGCGGGCACCCCTCCTGAGGGGATCGGGAGCCGGGACACCCTCCTGAGGGCCCCGGGGCGCGCGCCTCCTGAGGGCTCGGCACCCCCACCCCGGGCGTGAGACCACCTCGAGGGCTCAGGGGTGCGCGCCGGGACGTGCCCTAACTCCTGCAGGCTCGGGAGCGCGCGGCGGAGGCACCTTATGAGAGCTCGGGAGCGCGCGCCATGTCCCTCCCCCTCCCCCTCCTCGGGCGCGCGCGCCCCGAGGCCCTGGCCCAGCCAGGCGCGGAGGGTCCTCCGCGGCCTGGTTTTCACAAGGGGCAGACGAAGGGTCAGCGCAGTGAAAGGCAGTTTAGCCGTGGGGCTGTCCTCGCCACTGGACCCCAAACCCCTCAGCCCGGGCGGGCCCGAACACACAATCAGAGCCGCTGGCGTCCCGGCTGAGAGGACGGGGCCCCGGCAGAAAGACCCCGGGCCCCCTCAGCCCGAGCGCGTCGCCGAGCCGGTCCCCAGGTTCTCCCTCCGGAACCAACCTGCGCACCCGCGGCGGGGCCGGGGGCGCCAGGACCCAGACGGACCGAGGGCCGGAAGTGACGCCAGCTGGCCCGCTTGAGGCGTAGGGGGTGGCGCTCTCCGTTCGGCGGCGCTCCCATGGCGCACATTACCATTAACCAGTACCTGCAGCAGGTGGGTCCTAGCCGGGGAGCGCGCGGCGGCGTGGTTGGCCCTCGGCGTGTTCCGTGTGTCCCCTCCTGCCTTGGACCCTCAGGCCTTTTCCTTTCCCGCCTCGCCACCCTTCTTCCGTTCGGGTCCCCGGCGGGCAGCCGCGCGAGCCGAACAGCGGCGGCCGGGACTCGGGAAGGCGGCCCGAGTTCTCCCCTGCAGGGCCGCCGTGGGGGCCGGGCGGTGTCCGTGGATCGCGGAGTCGTCGCGGTGTAAGTAGACGCGGCGGTCCCAGGTCGCTGCCCTCACTTGCTGGCACGTGTGGCCGCGCTCCCAGGCGGTCCGAAGGGCCTGCGGGCCACGCCGAGGGCCCGCTGTGGGCGGTGCTGTGTCGGATGGACGCTGTTTCCCAGCAGGATGCGGGATGAATTCGGGGACTCCAGGAGGCGATGGAGGAGTAAGCGCGAGGCTGTGGCCGTGCTGCAGGCCGGGCTCGTGCCCCTCGTCCTCGCTGTCGTTTAACGCCCTTCACTCTCCGAGCACAATGCACACTTCATATCGCTCGGTACATGCGTCTGACAGATGTTGTTCAACAGCTTGTAAGTAGCAGAAGCACAGTTAAAAGATGGACACTTGTAAAGATTCAACGCATATTCTTTCCACTAAACTATGCCTGTCTTCAGAACCAGCACTGTGGTAACAGGGATAGGAAATATAGGGAATGGATTTTTAAAATATTTGAAGGAAACATTACCAAGACGTGGTGAATAAGAATGGGTGGGCTGAGGGACACGGAGGAGTTAAGAATGATTCCCAGGCTTGTAATCTGGGAAAAAGATGAATAGAGTGGATTTGGAGGGAGAAATAAAGTTTTGGGCATGTTGAGTTTGAGGTGTCTGTTGACAACTGGGTAAAGATACGTACTTGATAGCTGAAAAGTCTGACATGATTGGGCCCAGCAGTTGCTTGGTTAATTGAGAAAACTGGTTAAAACAGGAATCACGAAGAAATGGATGTATGTTTTTAACTTAAAACATGAAAGTATACATTCACTTGCCAATTTTTTTTTTACACCACTTACCTCAAGTTCTATACTTGCCAATCTTTTGATGTAAGCCCAGGGCCTTTTCTTTAGGCTGTGTCTGTTTTGGCCTAATCTTAGCAGACTTAACATTTTCCAATATCAGTTTATTTAAAGTTAAACAAGGATATAGGCATTTAAGAACCAATTTGATACGATTATCTTTAGAATTTTCTTAATCTTTTACAATTTTTCCCCCATACCTAATTATTTTTTTAACAAACTCAAGTGAGCCTTTTAAAAACATACAACTTAGCTTATAGAGAAACAACTGTTTCCTTTTGCATTCATATTTCATTGATGAGCTTAAAAGTACATAACTACCATAACAGGTTCGGGTAGCAAAAATAGATTTGAGAACAAACACATCTGGATATGAGAACACATACAACTTAGCTGGCAAAAGCTTGCGATGTATTAGAGTGAAGCCTACTTGCTGAAAGTCGTCATCATACCTTGGGCATCAGCTCGTGTATTTCAGGGAGGGATTGGAGAGAGTCATTTTTCCAATTCAAGTCAGTTAAAGTGAGACTGATAAGCGAGCTTCTACTCTATGTGTGTAAACTGAAGTTTAAACAGACAGATTTGGGTTAAAGATACAAACCTGAGACTCCTTCGTAGTCACATGATGGGAAAGACTGAGAAGGGAAGGGGTGACCCAGGGAACAAGTAGAGAGAGTAGACAGGGGCTGGGCCCAGGATGGACTTCTATGGAGATGTGCATGCCTACATCTCCGCAAAGGGCAGTGTAGCCACTGGGGTGAGACAGCAAAAAGTCCGCTTCCTCCTAATTCTGATGGATAAAAATATTTCTGGTTGAACTGGCATGT
Source organism: Homo sapiens (assembly GCF_000001405.40). Classification (NCBI taxonomy): domain Eukaryota; kingdom Metazoa; phylum Chordata; class Mammalia; order Primates; family Hominidae; genus Homo; species Homo sapiens. The sequence continues at coordinate 113,206,711 of NC_000013.11, read as the reverse complement.
TACCTAAGTTTTATGTATTAACAGATTCTTGAATATTTTAAGAAAATAGGTGCCTCTTCGATACAGAATGGCAACCGGTTATACATGGTAACACATGTTTGATTTGTTGTATAGGAACATAAGTGCCAATGTCACTGTATCTCTTTGGGAATAAAACCATCATTTGCACATTCATCAAAGCTAGGAAGTTGGGGGAAATCATTGACTCCTCCTTTAGTCTCAGCAAATAGTCCTTTACCTAATTGGATGTATCTCCGAAGTCTCTCAGATCCATCCCTTCTTTATCTGTTGCCACATGCTCCCCAGCCAGGACGCCCTGCTGCAGGTACTGGTTGATGGTTTCCTTTACTTTGCCCTTTCCAAGTGAGACACAGCAAAGAGACCATAGACTTTAAAGACAATAAGACTTCAGCCCAAATCCTGGCATTTTTACTAATTCTGGGACCATGACAAGTTATCTAACTTCTGTGACTCTCCATCTCTAAACAGGCTTCACATAAGTTGTGAGAATTAAAAAGACCATGAATTCACAGTAAATGCATTTACTTAGTAAATGATAGTTCTGGTATTTTATTGAAGAAGAGTTGAGCATCTGCCTCTGTTACTAAAACTTCATTGACTCTCTGTTTCCTCCAGGGAAAGTTCCAAATGCTTTAGCACATCATCTGGTCCATGTTTACCTGTTAACTTGGCATCACCAGTCTGAAGGTTTATTTCACTTATGCTGAATGCACCATTGCCCCACCGAAGTACTCATAACTTAAAATATACCATTTAACCATTTTAAAGTACACAATTAAGTACATTCACAATATTGCACAACCATCACCATTATCCAGAATTTTTTGTCACCCCAAATGGAAATGTCATAAGCATTAAGCAGTCACTCCCTGGTCCTCCCTCCCGAGCGCTTGTCAACCGCTAATGTGCTCTCTGTCTGTATGGATTTGCTGACTCTGGTGATTTCAGTATGTGGCTTTTGTGTGTCTTTCCCTTGCATCATGTTTTCAGGGTTCATCTGTGTTGGAACATGTGTCAGTGTGTCGTTCTTTTTTATGGCTAATGATATTCCATTGTATGGAGTATTTTGTTTATCCATTCATCAGTTGATGGACCACTTCAGTTGTTTCCTCTTTTTGGCTGTTGTGCTGCTGCTGTGAACATTCTTGCGCAGGTTTTGTATTCTTTTTGGCATATACCTAAGAGTGGAATTGCTGAGTCATATGGTAATTCTGTGTTTAACTTGTTAAAGAAATGCCAAAGCAGCTAGCTGCATCATTTTACATTTTCACCAGCAATGTATGAGGGTTGCAATTTCTTCACTTTCTTGTCAATGCTTGTTTTTTTCCATTCTTTTTATTATGGCCATCCTGCTGGGTGCGGAGTGGTATCTTCTTGTGGCACCCCATGATCTTTCTTGTCCCAAAGATTTTCTTCATTATGTTCCTTTTGCCAAGAACACCTCTCTTTTTTACAGGTGTAGTGAACATCTTTATTTAGGGAATCAGCTTTGAGTTAGATACTTTACTCCTTAATCTTCAGTAGTTCTTCATATTGTCTTTCAAGAGTTTATGGAATTGGAAAGTTTGACTATTCAGAAGTGACTTCAGAGGTTCATGACCTGTAATGATTTTGAATTTTTAAAAGAGTTATGAGTTCCAAGAGTAGATGGTGCCTCCTGTGGACCAGACTGGAGGGCGTGAGGGGCATGCAGCAACCACAAGGAAGTCTTCCTGGGGCCAGAGCCAGGGAGCATCCCCTGGTGAGCCAGGCCTGGGGGTGCCGCTCAGAAGGTGCTCACTTGGAGTCTGGTTGTGTGGTCCCATTGAGGGCTGAAGGCTCTGCAGCATGAGCTGTTAAGAGTTGGCCAGGTGGCTGGGCTGCTAGGGGTCCTGTGTCCACTGCGGCGCCAGTCGCACCTTTAGGGCTTGCAAGTACCGTCCGTTGCCATCCCTGCTTTTCCTCTTCACATCCCCAGTCTTCTCACAGTTTAGTCATTGAGGCAGGGGCATTGATAGGACCACCCCTGGGACACATTCATGCCTGCCAAGCAAGCTGGGGCCCTCCTTGGGCTCAAGGCCCTGTGGCACTGAGCCCTCCTCTGGTCAGGTCACCCGTGGGACACTGGGTGCAGCCCAGGTAGGTGTGGCCAAGCAGAGCCCAGGATGTGGCGACATCACCCTGCATATGTGCAGGGACCACCCTGGGAGGTCACAGGCAAAGGAGGGCTACCAGTGAGTGCCCCCAGCAGGGGTCTCCGCCTCTCCTTGGAGGGCCCCGGTGTCTGTACTCCAGGGTTTGATCCCTTCGTGACCACTGTGTCCCCAGTGTGTTTAGTCATTGAAGTATGCTTCCATTCCACAGTGCTTGCTCCAAGTCTGGGACTCTCAGCTTTCAGTCACTCATAGGTTCCTTCTGCAGAGAGCTCTGGAGGCCTTGGCAACATCAGAACATCATGCTCAAGTGTGACCTGTCACCAGAGTACTGATGTTAACCAGAACACTCCTCTTCTCAGGCTCCTGGGGCTGGGCCCAGTGCAAGGCCCTGGGTGGTGCGAGAGATCGCACAGTGCGGGGCCTGGAGTGCCTGGAACCATAAGCAGGGGTGGCTGTGGGGAACTCTTAGCTTGAACCTCCTGTTTGTGTGGAACCAAAGAGAGCACGGCTTGGCCAGCAGGCTCCAGAACCGCTTTCTAGCCAGAAGCCCCTTAGTTGAGCAAGGTTGGAGTCTGTTGGGGCTCCTGTGGCTAGGCCTGCCCACATGGCACAGGGAGGGCCACTTTGGAAGGCATATCCTCTCTGGGGCTAAACTGACTAATACTGGTTTTCTTGGGGGACTTGCAGACCAAGACCTGGGTGGGATCGGTTGTTTTGCCTTCCATCCCAGGGCCAACTACTGATGGGAGGGCAAACGGGGAAGACGCAGTGTGCCTGCCTGGCCAAGGCAGTTGCCACCCTCATCCTTGAGGGCGCTGTTCCATTGCACCTGGTCAGATGGTCTCGAGGGAGCCAGAGGAGGCCCCTTTGGAGCTGGGCACCAGTGAGTTCTTGCAGGGCGTGGGCAGGGGACACCGGAAAGCCTCCTGCAGAGGATGGGCAGATACCAGTGTTGTCTTCTTGGGGCCATCTTCAGCTTCTTGATGATGATTGGCAAATGCAGTGTTGTAAATTGCAAAATACTGATCTGTAGCATGGTGATTTTAAAGAGGAAACCTAACCCTTTCCCCTAAACAGCTGAGGATCTTAGTATCTGTCTGTCTACCTTTTAGATGAAATCCCTAAACCTGTGGCCAGGGCTATGAAGAGAAACTTAGTTTCCATAATACTTGGGCCCAAATCGTCTTGCACCCATTTGTGACTTTGAAAATGTCAGGAGCTAGGCTATGATGTGACGTTGAGCAGCAGCTTGTGACCTTGCATGGACTGGGGCAGGAGGGCTGCCTCTGAATGGCTGTAGTTTTCCTATGAAGGCAGAAAACCTGCAAGTCTTCAGATGGCTTCAGCTGAAGATAAAGTTAAGTTCCTGCTTACACCTCCAACCCAAATCCCATGGGACTCTCCCTTCTCCTGCTCTGTGCCAGTGCTGCTCTTTCTCACTGACGACTGTGGTCCCGGCGACACCGCCCTACCCACTGCACTCACAAGCAGTTCAGGATTAGGGCCCTAGTGCCACCAACAACATTCTACTCAGTGATGTTGAAATTCAGGATTTTTTTTGTTTTGTTTTTGGCAGTCTTTTTGTCCTTAGAATAAGGACAGTCAAATTCCACAAACTACTGTTTTCAAAGGTTACTCATATAGGTATGTATTTTCTATTTGTTTCAATTTTAAGGTTTGTCTTTCTATTTTATTTCTTGAATGGGGTTGTAAGTAACTTATATTTAAAGGTGTGCTCAGAAACTTTCCTTCTCTCTCTCACCTCATTCCACCCCCCTCTCTAGAAAGATAATCATTTGCATTAGATTCTGCCTTCTCCATCCTGTATTTCCTTTTGGGATGTACATGTGACACACACACAGACATAAACACACATATTTTTCTTGTTTCCCTTCATTCTTATACAAGACGCAGCATTCTATACATACTCTTTTACAACTTGCTTTTTTCACTTAACTGTATCTTCCTAGAAATTATTGCATGTAAATTCCTAGAGATCTTCCTCATTTTCAAAAAATGGTTGCATAGTGTGCCTTAAAATAGATGTTTCACAGAGTATTCAGCCTGTCTCTATGGATGGATATTTAGTTTGTGTCCAATATTTTGTGATTACATGTAGCCGAGTACAAATACCTTCTGTTTCTAGTTGTAAGTTCCTGGCAGTGTGATTACTGTTTCAAAATGTAAATGCATGTGTAGTTGTATGGAATAGTCAGGGGGGAAATTCCTTATCATGGAAGTTAGTCTTCAGGAAGGTGGTGTCAGCCTCCCTGTCATACCCTGAGTTGAACAATGGGGTAGTAGGAGTTGGGCTCCAGTGTGTTGAACTGGTGGCATGTGCCTCCCTTTCTTCTGGGTATGGACACCTGGGCACAGGATTACTGGGTCAGAGAGTAGGCGTTTGCTTGCTTTAGTAGAATACCAATTTTCTTCTAAAAATTTACCCCAAGTTACCCCATCACCAATGTGTGAGCCTTCTAGTTGCTTCAGGCTCCTGGCAACACTTGGTGTCATCAGCCTTCCTAGTTGTAAGTACTCTTGTGGGTGTGTAGAGGGATCTCATCTGCTTGTGCTTTTTTGCCATTTGCACATGCATGTTATGACATCCCCGGTCAGTCTTGTGTTAGCATAAAATGTAAATATTTAATTTTATCATAGTTAAATTATACTGTATCTAAAGCTTTGTGCTTGCCTTTTTTCTTAGTTAGAATTTTTATGTCCTTTTTTTTTTTTTTTTTTTGAGACGGAGTCTTGCTCTGTCGCCCAGGCTGGAGTGCAGTGGCGCGATTTCTGCTCACTGCATGCAAGCTCCGCCTCCTGGGTTCGCGCCATTCTCCTCCCTCAGCCTCCCGAGTACCTGGGACTACGGATGCCCACCACCACACCCGGCTAATTTTTTTGTATTTTTAGTACAGATGGGGTTTCATTGCGTTAGCCAGGAGGGTCTCGATCTTCTGACCTCATGATCTGCCCGCCTCGGCCTCCCAAAGTGCTGGGATTACAGGCGTGAGCCACCGTGACCGGCAATTTTTTTGTAAATATAATTTAAAAGCATATTTGGTTTTCTAGTTATAAAATGTCTGTTGTGGCAGGCGCTAGATAGGGCAAAAGGCTCCCGGGTCTCCTAGTCTCCACCCGACGTTCTGCGCAGTCAGCTGGTGTGGTATGGTACAGGCCCTGCATTCTTTCCTGTGCCTGCATGTTGTACGTAATTTTTCTCTTCTTTTTTCTCCCAAATCAAGTTATACAGTTTTCCTGCAGTTAACTTTTTTTTTCATTTAATCATCATATTGTGGACATTTTCTCATCTTACTACATACAGATCTATTTTATTCTTTTTAACAGCAGCCGAGTATCGCATTGTATGAATGTGACATCTATTTAGCTATTTCCATTTTCCTTTTATTTTATATTAAGGTTGAGTGGAAGCTTTTTGAATTTTGGATATATGTGGTTTTTAAACTGATTTCTTTTTCATAAGCTGTATATTTGGATTTTCAAACATATATTAGTGTGATTGAGTAAAATTAGAATAATTCATCTTCATGAAGAGCTACATGATAAACCACTGACTTATTTTTATTTGCTTAACCTGTTTTTTTGCTTCAGGAACATCTGTTTTTGTTTTTTTGGTCTGTTTTAAAGAGACGGGTCTTGCTATGTTGTCCAGGATGGTCTCGAACTCCTGGCTCAAGCAGTCCTTCCTCAGCCTCACAAAGTGCTGGGATTACAGGCCTGAGCCAGCCAGGAACAACCTATTTTGAAATGAAATTATTGTTTACGATTGCGCCACTGCAGTCCGCAGTCCGACCTGGGCGACAGAGCGAGACTCCGTCTCAAAAAAAAAAAAAAAAAAAAAGAAATTATTGTTTACCCACTGCAGAGAGTAGTGACCATCTGTTACATTTTGATTGTTCTGTCTTCTTTCAAAGTAGGGGAAAATGAATTTTCCCCTGTGTGGCATTCAGTGTATTGTTGTAGGTTCTATTCGAACAGAATATTTTATTTTCTACTTAGGTTTCCCTTTCAAATGTTTCAGGTGTACGAAGCCATCGACAGCAGAGATGGAGCATCTTGTGCAGAGTTGGTGTCTTTTAAACATCCTCATGTTGCAAACCCACGACTTCAAGTAGGTGAAAGAGCTGTGCACACAGGTGTCTGCAGACAATTACAGGGTAACCACTTTCCTAAGAGAAGCGTAGAGTTTGAGTAAGAAGAAAACTAATATTGTCACTCTTATTTGAAAATTTTAAAGTTTCTTTATGATTTATGTAATTTCAATCCATTTGTGGAGCACTGACTATGTACGCACACTGTGGTGATGTGGACCTCCTGCCCTTGTGTTTGATTCCTAGACAGCTCTCTGAGGTTTAGAGAAGTTAGATGGTGGAGAGGCGGTGGAGCTTAGATTCTGTCTAGGCCTGTGCGTCCCCAAAGCCCCATAGACGTCATGTACCACAGGTGTCTCCCATTTAAGTTGTTAGTCAGAAAGGCTGGCAAGCCAAGGCCCAGCCTGGGGTTGTACATGGAGTTTCCATGTCATCTGTGGCGTAGATGATGTTGAGGCAGTATTTTCTATAGAAAATCTTGTGGACATTTGGTAAAGCCCTGTTTCCTCATTGACACCCTTTATCATATTGGAGTGTGTTCCTACTGGAAGCAGCATTTTTCTTTTGGAAGAAAAATGGGCTTATCTATTGGTGATTATGTTTGGCGGTGTACAGACTTGCAACTCAGACCAGGTAAATCAGTCTCTGAAGTAGCAGCAGGCCTGTTTTTGTTTTTCTAATAAAGTTACCTAGGTGATTCTATGTGTAGACAGTGTTGAAAACCATTGCTCTAAGTAGGAGTTAGTGCTAGAGACTCGATGAGACTCAGGCTTGCCTTGGCCAGAACACCCCATGGCTGGTGCCCTGTGCTTTGTATTGTATGACATGAGAGGACACACACTGTCCTGTTTGCAATCTGAGACAGATCCCTTCATTGTAAAATTCCCCAGTAAACTTTCTTTCGGTGGTTTCATTCACCAGGGACTGTAGAATGGTGATTTTTCTGATACTGTCATTCTTCTCTCTCACCATATCAGCATGGGCTCATTGCTTTTGTAAACAAAACCAAACAAAACAAAAAAACGCAGTGTGCTTATAATCCATTGTGTGTTAGTCTGGGTTCTCCAGAGAAACAGAGCCAGTGGGATATATCAATATTTATAGAGATTTAGTATGAGGAACTGGGTCCTGTGATTGTAGAGGTCAAGAAATCCCACACAAGGAGTGAATTCTTTCTTCCTCGACCTCTTGTTCTATTCAAGCCCTCATCAGATTGGCCATTGCCCGTCCACACTGAGGAGGGCCATCTACTTTCCTGAGTCTACTAGTGCAACTGCCAGTCTCATCCAGAAACACCCTCACAGACACTCCCAGAAATAACATTGTCTGGGGACTCCACAGCTAGTCAAGTTGGCAAAATTAACCATCACCTGTTGAGATGTTCAGATTATCTAAAATTTGACTGTTAGGAGGAAAGGAAAACTTAGAAAGAAATGTCAGCTAGACTAGCCCAGGAGATGAGACTGGTGGTCTCAGCAGGAAGCCGAGAAGAACGAGTCCTAACATAGCACCATCTGTAACTCATTAGACCTCACTTACTAAACCTATGACAGTTACTTAACAAGTATTTCTTGACTGACTGGTCAAGAATACTAATATACTGAAATGTATATGAAAGTGCCTAGAATATTTTCTGACTTGCAGAAGGCGAGACCAAATTATATTCATGGGCTTCTTTTTCCCCTGAAATATTGATAAATATTTGTTGAAGTAATGAACCATTTATTTATTTATTTATTTATGAGACAGAGTCTCCCTCTGTCACCCAGGCTGTAGTGCAGTGGCACGATCTTGGCTTACTACAACCTCCCCCACCCATGTTCAAGCGATTCTCATGCCTCAGCCTCCTGAGTAGCTGGGATTACCAGCGTGTACCACCACATCCAGCTAATTTTTGTAATTTTTTTTGTAGAGACGGGCTTTCACCATGTTGGCCAGGCTGGTCTTGAACTTCTAGCCTCAAGTGATCTGCCCACCTCGCCCTCCCAAAGTGCTGGGATTACAGGCATGAGCCACTGTGCTCACGGCCTGAACCTTTTATTTAGAGTGGTAAATATAAAGTGTTACTGTGAACTGTAAAGCATAAATTCTCTTGAAACAGAGGTTTAAATCTCTTTCTATATGTTGCATTCTTTCTGTGCCTATTAATTTTACTTTTGCTATTTTTCTTTTTTAAAATCAGATGGCCTCTCCAGAGGAGAAGTGTCAACAAGTCTTGGAACCCCCTTATGATGAAATGTTTGCAGCTCATTTAAGGTAATCTGTTGGGGAGGAAGAAAAACACACACATCTGGAAATTGCTGAATTAACTGGGGATTTTATCTTGCATTATCTTGTGCTTGAAGCAGTGAATAACTGACTTTGAAAAAGTGGGAAAATGCATTTGTAACTTCAGTTTGGTAAAGCCTGTGGAAATTGTAAACATCAGTTATATAATACTATTTTTAACATCACACAGTATTTAGCAGAGTGCCTGCTTAGTGGTCTTTTTAGTAGAGTTTGGAGCCGAACTGTTCACTTACCCTTTTCGTGGAAATATGTCTGTTTTTGAAGCTCTTTACGTTACTGGGAAAGAAATTAGAGTTGAGCAAAGCAAACAATGCTACTTTTTATGTACACTTCATATCTACTGTTTTATCTCTAAAGGATCAGTTCAGGCAGAAGATTGTGTCCTTATAGCCATGTGAGATTTGATTACTGTCTTTCAGAGCAGCCTGGGCTACAGGACCAGTGTGGGGTCTGTGAGCAGGAATGTTCTGTGAACCCCACAGGGTCTTTGGAAGAGTTGGGGCACCACCGTGTTCCTTGTAGTACAAAGCACCTGTGATTTCCTAGCTCTGTGCAGTGTGCGATAGGTTCCAGATTTGGCGATGAACTAACACTGACATTACCCAGCTGGGAATCTAGTTTGAATGTCATTGTCAGCCCCTGCTAGAGTGGAAGGGTCATACTATGTTATCAACATGTGTTACTCATAAACCTGCTGGTGCTAGGTCCTTCTGGGACTTGAAAGAGTAGTCTCCAAGCTTACTGTGGGACTTCCTCTTATCCTCACCTGTTTGTGTTCAGCCATTTGTGTGTTTCTTCCTTCACTCCTTTCATCCCAGGACCACTGGGACCTGTGCAATGAAGTGAGCTGTGTGGGCTGCATAACTAGTGCTAGGTTTTTATTGTGTGACAGCATGTTTCTGTTTCTCCTCCAGGTGCACTTATGCAGTGGGGAATCATGACTTCATAGAGGCATACAAGTGCCAGACCGTGATAGTCCAATATCCTTTGTCGTTCATGGCAGCTGTCCCGCATAGAACACATGCAGTGGATTACTTGGGACTTGAGACCCGGAAACACTGGGCCAGTTGCTCATTTCTGCAGTTAGAAAGGAATGACAGTGTTTTGGAACAGAAGCTCGTTTCAGCTCTTTCACTTGGGTACTTAAATTTAGCATGGATCTGAAGACTCGTGCAGTACTTAGTAAGGAAGAACACTGGTTAGGAAGAAGGATCTTACTCTGCTGAGAAGAAGAATGCTTTGTTGCCTTTAGTAAGGTAGTAAGTATATTTACAGGGACTGGTTAAGTCCTGTTGGTGAAATACCAGAAATCCAGAATTCAGGCAGAGATGGACAAGAGTGGCCTCAGATGTACATCGGCATTGAATTGTGGCAGCTGAAGACCTTAAATCAAACCAATTCATACTTCAGTCATTTAAAGGGTATCTTTAGTTACGGCCTGAGTCAGTGAGTGTGCTAAGGATTTGTATGTATCTCTAGATTTTGTCTTTTCGTTTTAACCACCTTGTTTAAATATACACAGAAGAGAGTTGGGCTATTTGCTCACAGCCTCCTTAGAATTCAAGAATTCTAGAGTTGATAAAATCAGCCTTATGCTACAGATTCTAAAGCACTTAAATATAACTCATGATCATCTGGGCTCAGAGAAACCAAATAAAATGTCAGAAAGGGCTGATTTTAAAAAATCTTGTAAGTCTTTTTTATTTAGGAGACAGTGTGTATGAAATAAGTGTATTTAGTATACTTGAGCCTAATGAGATACAGATATTTGTAATGTGAGCTTATACCTTTTTTCCTTCAAGAACTTACTATTGTTGCAACATAAATCTGCTCAAGGGTGATCTACATTCCTTAAAATTTAGATTCTTATTCTTTACTTTTATCGTACGTAGCATTATTTGAACTTTGTATGCCATATCTTCCTTAATACAGTACATCATTCTTGCGAGCATTCCAGGCCCACAAAGAAGAAAACTGGTAAGTGTGAACAGAAACAGCTGAATTAGCAAATGGCAATTTTTTTAGCAGAATCTTTTTACAAATTTGCTTTAAATAAATGTGTATTGTATTTTCCATGTGGATATTTGGTAATCAGTGTGTTGACATATGGTAATATCTACACAGATGAGTGGAGTCACAAATCTAGTAAACTGAAATGGTAGATCAGCCACATTGTTTGCAGTGTGTCTATGTCAATATAGTATTATTTTTATTTCAGATGTCCATTTCCCTAGATATTTATTAAATACTGTTTTTTCCTTCAGTTGTCAATTTTGAACTTTTGGTTTTAAACCTTAGATAAAAGAGGTAGACCAACTACGGTTCATTTGGGGTGTTCTAATACATAATAATGGTGGTATTTTTAAATGCCTTGCCAAACTAAATTTTATGATTTATTAACAAACTATAGGTTAATACTGAAATTTGTTTATACTGAAATAACCAAAGGCCTTTTGCAAACAAACCCGCCCTTTTATCTTTTTTTTTTTTTGAGAAGGAGTCTTGCTCAGTCGCCGAGGCTGGAGTGCAGTGGCGCAGTCTTGGCTCACTGCAGCCTCTGCCTCCCGCCACCCTTTTATCTTTTAACGTGAAAACTTGCACATGAAAACAGTCCAGTTTTGCCAGTTGGCTGTAAAAGTTGTTTTGTGACATTTTGTGTATTACATATTCTGGTTCCTGTTAGGAAATCTGATCAAACCACTTCTTTTTTAGTGGTGCTGTTTGGATACTGGTGGGAAGCTGAGGGGAGGAGGATATCCTGGGAGCCCAGAACTGAAGCAGGGCTGAGGTCTCTGACAGGGTTGGGGACAGGGGTGTGGAGCACCGCATTGTGGGGCCCCAGGATGATCAGGAAGTCTGAGGCCTGCAGCCTGCCTGGACAGAAGGTGAGGAAGCAGACAACTGTCAGAGTTTTGGATAAGTGCGGACTCCATTCTGGATAGTAGCCCTGGGTGTCCGTGTTCTTCCCACCTCTGGGGATGGAATCTTGGCCCACGTAGCCCCTCACACTTGTTTACTTTTTTGCCCTGCAGGGCTCTGCCTGTCATGTATGCAGTAGCGCTTGACCTTCGAGTGTTTGCCAATAATGTAAGTTTAATTTGCTGTCATTATTATTTTAAAACTAAAACTTGGTGACTATCTGTTGTTTAATTTCATGTCATTCTTCCCAGAAGTTTTGAGGAGCAAATTGGAGTTGAGATGTGTCTGGTATAGGGAGCAAAAGAAAGATATTGACTATTCTTTCTGGGTTAACACCAACAGATTTATATAAACATTTGCTCAGATTTCCACACTGTTCATATAGAGGGAGAGGTTCCATTTTGTGGTTAACCATTTATGGTATGTGTTATTTTTATGAAGTGAGTGGAACAACAACAAATGAGCTTATTCTGCATCTCTTCTACCTTTAAGATGTGGCCTGCTCCCCCACCAAAAAGAATTCAGCTTCATATAGATTTGGGCAGTAGGAGGGGGCTTCCCTGGGGTGAAGGGAGATCCTGGGTTTTATGGAGGCGACGTCCCCATGGGGACCCACGGAAGTCCCCATTATGGAGCAGCATTTGTCAACCTTTTGGTTTTAGGACGACCCCTTTACAGTTTTAGAAATGATTGTTGACTTCAGTTCCAGTCAGGATGCAATGGATTTCACCCTATTGTGCCTGCTAGAAACAGTTAAAACCCTGGGAGTTGTCAGGCCGGCATGGCTATGGGAGGTGGAGAGAAGAGGGGGATGGGGCTCAGAGTCACGTGTAGGGAGTCTCCAGGTTTCCTTTTTGTCTCCTGTCTGTCCTGGACTGGGCGCGTTAGAAACCTGAAGCCTTTCACCATCAGGCAGAGACAAAAAGCCCCAAGGAAACCAGGAGGCTGGGAAGACAGTCCAATCCAGCAAGACAGAACTCTGACCGTCACTGCCTCACTCCAGTGCCAGGCGCAAAGAAGTCAGCAGGTCCGTCCCACCCCATCTGCAAAGTGGTGCGGACTGGGGGTGGCCCAGGACCTCCACCCTGGGCTAGCAGTAATGAGGAGCTAGTCCCCCTCCCCACCAGGTGGATGTCAGAGGCTAAGCAGGGGACCTAGACCTCCCCGACTCAGTGGCTAAGGGGATGCACCTGTTTCTCTGCTTGCATGGTGAGGCCTGCTAAACAAGATAAATAAAGTCCATAGTCTCGTCAGGTAGTGCCTCAAATGTCCGGGATCTAATCGACACTGATTACCAGGAAAATCTCAACTTTCAGAGATTTCAAATGAGAAAAAACATTCAGCAGAAGACACCAAGGCTGAGATTGTACAAATGTTGGAATTATGTGACAAGAGTTTTAAACAGCCCTCTTGATTCAGCAAGCAATTTAGAACATGCTTGAAACAAATGAAAACATTTAAAGTCTCAACAAGGAAATAGGCGATATAAAGAAGAACCAAATGGAAATTTTAGAACTGAAAAGTATACTGAAGACCTCAGAAAGCTTTTATTTTTGTTATATCTATTTATATTTACTGTATTAGAAATTTTAATTAGAAAAGATTTTAAAATATTCATTTTAAAGCAACAATAATAAACCTTTTACATGTAACATAACTGACTTTTTAAATAAAAAATAACTATATTTCCAAAACAAAATACTAAGAAAAGTAGTGTCACATCACTTTTGACCTCTTTGATGTCTAGTTCAGCAGAGGCAATCTGGTCCCCTTGCCTGCTTCTGCACTTACTCTGTTGCAGTACACTGTTTTGAGTAAAGTGTTTCTCTGCCTGATGGTGAAAGGCTACATCACAAAGTTGTAGATGGAAAAGAGAGGAATATTCTCATAGGCTTTCCAGACCATTGAGATAATTCTTTGACTCTATATAGGAAAACTCCAAGAGGCAGTTTTTTTTTTTTAAAAAGGTTAGTTACAATGTGGCTTCTGAAGTGTACCAATAAACTTTTTCTACCTTTACACTGAAATCCACTGGTCTGCCTAAAGCACTGAATGGATTTCGTAATATCTTGTGTTAGTCATGTCTTAGTCCATTTGGGCTGCTATAAGAAAATACTATAAACTGGGTTGGCTTGTAACCAACAAGCATTTATGTCTCATAGTTCTGGAGGCAGGGAGGTCCAGATCAAGTCAGGGAGGTCCAGATCAAGTCAGGCAGGGAGGTCCAGATCAAGTTGAGTTTCTGATGAAGAGGGCCGCTTCCTGGCTCATAGCATCTTGCTGTGTCTGCACATGGTAGATGGGGCAAGGGATCTCTCTTTCCCATTCATGACAGCTTCACCTTCATGACCTCATCACCTTCCAAAGGCCTCTCTTCCAAACACCGTCACTTTGAGGGTTAGGATTTCAGCATGAGTTTTGGAGGGGACACAAGCATTCAGACCATAGCAGACCATTTGGAGTATATTAGCTTACTGAGCCATGCAGCACCTCCCAAGTGCTGATATACCACTGTTAAAAACCCAACCCCCAAACCCCTACCTTCCTTAACATCTCCAGGGGCCTCATCAGAAAAGCCTTGGAGTAAGGAAAAGCTGCTAAGCTCACAGTAGTTCATAAAAGTTTTCCAGAATTCTGGTTTTTCTTGAAAGCACAAATGTTGTCATTGGCAACGAGTACCATCAGTTGTTTGCCTGGAAGTGACAGATTTGTTCTATTCGTTTTGGAGAATATGGTCAGCCAGATGCCCAAGCCTGGGTAGCTGTGTCTGCCTGTCTTCTGTTCTGCAAGAAGCAGCTAGTTCAGCTCACAGCTCAGACAGCTGCCCAGAGCTTTTCTGTAAACAGCCATGAGACACCCGTGTGCAACAGAAGTGCTGTATGCTTCTCATTTCATCACAAAGAATATAAAAAACGTGTGCTCAAGGACCAAGATTTAAGAAAATTCATATTTACTGCATTATCAAGGACATTTTATTTATTTATTTAGAGATGGTCTTGCTCTGTCACCCAAGCTGAAGTGCAATGGTGCAGTCATAGCTCACTGCAGCCTTGAGTTCCTGGGCTGAAGCCTCCCACCTCAGCCTCCTGAGTAGCTGGGACTACAGGTCTACGCCATGATACCGGGCTAATTTAAAATTTTTTAATTAAGACAGAGTCTTGCCATATTGCCCAGGCTGGTCTCAAACTCCTGGGCTCAAGTGATTCTCCCACCTCAGCCTCCCGAAAGTGCTGGGATTACAGGTGTGAACCACTGTGCTTGGCTCATCGAGGACATTTTTTAAAGGAAACTAATTTTACTGGTTTGTTGATTGACTGATTGATTGCAGAGTGTCTGGTGTTTAAGAACGTGGTGATTACTTGCGTAGTTTGGTGCCGGTGGGAGCACTCCAGCATTTTACCTATTGCTGTTTTTGCACCATCAGTGCAAACGTTAATACAGTAAAAAAAGACCATAATGGCTTAGTGTTGTTGTGAATATAGTTTGAGCTGTGGGTCATCTGCAAGCCTGTTGCAGGCCTCGGGTTTGTGGAGAACACAAGTGGCAGAAACAGACTCTTTCTTCTTTAACCAAGGCCATCCTCCCAAATGCGAGGGAAAAGTCAAACTCAGTGATGACTTTAATATTTGTTAAACGTTTTTATTTCAAGTGTTTTGACTAGCCAACTTCAGGGACTGAAGAGAGAGCTTAGTTGCTTAGTAACATATGCAGTGCAGGTTTGAAAAATTGGTGACTGACTTAACTTGAAATAATTGAAGAAAGATTTGGTTTGTGAAAGAATTGGAGTAATACAGACTTCTCAATTTTTAAAAATATTATAGTACATGCTAGCTGATTTCTCCAGGATCTTTCGGGACTTTGAGTCTTAATTGTACCCATTTTTTGCTTCAAGAAATAAATGTTTTGGCTGGGCACAATGGCTCATGCCTGTAATCCCAACACTTCCGGAGGCCAGGATGGGAGGATTACTTGGAGTCAGAAGTTCAGGACCAGCCAGAGCAACAAAGTGAGACCCTGTCTCTACAAAAAAAAAAGAAAAAAATATTAAAATAAATTTTAAAAAAACAAAACCCAAAACTAGCCAGGCATGGTAGTACCTGGTTCCATGGTTCCAGCTCCTCAGGAGGCTGAGATGGGAAGATCAGTGGAGCCCAGGAGGTTGAGGCTGCAGTGAGGTGTGATTGTGCCACTGCAGTCCAGCCTGGACGACACAGCAAGATCTTGCTTCGGAAAAATGAAATAAAAGTTCTTATATTTTATTAGGCAGATCAACAGTTGGTAAAGAAAGGAAAAAGCAAAGTTGGGGACATGTTGGAAAAAGCAGCAGAGTTACTGATGAGCTGTTTCCGGGTCTGTGCCAGCGACACGTGAGTAAGGACTTGAGGACCGACCACCAGACGCTGTTGGTGGTGTTTTCATTGCAGCGTTCACCCTTTCTGGCCTGTGTTTATTGTTGACACATATTTCATTTCTACACATGCTATAATCCCACAACCATTGTTATTTTTGCTTTAAAAAGTTGATTGTTTTGTAAAGGAAATAAGAGCTGAGGGAAAAAAGAGTCTTCATTTGCCCACATTTGACCATGCCTGGAGCTCCTCTCTGCAGGAACCAGTTTCCGTCTAGTGCCATTTCCCTTTCCTGAGGCACTTTCTTCCACATTTGCGTTTGGTGAGGGTCTGAGGGCAGTGAATCTTTTAAGCTTTCATTTTTCTGAAACTCTCGTTATTTTTTTTAAGAAATGTTCTCTCTTTACCAGTGAAGAAGCAGCACTGATCACCTTCATTTTTAAGGCTCCATTTGCTACATGGAGTCTCGTGGGTTGACAGTTTTTTCCTTTTGGCACTTTAAAAATGTCATTCCATCTGGTTTCCTTTGCTTCTGATGAGTCCTTGCCATCGTTCCCTGTATAGAATGGGTCTTTTTCCTCTGGCTATGATTTTCTCTTTATCATTGGCATTCAGTAATTTGGCTCTGATGTGCATAGTTGGTTTTTTTTTTTTTTTTTAATTTCTTCTGTTTAGGGTTCATTGGGCTTCCTGTATTTGTAAGTTGATGTTTTTAAAAATTTAATGTTTTACATTCTTTAACTACTTTTGGCCCCATTTTTTCTCTTCTCTTTCTGGGATTTCAACTGCATGTGTGTTAAGTGCATGATATTATCCCTCACAGGCCGCTGTTAGTCTTTGTTTATTTTTTAATCTTTTTTTTTTTTGAGACAAGACTCTTGCTCTGTCGCCCAGGCTGGAGTGCAGTGGTGCCATCTCAGCTCACTGCAACCTCCGCCTCCTGGGTTCAAGCCATTCTCCTGCCTCAGCCTCCTGAATAGCTGGGATTACAGGCGCATGCCACCACGTCCGGCTACTTTTTGTATTTTTAGTAGAGATGGGGTTTCACCATGTTGGCCAGGCTTGTCTTGAATTTCTGACCTCAGGTGATCCACCCTCCTCGGCCTCCCAAAGTGCTGGGATTATAGGCGTGAGCCACTGCACCTGACCTCAATCCTTTTTTTTTTTTTTCCTCTCCTTCATTTTAGGTAATTTGTATTGACCTGCTTACAAGTTGACTGATCTTTTCTGCCATTATTTATTTTTAAATTCTCAACTTTCCGTCTGATTCTGCTTTAGAATTTCCATTTTTTCTTCTAAAACTCCCATCTCTTCACCAATTATATAATCACATTTATTTATGAGATTTAGGAAATTTTAAAGCAAAGAAAGATTATCAAAGGTATCCATATATAAATAAACAAAAAACTATTGTTCCCAGAGAGTAGTTGTTTTAGTCCTCTTGTGTTGCTATAAAGGAATACCTGAGGCTGGGGAATGTAAGAAAAGGGGAATACCTGAGGCTGGGGAATGTAAGAAAAGAGGGGAATACCTGAGGCTGGGGAATGTAAGAAAAGAGGGGAATACCTGAGGCTGGGGAATGTAAGAAAAGAGGTTTATTTGGCTCACAGTTCTGCAGGTTGCACAAGAAGCATGGTGCTCGTATCTGCTTCTGGTGAGGCCTCAGGCTGCTTCCACTCATGCTGGAAGACAAAGAGGAGCCCACTACATGGCAAGAGAGGAGGCAGGAGATAGAAGGGGAGGCGCCAGGCTCTTCCACAACCAGCTGTCTGGGAACGCTCACAGGAGCTCAGAGCGAGAACTCATTCATTATGGCAAGGACAGCACCAAGCCATTCATGAGGGGTCCACCCCCATGACCCAAAAACCTCCCATTAGGTTCCTCCTCCAACAACGGGGATCAGGTTTTAACATGAGGCTTGATGTGGCCAAAAAACCACATCCAAACCATAGCAGTAGCCCAGCTTCTCTTTTCACTCATTGTGTTTGTTGCCAATAAACTCTGTAGCCTCAAAAGATGGGAACTTTTCCTTTTGGGTGTTGTGGATCCCATCCATGAAACCGAAAGTAAGTGTTGAGCAGAGCAAGCTGTATGTAAAGGCCAAGGAATGAAGAAGCAGGAGTGTGGCTCACAAATCAACTTCTCTACTCCTGAGGGGTGAGGGGATTGAAATAGAGGGTTTCTTGAATGAAGGGGTTGGACATTGAAAGCAAGGGGAAGAATATTCATGGCTTTTCTGGAAATGGACGGTGAACTTCTGGGAGCTGAAGCACTGCCATCTTTTTGTCCTTTTACGGCGTCTTCCCGTCATTGTCATGGTGATTGTCAGCCGCTGTGGCACTGGTGGGAGTGTCACGGAGCATGCAAATGAGGTTGTAATGAAGTTGGAGGCCCTGCAAAGGCCAGGTGGACTTCCACTTAGCATCCTGCTGGTCTTAGCTGGTTTAACCAAGAGGGGAGCCTCTGACCTCAGGCATCCTATTGCTGAAGATAGGCAGAGTTTGAGTTGTGCAACTGTTCAGCCAAGCCTACAAGATGTATAGTGCTGTGGGGGTAACATGGCCTCCCTACCCAGCCTCGCTTCAGAACTTTCGTACCAAGGCTGGACTGTAGAAAAGTCCTTCCTATGCCATGGCACTTTCCCACTGAGGCCTCCCATGGGTGCCGTTTCCTTTGCTGGAAGGTTCTCCTCGACTCCTGGCAGTCTATACTCATTTAAAGGTTTCCGCCTTCTCTAAAGCCTCTCACTGCTGGACTTCACGGTGGATCAGATTTCCCTTTTATAAACATTCATAGCAGACTGTACATTTCTTTCACTGCGTTTACCAAACGATTTGATGGCGAAGTGCGTCAGGGCGTGGGCCTTCTCCATCACTAGCGTTCCTTGCACCCCAGGAGCTCAATCCGTGTTTCCTAAATGAATACTTGACATTTCGCTTGATCGTATATTTTTGCACAGCAGTGATCTTCACGACCTTTGATTAGGCAGTGGCTTCTCAGATACGACAACAAAAGCATAAGCAACCAAAGGAAAAAATTAATTGGACTTCATCAAAATTAAAAACTTTAGACTTCAAAGGACATTCTCAAAAAAGTAAAAAACAACCATAACCTAGCAAATAATACATCTGATAAGGGCCTAATATCCAGAATATATAAAGAATTATTACAATTCAACAGTAAAAAGACAATCCAATTCAAATTCTTTAAAATGTTTAAAGAATTTGAAAAATCTTCCAAACAAAATACGCAAGTGACCAGTAAGTGCATGAAAAGATGCTCAAGGTCATTAATCACCAGTGACTTAGTCACCAATGACTAATGCATCAGTCACTTGAAATGCACATCAGAACCTCTGAGAGCTGCCAGGCCACACCCAGTGGGATGACTGTAATCAGAAAGACGGGCGGCGCCAGTGAGGATGCAGGGAGACTGGAGCCTCGTACACATCGCCAGGGGAACAAAAACAGTGCAGCTGCTGTGCGGAAATGGGAAGGCAGTTCCTGAAAGTGGGACGTAGAGCTACCATGTGACCCAGCATTTCCACCCTGAGGGGACACTCAGAAGACAGGGCAGATCCCCAGTGACATCTCTTTCCCGTTGGGGTTTGCTTTTGTCACAGTCTCCAATAGAGGTCATCATTCCTGGTGCCAGACCAGCTACGATATTACCATGCGTGTAGCGTTTTACGTGAGTTACGGAGTACTTGTGTGTTTTGTTTGGTTTTTCCATAGCTCTTTGAAGTCATAGAACAGTATTATTATTTGTCTCCGTTTTCAGATGAGGAAAACGAGACCTTGAGAGACTTTTGTTTGAGGTCATGCACGTAGGGAATGATAAAAGTCATAGACCTGCTTAGAGCAGCTCACAGGCAGTTATAAAACAGGGTTTGATATTTTAAAATTGTATTTTTACATTATTTTAAGTGTTTCTATATGGACACATTTTGGTCTTTAAGAGTAATTTTATGTTCTGTGGCTTGTAAACCACCTGCTTGTTTTCTGTACTGGGCACTTTTGTATTTTTGTGCCTTGACTTTGAGTGATTTTATCATTTTGTTAACACCACAGAGTGTACTTCGTAAACCGAGATGGCGTGGCCTGCTACACACCCCCGCTGTGTGGCGCAGCCTGTGGGTCCTAGGCTGCGAGGAGCAAGAGCTGCACTAAATGCTGTAGGCAGCTGGAACACAGTGGGAATTATTTGTGTGTCTAAACAGATCTAAACACAGAAAAGATGCAGTAAAAATACAGTGTGAGACTCCGTAGGGCCCCATCTCACATGTGGTCAAGTGTGAGACTCCGTAGGGCCCCATCTCACATGTGGTCAAGTGTGAGACTCCGTAGGGCCCCATCTCACATGTGGTCAAGTGTGAGACTCCGTAGGGCCCCATCTCACATGTGGTCAAGTGTGAGACTCTGTAGGGCCCCATCTCACATGTGGTCATCTGTAGTTGACCGAAATGTTGTGTAACATGTGACTGTTTCCAGGTTAATTGCAGACAGTGGCACACCCTCCCCTAGGTTCTTCAGTTTCTGTTTTTTCAGTCTTTTGAGGTAAAATTTGCATGCAGTGAACTACCTACAGTATTATCTGTCTGCTTGCTGCTGAGGTATAGGACATGATTGCCACCCCAGAAACTTCCCTCATCCCTCATGTGGGGCAGGCCCTTTCAGCTGTCTGGATTTGTTCCACTGTGGGTTGCTTCCTGCCTGTTCGGTGACTTCATGTAAATGGACCACCACAGTGTGTACTTTTTGTGTCTGCCTTGGTGGGACTCATCCTCTTTGTGTGTTTTACTGGTTTGTTTTGTCGTACTGATGAGAAGTATTTTTCCATTTTTCTTTTCTTTTTTTGTTTTTGTTTTTTGAGACGGAGTCACGCTGTGTCACCCAGGCTGAAGTGCATTGGCCCGGGTTTGAGTGATTCTCCTGCCTCAGCCTCCTGAGTGGCTGGGATTACAGGCACACACCACCATGCCCTATTTTTCCATTTTTCAAAAACGGTTTATAACAATTAACTTTTACGCATTGTTGCTGCAAATGAGGCAGTTTTTAGCTGGTGCCGCGGAGGAAGGATGTTACTCAAGTAGTTAATTGGGATTTTCCTGGTTTGTTTTCTCTTTTATTTTTACCCATCAGGTAAGACATCTTTTTTCATAATGTTATTTTGTTTGATGAATATGACTTGATATGAATAAGTTGATATGAATATGACTTGAGCTTTGGGACTTACCTCAAGATATTAATTTGTTTAGGCAGTTTATTTTGTGATTTATAAATAAAATTTTTATTTCCTATGTAACTTAAAAAAAATTATTTCCCCATAGCCGTGCTGGTATAGAGGACTCTAAGAAGTGGGGCATGCTGTTTCTGGTGAACCAGCTGTTTAAAATCTACTTCAAGGTGTGCTTCTGTTTGAATCCTTTCTGTCTTTACAATTTTCGATTGTCCTGGGCTTCCCACATATCATATATATATCAGCTAGCCTCCCTGGCGTTGCTTGTGAAATGATCATAACCGTATTCCTAGTCCTAATAGCAAACATTTGTTGAATGCCTACTAGGTGCAAGGCACTATTCTGAATGCTTTACAAATGTCTTCCTGTTGACAATCAGCCCTCTGAGGTTAGCGCTCCCAGCCCCAGAGGAAACGAAGGCCCCTGTGTGTGAAGCAGCTGTCCCAGTGTGGTGGAATTGGGCTTTCAGTGCAGGCGGTTTCACTCCAGAGCGTTTTGTCTTCTGTGGTCATAATTAACTATGGAAAAGCAGGCACGTAGATGGATAGATGGATAAAGAAACCATTGCCACATAAAGTCAGTCAGGTGAAGAGCAGCCCATCACGTGTCAGCAGCTGGGACTTGTGCCTTCTGTCCAGTGCCTTCCACTCCTGTAGAGCACCCCACCTTCCTGCCGGTGCTGCATAAGCACAGGCTCCTGCAGGGCTGCGCCCCCTGGAACGGCTTCCCAGAGCCTCCACAAGCACGGGCTCCTGCAGGGCTGCGCCCCCTGAAACGGCTTCGCAGAGCCTCCACTAGCACAGGCTCCTGCAGGGCTGTGCCCCCTGGAACGGCTTCGCAGAGCCTCCACTAGCACAGGCTCCTGCAGGGCTGTGCCCCCTGGAACGGCTTCCCACTGCAGGGCTGCGCCCCCTGGAACAGCTTCCCAGAGCCTCCACCAGCATGGGCTCCTGCAGGGCTGCGCCCCCGGAACGGCTTTGCAGAGCCTCCCAGGGTGAATGCCATCTATGCTGGCTGCTCTCTGTTTTGGTTTTATTATATAAATAATTGTTATGATATAATAGGTTTTGTAATTTGCATTTTAAGGAGACATGCTTAGTAATTTGTTTTGCCACCTGTTTTTGTTGTTTTTAAATATTTTAAATGGATTGTTATTCATTATAGATCAACAAACTCCATTTATGTAAACCCCTAATTAGAGCAATTGACAGCTCAAACCTGAAAGACGATTACAGCACTGCACAGAGAGTAACATACAAATACTACGTTGGACGCAAGGCTATGTTTGACAGCGATTTTAAGCAAGGTATGTTGCTAATCTTTTTTTCCCAGTATTTTAAATAAGACATTGCATTCTGAACAACTTTGAATAATATAGTTTCAGAGAACACAATTACTGTATTTTATTTTTAAATGTGGACCAAGTTATATATACATATTTGACACTAAAGCTGATTAAAGGGAAATTATATTGAAGATTCTTAATCCATACTGGGTCTCTGAAGTGCATGCTGGAGTCTCACAGGCATTACAGACATCGTTTCTGAGTTCACTGAGCATGACTGTTCTCAGAATAGAATGTAAATCATTGTTTTCTTTATTTGCTTTTTGACCCTGTAATAGATGCTGGTTATGTTGACATAGGAAATGGAGATTAGGACAACATTTAGTTCAGCGACTGACTTCATGACCTACACATCCCGCATGGAGATGACTTAGAAGCAGGGGATATGCCCTTGGACCTGGTGTCAAAGCTCTCGTTTAAACAGCCTCGTGCAGTGTGTCGCTACCACAGAGCTCCTGTTTAAACAGCCTCGCACGGCGTGTCGCTGCCACACCTGACACTATTGTATTAGTTTACGTTGGTAACTTTCTCAAGAACAGGAAACTAGTCTTCTTTTTGTAATTTTTATCGGCTGTCACGGCATCATTCTTGGTGATCTCTTCTCTTGTGCTCAAACCAGACTTTAAACTCTTCTTCAGCTGTTTGTGGAGCACACAGTCCCAAGTACATGAAGCAACATAACTTTAGGCAATGCAAGATAAATAATAGCCCTTTCATAAGGACGCTCTGGCTTTTTATTCTATAGGCTTGTATAGACCATTTCCTTTCACAGTTTTTACTCTGTGGGCTTGTATGGACTGACCATTTCCTTTCAGTTTTTAGTAGATCTAGGGCTTTTAAAGAAGGGCTTTTCTTATCTGTCTCTTTTTTTTTCTCTTAATATGAAGCATAAAGGTAGAGAAGCTTTTAAATTCTATCCTATTGGATTTTATTAAGATACTGATTTTTTTTCTTCTGAGGATTCAGTAAGTGGTATTTTTGAATACCTAACATAGCCAGAAATTGTTATTAATATTGATGCGACATAGTCATAGTTTCTGACATCTTTAGAGCTAAAAAGTTTGTTTAAGTCTGTATCATCCAACCCTTTCGTTTGACTATAAAAGAAATAGGAAGCCATTGAGAGTGTGATGCTCTGAGATTACTGAGTAATTCTGTGTCCCCAAAAAGCCAGCGCTGGCCATAGATCTTCTGCCTTGTAGCTCGCAGAGATTTTGTTTTCCATTTTACTGCTAGGAATTCCTAGAGCCCTGATTGTATTTAAGTGGATAAAATGTCTGCAGAGATTGTGGTGATTTTCTTTCCTGTGATTTTATATTATTTATGTAAGAAAGAGTATTTGGAGTATCTCAGTTGTTGTATGTATACTTTTATTAATTTATTAATTTCAGAGATTTATACCCCTCTACATATTTTTGACTCCAACCGAAATATATTATTTGATGCAAAATGACTTAGGTTCCCTCAAAGACAGCAGAAAAATCTCAGCTTGCATTAACTATTAGAAAATGCATTTTTTGGCCGGGCGCGGTGGCTCACGCCTGTAATCCCAGCATTTTGGGAGGCTGAGGTGGGTGGATCACGAGGTCAGGAGATCGAGACCACGGTGAAACCCCGTCTCTACTAAAAATACAAAAAATTAGCTGGGCAACGGTGGTGGGTGCCTGTAGTCCCAGCTACTCGGGAGGCTGAGGCAGGAGAATGACGTGAACCCGGGAGGCGGAGCTTGCAGTGAGCTGAGATCGCGCCACTGCACTCCAGCTTGGCGACAGAGCAAGACTCCATCTCAAAAAAGAAAAAGAAAAAATGCATTTTTTGTACATCCAGGAGAATTTGAGATTACCTTGGGCAGTAGCAAAGGTACACTTTTTAGAGGCTAGTTTGCAAAAGTCAAACTGGCAGCTGGTGGGATATTGCAGACTCTCAGTGAATCCTTGTTCTTTGGTCTCAGCCCCACAGGGCTCCTCGTGGGTCATGGCTTTGTGGTTTGGAAGAGACGCTGGCCCCACAGCATTCACGCTCACTGTGCAAGACTGGATGTTTTTTGTGCCAATGTGGCCACATAGTTTAGGAGCAGAGGCAGTGTGTGGTCTCAGTGTGGGTTCCCTAGGCCTCGACCCAGACCCCAGGGCCTGCTGCTTCTGGTGACCCATTCTGCATAAGGGAGGGCCTCTGCAGCTCTGAGCATCTCTGTTCTCTTATATTTGGGACTTAATATCACTGTTCAGGAAGAACTTACATAAACAGGAACATCTCACTTTCCTAATTCTTGACCCAAACTCAGCCTTAGTGAAGCCTCTTCTCTTCACCTAGGGAGAATGTGGAATCATTGTCCAGAAACCCCTGACCCTTCAGCTTTCCAGCCTCAGGACAAGGCTCAGCTCCTGCCTGCCTGTTCTGAGAGTTCCTTGTTAGCATGTGCTGAACTCTTTGCAGGCCTGTCGTGCAGTTTGTGGGATTAATCTTGACAAATAGAATTACTTTTGTATTTTGAAATCTATTAAATTCAAATCTGTTTTTTAATATTGCTCTCAGGACAGAATTAATATGTTGTGTGTTAGTAATAATAAGTTAATTTTTTAAAGCATGTGGTCATTTAAAATGGAAGATATATGATCACTAATTATATGTTAAGCTGGAGGATGGTGTTTTACTAAGTTATTTTCATTGTTTAATTATGGGTGATTAAAATGTATTGTGGAGGTACATTTTTAAATATGTCTTTATATTTTTCATGAATGTAGAAATCATCTGAGCAGGGTCAGACTTTTAAAATGTTATCATAATGGTTTGCCAGCTGACCTTAGGCAAATCAGAATCTCTGTGAAAGTTATTTTCTTCAGTTTTCCTCTGTTAAGTAGGACTTCCCAGGCAGTTCCTGTTGAATTTGGGGGTATGGATTTTACTTAAGGAAAGTCATTGATCACAGAAATGAAACTGGGATGATATTTTTTGAGATAATAAAGGGAGGGGGCTTTTGCCTTTTAAATCAGGAGACAGTGGTAGAAAATGGAGCAGGAAGGGGCCTGAAGCAGGTGCGTTGGTCTCATGCGTGCTGGCTCTGCCTTCTTTGCAGCTGAGGAGTACCTGTCATTTGCCTTTGAGCATTGTCACCGTTCTAGTCAGAAGAACAAAAGGATGATTCTGATCTATTTGCTTCCAGTAAAAATGCTATTGGTGAGTGATTATTACTCCATGTTTATAGATCCTGGTGCTTTCACAAAGTTGACAGCTGATAGGTTTTTTTAAAACCTAGCAGACAGTCTGTAGTTGATCACAGCCTGAGCTGTGTATGAGCACACCCCAAAATAAAGAAGGCGCATGCATTGTGTGTGGCCCAAACCCAGAGCTTCATGCCTTACGCCTCCAGGTCCTTCTAGAAAAGCTCTCCCTGTGTCTTGTTTCCCTTAAAAGTATTTAACTCAAGAGTTTAACGTTCATGTGACAAAATAAGTACGTATCATTTGTATTCCTCCCTTAAAACCTAAGTTAAAAGCAGTGGATTCACCAAGAAAGAAAAATGTCATTTCACCCTCTCTGTGGGTATTTCATTTAGTTACTAAAATGTATTTTTGATACTTGAAATAACTGGTAAGTTAATTGACTAATGAGAAAAGCATTGCACACAGGTGGCTAAAGCTTCTGTAGCTCTGAATGGATTGTGATGGAGAAGCGCTGCTGTGGCCTTGCCCTCCTCACTTCTCACCCCATTTAACTGACAGCCAGTTTCAAATGCTTAGCTGATTCTTCTGGAAGCTACTTCCGTATGCCTACATCTCATGCTTATACTAGCATTTCTTCAGTTATCACTCTCCTGTTATAGAAATTCGAAGAAATGTGAGAAGGTCAAGATCAAGGTCACGTGTCATGGAATGACAAAAGTGTGTTGTACCCAGGTGTTCTGATTTCTAGACCTGTGTTGTTTTCCTAGTGTACTATGATGTGTTTAATCCATGGACATTCTAAGAAACTCAGGTTGCAATTTTCTTAAAACTTAATTCCTTGATATGAATATTTATCAAGGACAATTTTGTCAAAAATGAAAGCATTTTCATTCTGGAAAATTGACTCTTAGGGTCACATGCCCACTGTGGAGCTCCTGAAAAAGTATCACCTGATGCAGTTTGCGGAAGTAACCAGAGCTGTGAGGTAGAGTATGCCATCCTTCCTGTTTGGGGTTTTAAAAATGCAAGCCTGATGAGAGTTGACGTGCACGCTCTGTGAGAAACTCACCCTCCTTCTGACGCGCCTCCCCCCTCACCAGCGAGGGCAACCTGCTGCTGCTGCACGAGGCGCTGGCGAAGCACGAGGCCTTCTTCATTCGCTGCGGAATCTTCCTCATCCTGGAGAAGCTGAAGATCATCACCTACAGGAACCTCTTTAAGAAAGTGTAAGCATTTCCCCGGCACATTGGGCTCCCAGTGTGGCTCTCGGCAGAGCAGTCAGACATCCAGGGCTGTTGCAGTCTAAGAGAGAAGGCCACCGTGTGGGTGGGGTCGTTATCTTCCTTCCATTGTGTGGGATAAAATGAAGCCTCCGCCCACTGCCTCCTGGGGACCCTGCGCGAGACACGTGAGTAGCACAAGCTGTGCCTGGACTTGTGGGGGAGGTAAGCAGGTTCTATGTGAGAAGACAACTTGAGAACATCAGCCCTGAGAGCCGCGGTACCACATTTCATCAGAGCACACAGGACTCGCCACTCACTCCCCTCCCTTAGTGCTGACCAAGTAGCCCTCCCAGCCACTTCTGCCTGTCACAAAGGCAGATGCAGAGATCGTCATTCCTTTCCTCACACGTCTTCTGAGGCCTCGTCCCAGCAGGATCTCAGTTGTGTAAACTTCAGGCAAAGGCCAACTTTGTATAGAGCTGTGGGTAGCACGTCACAAACAGTAGGGACCCTATTTCGCTGAGTCTGTGAGACACAGCCCATTGTCAGGTGCTTCCTGATTTCAGGGAGATTAAAATGTGAAAAAAAAAACCGAACCTTAATGAAATACTTAGAAAATAATTAAAAATTGTGTTTGTACTAGTGACTTTTTAAAGATTGAAAAGTCAAATTAGATTTAATAGCTCTGAGAGTGTAGTTTAGAGTTTATCTAATAGGTGGGAATTTTTTTACTCCTTTAGAACACCGGCTTATTAAGAGGTGCCTTTTCTTGGCTGTGGAGTATTGCATCCTGTCGGTAACCACAGTGCCCTTCTCCTCCCCTCTTCCAGGTATTTGTTACTGAAAACACACCAGCTGTCTCTGGATGCTTTTCTGGTTGCCTTGAAGTTCATGCAGGTGGAGGACGTGGACATTGACGAAGTTCAGTGTATTCTGGCTAACTTGATATACATGGTGTGTGAGTCCTGGTTTTAATTTAAGCAGCTACTCACAGCAAGATTCAGCCCAGAATTTGAAGCTTCAGTGTGGTGGTGTTAAAATTGTTAAAAGGCCTTCTGCTTTTTTTTTGATAGAACTAATTTTAGCCCAGGAAATACCATTCACCAGGGCCTTAGGAGCATGAGGGGACGGATACTCTTGTATGTTTGCATATTCTTTACTGGCGGTACATCCCTCGGTATCTGTCGATTCTCCAACCCCCCTCGGATACCAAAATCCACAGGTGCTTCAGTCACTGATAGGACGTAGTATTTGCATATGAGCTATGCACGTCCTCCTGTATACTTTAAATTATCTCTAGGTTACTTAAAATACTCAGTGCACTGTAGATAGCTGTTGTACTGTATTGTTTAGGGAATCACGGCAAGGGAAGAGCGTCTGTACGTGTTCATTACAGATGCATTTTTTTTCCCCAAATATTTTCAGTCCACAGTTGGTTAGATTCATGGATATGAAACCCACCGTGGATATAGAGGGTTGATTGTATTTATTTTTACTCATTGTCTTCCCGCTGAACTGAACTGTGCCGCTCTTGGGGAAGAATGCTAATGCCAAATTAATTAGATCACCCAGCATCTTTGACATGACTCAGATCCAAAAATGTAAACGCATTCCTCCCTTTCTGCCCCGCAGGGACACGTCAAAGGCTACATATCGCATCAGCATCAGAAGCTGGTGGTCAGCAAGCAGAACCCATTTCCTCCCCTGTCCACGGTGTGTTGAAAGTACACGGAGCCCCGAGGACGGGTGAGCAGTTGTTTCTTTCCACTTTGGTTGTGCTGATGAGACCGGTCCGGTACTGCAACAAGGCTCCCTGAAGCCGGAACTCTTGGAGGCGCTTTTCCCAGGGATGCTGAGGCTGAGATTTTCAGCACACCCGAGTTAATCTCCTTCATTTGTAACTAATTTCAGCCTGATGAAAACCTGGAATTCCTTTTTCACAGACTCGGCTGGTTCTGGAGTCTTTGTGAGACTTCTTTGAAGGAGGCTTTGCGTGAAGGCTGCTCGGCTCACTTTTCCTAAGTGTGGTTCCTGAAGGCTGTCTTTGTAACTTTTTGTAGTTCTTTGTGTAAAAAGCGTATTCTGAATTTATACACATGGCATGTTCTTCATTATATCTTCCAGGATACATCTATTTTTATATATTAAATTTGAATGTGTTATCAAAATGCTTGGTTAACTTAAGGCACCTTTTTAAAAGCAGAATTTAATTTGATTTAAATTTTCCAGATTTTATAGCTTGCCTGTATGGATGCTCCTCAATTTATGATAGGGTTACATCCCAATAAACTTATTTTATTTGCCTTTGCTTTGTTGGTTAAAAAAAAATTTCTTTTAAAAAACCATCTTAAATTGAAAATACATTTAATACACCTGCTACTAAACATTATGGCTCACTCTAGCCTTCCTTAACATACTCAGAAGCCTCCACTCTTAGGCAAAATCAAACACAAAGCCGATTTTATTTTATAATAAAGTGTAGATGCCGGGCGTGGTGGCTCACGCCTGTAATCCCAGCACTTTCAGAGGCCAAGGCAGGCAGATCACCTGAGATTGAGAGTTGGAGACCAGCCTGACCAACATGGAGAAACCCCGTCTCTACTAAAAATACAAAATTAGCCGGGCGTGGTGGCGCATACCTGTAATTCCAGCTACTCAGGAGGCTGAGGCAGGAGAATCGCTTGAACCCGGGAGGCAAAGGTTGCAGTGAGCCGAGATCATGCCATTGCACTCCAGCCTGGGCAACAAGAGCGAAACTCTGTCTCAAAAAAATAAATAAATAAAAATAAAAGTGTAAATACCTCGTGTAGCTTACCGAGTGCTACACTGAGAGTGGAAACTGAAGGGCTGCGTGGACGCTGAGGCATGGCTGCCCCTGAGCGCGTCCCTTCGGCACCACGGCGAGGTTGACAGTCGCTAAGTTGGGCCACTCACATTGGGCTGTTGGGGCTGCCATCACAGAATACCACAGGCAGCTTAAGCAACAGGAATGTATTTCCTCACAGTTCTAGAGGCTGGAGGTCTGACTGAGATGGGGTTGCCAGCACGGTCGGCTTCTGGGGAGGGCTCTCTTCTGAGTTGCACACTTAAGAATAAGGTGGTATTCTTGCTGTGCTAGAGATGGTACAGATAGAGATGACTCTCTCCCTCCTTTTTTGAGACAGGACCTCACTCTGTCACCCAGGCTGGAGTGCGGCAGTGCAGTCAGTGCTTACTGCAGCCTCGACCTCCGAGACTCAAGTGATCTTCCCTCCTCAGCCTCCCAAGTAGCTGGGAGCACAGGTGCATGCCACCACACCCAACTAATTTTTTTATTTTTTGTAGAGACAGCGTCTTGCTAATATTGCACAGGCTGGTCTGGAACGCCTGGGCTAAAGCAATTCCCCCACCTCGGCCTCCCAAAGTGCTGGGGTGACAGGCATGTGCCACCACACCCGGCTCTCTTCCTCTTATAAGGCCACAGTTCTGTTGGGTTAGGACCTCACCCTTATGACCACATTTAGCCTTAGTTACCCCCTGAAGACCTTACCTCCAGATACAGTCACACTGGGGCTAGGACTTCAATGTAAGAAATTTGGGGGACACAGTTTAGTCCCCAGCACTGCCATTTTTCAGACTATGCACATTTCCCCGTTTATAAAAAATTTACTAAAGAAGAACACAAACTATAAGAGCTCATCTTTGCAAAGTTACTGCATTTGAAAGCTGCTTGTTCAAGGAGAGGCTATTCTACAAAGTGTGAATCCCTCTTTCTCTCTCTCCGGGCCGCGCGGCGCAGGACTCACTTTGTGTGGCTCCTTCCTCAGGTTCCCCTGGATGCAGGAGCTGCCCCAGGGCTTCAGCAGCACTCCTTAGCTCGCTCCTACATCTGCAGGTCTGCAGTTTCTTCCGGGCTGGGCGGGGAAGCTTGTGGGCTCTTCTGGGGCCCGAATGGGCCTCTTTGAAGGTGACTCATTCCCGTGTATTGGCCCGGGCTCTCACCTGGAGCTCAGCAGGGCTGTGGGTGGGCTCCCCTGTTTCTCTCCACACGTAGGGAGCTGGATTCTGGGAGCGCAGATCCCAGTAGAGCCAGGGAAGCCAGATCTCTTTTATGCCCTGCTCTCCTAAGTCACACCCGGATTCCAGCCGTGGACTGCCACACGTACACGCGAGAGATGAATGCACGAAGGCAAGCGCCTGTGCCTGTGGAGTTCATGCCAAGGATCCTCTTGACCTACGTAGCTGCTCCCCAGCAGCAGCAAGGTCCTCAGCGCTGGCAGTCGTGACAAGTGCCTCCTATGTCCTGTGGGGCAGACACGGAGCAAACTCATGCCGGCGGAGGCTTTGGGCGCGCATCTGTTTTCTAGCTACCCATGTGTCCAGTGGGGCCCCGTTCTCTTGCAGTGTTGGGTACGGAAATCTGATCTTCCCTGCTGCTCTGCATGGGCCTTGAACATCCTTCAACTTTTGACTTAAATGATTTTCTTGCAGTAATTTGAATATTGGAATTTCTGCCAGCATACCTGAATTTCATTCTGGATGTAATAGCGGTGGAAAGCTCAGGTTTGTCAACATTTCTGGGTAACGTATTGAACCGTCCATAGTGACACCTAAAGTCAAGGATTGATACTTTAAGGTAATTGGATGGTTATTCTTAGCGATGAAAGAAACAACCTCAGTGTAGGTGTCCTTACGTTTACCTCTTGGTGTTCAGGCCTCTGTCAGTTCGTTCTCACGCTGCTATAAAGAACTGCCCGAGACTGGGTAATATGTAAAGGAAAGAGGTTTAATGGACTCACAGTTCCACATGACTCGGGGGACCTCAGGAAACTTACAATCATGGCGGAAGGGGAAGTGAGCATGAGCAAAACTGCCACTTTTAAAACCATCAGCTCTCGTTAGACGCCCTCACTGTCACGAGAACAGCGTGGGGGAGCCGCCCCCGTGATCCAATCACTTCTCCACACGTGGGGATTACAATTCAAGATGGAATTTGGGTGGAGACGCAAAGTCAAGGCCTGTGTCCAGCATGGCAGCATTCAAGTCCACGGGCGTACACATGGGCATGTATCAGTGTGTTTGCATGGATTCAAATATTGGACTTAATAATCTCTGCCCAAGTGTGAACTAGTTTGGCCCTTTTAAAACATCATCACAGGCTGGACGTGGTGGCTCACATTTATGATACCAGCACTTTGGGAGGCTGAGGCCAGTAGATTGCTTGAGCCCTGGAGTTCGAGACCAGCCTGGGCAATATGGCAAAATCCATCTCTGCAGAAAATACAAAAATTAGCTGGGCATGGTGGTCCACACCTGTAGTCAGGAGGCTGAGGTGGGAGGGTCAATTGAGCCCAGGAAGTTGAGCCCACTATGAGCTAGGATCGTGCCCTGCACTCCAGCCTTGGGTGGCAGACAGAGACCCTGTCTCAAAAAACAAGAAAAACAGTCATCATAGCTAGCTTCCCTTTTCTTGAGTTTTACTGTTTTGTTAGATTTGTTTATGGTGTAGTTTCTAAGCATGTCATTAAATGCCAGTAGAGTAGTTACTTCATTTTGAAGGCCCCTCATGTCTCTGCTGACAGTCTGGGCCTGTAGCTTTCTCTGATTGTTCCTGATTTCACAGATTTCACCATTACGGAGGGAGGGTCTTCATATGCTTTGCCTCTGCCCAGCTGTGTTTGAAGTAGGTTTTTTTTTTTTTTTGAGATGGAGTCTCGCTCTGTTGCCCAGGCTGGAGTGCAGTGGCATGATCTCGGTTTACTGCAACCTCTGCCTCCCGGGTTCAAGTGATTCTCCTGCCTCAGCCTCCTCAGTAGCTGGGATTACAGGCGTGAGCCACCACGCTTGGCAAAGATTTTTTTTTTTTTTGTATTTTTAGTAGAGATGGAGTTTCACCATGTTGGTCAGGCTGGTCTCGAACTCCTGACCTCGTGATCCGCCCGCCTCAGCCTCCCAAAGTGCTGGGATTACGGGCGTGAGCTACTGCGCCTGGACTGGAATAGTTTTCAAGCAGGGCTTCCACTCTAGTAAATCCAAATTTGTAATAGAAGTACCAGAAGCAAGATTGCAGACATTTCTGCAGCATTATGTACAGAAAGCCTGCCATGTTCATTAGCTGATTTTAAAATCATTAGTAGGCATTTAAAGCAGTGACTTACTTACCTTATTGTAGTTTGAGAATAATACAACCAAACTTCACTAAGACTTTAAAATTCACCCTAGTGAATTTTAAACTGCCCTCCCCATTAATTTGCCTTAAATTACAGTGTTGCTTTTTGCCAAGGACCTTTCAGAGAAATGGGCCATTTCATCTACAGGTTGGAGAAAAGTTTAATTCTGGGGTTAAAGCGTAAATGAAAGAGAGTGTGCTGAAGAACAGTAAGGCTTAAAAACCCAAGTTATGTGTAAATTGTTCTCAACTCAAGAGAATATTTGTCCACCTACATTTTTAATTCCTCTTTTTAAAAGTCCTCTCTGCTCTTCAACGATGCTCTGCTCTGTGTCACTCAAGGACACTGGTGGAGAAGCAGCTGTGCCCCTTCCTTAACTAAGAGTTAAAATGTGAACATTTATGCCATTTCTGTCCATTTCAGTGCAAATTCAGACCCTGCTAGGAGCTCCAGTCTCCAAGGACGTTTCACTGGGGGCTGGACTGCAGCTCTGTCTTTGGTACTTGCATTGCAGCTGCAGCCTTCATGACAGCAGGTGTTTACTGTGATTCAGCACGTGCTGTCCTGGTCTGTTCTACAAAATACCATGGACTGGGTGATAACAGAAACTCATTTCTCACAGATCTGGGGGCTGGGAAGTTCAAGATCTGGGTGCCGGCAGATTTGGTGTCTGCTGAGGGCTCTCTGTCTCCAGGGTAGCACCTCACTGCAGTGTCCTCGTATGGGAGAAGAGATGGAAGGGGCTGGCAGAGCCCTCATGGCCTAGTCACCTCCCAAGGGCCCCACCTCCCCATATCATCATCTTGGGGTAAGTTCCAATTTTGGAGTTTTGAAGGGACACACACTCCAGCCACAACAGTGCTGGGCGTTGCCCTAGCTGCCCATCAGCCCATTGGTGAGGTGCTGGGATTCTACCCTGGGCGACCCTGAGGCATGAAGAGGTGGAACAGTTGTCCAAGAGCCACCTGGTGGGACGAGCAGAGAGCTGGGTCTCAGTGCTCAGCCCTGACTTCGGGCCCCGGAACCTTCCGTGGGAACCCTCCCAGAGAAGGGCGGGTGCACAACCCCGTGAGACGCCGGCGTGCCTCCTCAGCCTCTCTTGTGCTCTCTGGCCCTTTCCTCTAATGCTGCCTCTCTGGGATACCCACAGGGTCATTCTCCTCCATTGCCAACCTGCTTCTAGTGGCTGCTTCTGCACTGAGCCATGGTCCTCAGTCACAGTGGCAATTGGTAAACCAACAGAGGAGGTCACTTTCTGCTGTAACCGGAGATTGTTGTCGCTTCTGCACCAGAACACACTCACCAGTGTGCAGGCTGGGGTGGCTATTCCCTGAGCACAGGGAACACTGGACTTGGAGAAGGAAAGAATTTCTGGAAACCAGGCTGCTTTATGACTGACAGATTATCTTATTTTATTATTTAACGTATCTCATGTTTTCTTTTAAGGTCTCTATTGAGATAAAGAGTTCCAGGGAAAGAAAGGTCACAGTGCTCGGTAAACAACCCAGCAAACGGCGGCTCTGCTGCTGCGTGGGCCAAGCGGGTGGTCTGGGGCTGTGACGGCCTCTCAGTGTGTGATGAAGTTTCAGCGCCCTCCACAGTGGCAGTGCCAGCTTGGAATCCCGCTTCCGGTTGTGTTGTTCATTCTGGCTAGCTGAGTTTCAGTTAGTTCATGATCTGTTTAAACCAGAGTGAGTACCTGGAGACCTTGGTGACAAGGACCATGTGAGCCTGCCCTCCTACTGGCTGCGAGCCCAGGACCCCCGTGAGAAACCAGGAGCCTCTGTGTTCTCTGGTGACCACACTTCCATCCATCCAGTGCATGGCCGCCACGCTGCTTCTCTCACAGTAGGTCCTGGTGGTGACAGTCACATTCAGGACCTGCCCGCACTCCTCCCCCTCCACAAGTGTGACAGGCCGCGTGGTCAGCGAGTTGCCCAGGTCAGTGCCATTGCGTGCCCAGCCGCTGAGGAGGCCCCTGGTGCGTGGGATGAGGAGGTGCTCAGCGAAGTCTTTCTCAGGGGTGCACACGGGGAGCCCCGCACCTGGGCACTGGATGGGCCACTCCAGCTCCAGCAGTGACAGGTCATTCTCCCCCGCGTCCGCGTCATACCGCATGTGCACATGGACGTGCGTTATCTTGATCATCAGCGGGTCTTGGCTCGTTCTGTTAAAATCTGAAATCATGAACAATCGTCAGTTCTTTACAGTCTGATTTTCAAGGGGACATAATGCTCAAACGAGCTTCTCAGGGAGCCACGTGAGGAGGGAGAGACCGGCCCTGGAGGACCCGCAGGCTCACCGCCCCGTGGTGTGGACACTGTGCCTTTCTGCGGACAGAAAGGCCACTCACAGATTGCACGATTGCAACCAAGTGCCACAGCCTTTAAAAACAGTCAAGGTTAGTTCTTCTGTTTTGGAGTGCAGTGGGGTGTGGTGAAATGATTAAAAAGCAGGAAGCAGTGATGTGGAACGTCTCCAGGCCAGTCAAACATTGGCTGTTGAGAAGTGGTTTTCACGTTATTTTGTTGATTGAAAAATATTTAAGGGCCAGGCACAGTGGCTCACATCTGTAATCCCAGCGCTTCGGGAGGCCGAGGCAGGTCGATCACTTAAGGCCAGGAGTAAAGACCAGCTTTTCCAACATAGCAAAACCCCATTTCTACTAAAAATACAAAAAATTAGTGGGATATGGTGGTGCATGCCTGTAGTCCCAGCTACTCGGGAGGCTGAGGCATGAGAATCGCTTGAACCCAGGAGGCAGAGGTTGCAGTGAGCCTGGATCATGCCACTGCACTCCAGCCTGAGGGATTGAGTGAGACTCTGTCTCAAAAAAAAAAAAGAAAGAAATAGGCACAGATAAGCCGATGAGAAGGCCACTGCCTCAGCCTGAGGTCTCAACTGCTGGGGGATTCGAGCCCCATTCTTCCGATTTTTAGCCAATTATCCATCTCTTATGCCACAACTGCTCAATTTCAGTGGGAAATGAAGTCATCCTTATGTAGGCTGTGATTTCCTCCCTTGCCGAGTGTGAGTTAGCACTTGCCTGTCGCTGGGCCCAGGCTTCTGCTGGTATTTTACATATGCTTCCTGAGTTGATAAGTATCTCAGTTTTATTGACAGTAAATTCAGTTCTATGTTGCATTAGAAACAGTCCAGTTTTAAATTTGTCATTTCATTCTTACATAGGATAGTGTATTTCCAATGTGGTTTTATAAAAACTCATGATAAAATACTTACATGTTTTTACAGTAATATTCCTGTGTAACAGTGAACATTTTGCTGTTGTCAGTACAAAATTTTCCCGTATTATAACACCACCACAGAAGTCTTTTCCTTCGGAATTTGTTAACTTTACCTTTAAAAATCAAAACAGACAATAAATAGCTGGTGACAATTTGCAGGATTAGGGGCAGTAAAGTCTACTGGATAGGGATATGGACCACCCCCCCACCCCCACCCCCACCCCCCGCCAAAGGCAGACAGCCGTATTTGATTCTTGCCCCAGCACTCAAATGGTACAGGATTGTTAACGAATTGTTGACAGTCTAAGCTTTTGTTTGCTTAGGGATTAAATGGGGCCGGCACTTCCCCTTTCGGCCCAGGTGAAGTAACAGTGATCAGATTTACCCTCCCACCTGAAGCAAAAAATTGACAAAATCTATGGAATGATGGTTTTCAGGAATCGTAATCCCCAAGAAACAACGGTCTCAGCTACTGTCCAGAATTTCCATGGTGCAGAGCAGGACGGGGCATCTCAGTTGGAGCCCTGCTGACTCCCTAAATTGAAGAGAGAAAGCTGAGAGCCCAGGGAGGCCACAGTGGCTGGAGTTTGCAGAACAGAGTCCTGCAGAACAGAGTCCGGCAGAGGAGAGAGCTTGGTAGAGAATGCTGGAGGATGGCCACATGCCTAGCAGTTTTCAGCAGAGCAGTGGTGATCACGTGTACATGGAGACTAATTATGGCCGGGTAAGAACCACCCAAGAGTGTGAGAGGGACCTGTGCTAGACACTCACACAAGCTGGGAATAGCAATTGCTTCCACCAGCTGAGTTAAAACATCCCTGACTCAGTGGGGCACGGGGCAGGATGCATAGAAGGGTTTCACTTCAGTAGTCAGAATAACTAGCTCTAGACTTGAGCGCTGCCCTGGTCCTACTGACAAATCTTAAGAGCAATGTGCCAAAGGATGAAAGTATTTCCAACCTAACTGTGTCCTAGGACAATATCCAAGTGTATGTATAGAGCACAAAATATTCAGCACCTAACAGGATAAAATTCACATGTCTGGAAATCCATTACGGCATACAAACAGGAAAATGTGACCCATAATGAGAAGAAAAATATCCCAAAACTGAGTCAGCACTGACAGATATTAGTAGACAAGGACAATTAAACAGTGATTGTAACTGTAGTCCAAATGTTCAAAAAGTTAAGTAGAGACAAAAATACGTATTTTTAAAAACCTAAATTAAATTTTTGGATGACAGCTACAATATATGAGGTTAAACATCCACTGGCCAGGATGAATGGCAGATTAGACATTGCAGAAGAACAGATTGATGACCTTGAAGGCATCACAACAGAAACTATCAAAAGTAAAACACGGAGAGAACGGAGATTTTTGAAAAATGAACAGACCATCTCTGAGCTATGGGATTTCAAACAGCTTAAGATACATGTAATTAGAGTCCCAAAACAGAGCAGGGAGAAGGAGGAGAGAAAAAAAATCTGAAAATAATGGGCCAGGCATGGTGGCTCACGCCTATAATCCCAGCACTTTGGGAGGCTGAGGTGGAAGGATTGCTTGAGCCCAGGAGTTTGAGACCAGCCTGAGCAACATAGCAAGACCCCATCTCTACATGAAATTTAAAAATTAGCTGTGTGTGGTCGTGCACACCTATGGTCCCAGCTACTCAAGACGCTGAGGTGGGAGGATCACCTGAACCCAGGAGGTTGAGGCTGCAGTGAGCCATGATCACACCACTACACTCCAGCCCAGGCAATAGGGCGAGACCCGGTCTCAAAAAAAAGAAAATTATGACCAAATATTTTTCAAATTTGACAAGCGATATTAGCCCACAAATACAAGAATCTCAACAAACCCTATGTGCAAGAAACATGAAAACAATACACAGTATAATTAAATTCAAAATCCATGATAGAGGAAATCTTAGAAAGTTAAAATTAAAAAGCATTTAAAATCTTAAAAGTGCCACAGGTAAGGACATGTGAGGAACAGCAGCAGGGTGATGGGAGCCGTCTTGTGGCACAAGGCAGACAGGAAGGCAGTGGGGCAGGCCCAAGTGCAGAGAGGAGAGGACTGCTGCCAGCCTGGGGCTCTGCGCCAGACGCAATGCCTTTCATAGATGAAGATGAACAAAGACTCCTCCAGACAAACGCAAGAAGGCTTCTTCCCCAGACGCCTCACAGCACAGCAGATATCAAAGGGGCCCTTTAGGCAGGAGGAAAACGATACCAGAGGGAGGCCTGGATTTACACAAAGCAGCAAGGAACACTGGAAAAGGTTATGACATCCCATTAAATATTTATCCGCATTCCACTATATATGTAAGGTTTTTTTCCTTATTCTTTAAACTTCTTTACAGGATACTGTTTAAACAAAAATAATGGAAGTATAGAGTGGCATTTATAACATCTGTAGATGTAAGACCTATGCCAAAACCAGCACCCAGGTCAGGAGGGGAGGAATGGGGCATGATTGCTGTAAGGACTCATGCTACAGCGAGCGGATGTGGCGTCGGCGAAAGTGGAGTGGACTGTGATAGGGTAAAGATGCATTCTCCAAACTGTGAAGCAACCGCCAACAAAGAACCAGAGATGATAAACCAACAAAGGAGAGAAAACAGAATCATAACAATATATAGTTAATCTAACAGAAGGCAGAAAAAGGGGAAAAGAACAGATAAGAAAAATAAAAGATAGCAAGATGATAGCTTTAACCGTAAACATATCGACAATTACAATAAATGTAAAATGGCCTAAATACCCCAATTAAAAGGCAGAGGTTTTTCACACTGGATAAAAATGAAAGCCAATTATATACTACCTATAAAACATGTACCTTATTTATTTTTTAAACATGCACTTTATAAAAATACAAATAGGCTAAAAGTAGAAGATTGGAAAAAGATAAGTCATGCTAACACTAATAATTAGAAAGTAAAGTGTCTATATCAATATCAGACAAAGGGGATTTTAGAGCAAATAATATTACCAGGGATACAAAAGGAGAAAACGAGAAGTTGTTTGAAAGATTAAATGAAATAAAGCATGTGCCCACATAGCACGGGTACTGGCTCTGGAAGTGTTAAGTGTTGCAGTTTTCAACCGTCTAATGCAAAATGCTGAGCCAAGTGAGAAAGTGTTTTTCCAACTTTACCGTGGCGTCGTTCCTGGAACTCTTCATGTGTTTATGAATAATAGCTGCCACTTGTTGAATACCTACCATAAGTCAAGAACGTTATCTGTAATCCTCACTGCACCTCTAGGGGTGAGATCCTCACTTTAAAGGGGATAAAACCAAGTTCGAGAGAAGACGGCACTTGCGCCATCAGTCTGCCAGACTTTTAGTGATACTTCTTCCCTAGGATGTAAGAAACAAGGAAGTTCTAAAGATAATCTTCAACCCTATGTCCTGCTAGGTCACTTAATTATTCTCCTTTTCAAAGTTTGTTTTAGGAAAATTCCATATATTCAGTTAAATAACTTCAGAACAATTTATAATACTGAAGTAAAAAATCTAATAGTATGTAGCCTGCCTAAGTCAGTGTCCTCTGTCTTAAACACACCAGCTGTGTTTAGAGAATGCCTCCTCCCTGGTTATATGGCTCTTAGCCTTGCTGGTATGAGTGCTACGGTTGCAGACTAGAACCGCACCCTCTCTTCCCTTGGGTAAGCTGGGAAGCTGGAGACAGCCTGCAGGTGGTAGAGCCAGACCCTGTCACTACCTATGGAGGACCACTGCACTCTGGGCCTCCCAAGTACCGACCCTCAGCGCACTCATGGGGCAGACAGCGATAGGAAGAACTGTCTTAGAAAGCTTGGGCAGGAAAAGTGATAAAAGATTGAGAGGAAGTTTGCAAAGCTGGTGATAGACCATTCCCGCTTCCATCCCCGCCTTCCATCACTCCGTCTGCTTTGCCTCCCTTCGGTTTCTTCCTCTCCACCTTGGAGCTGGGTGGCTTCAAGTCCTTGAGCTCCATCCTGTTCTCTGCCAGTCCACACAACTGCCAGAATGAGTGGGCTGGGCACAGCTGTCTTGTAAGAGTCGGGTGAAACTGACGGGTGTCACACACAGAAACCTCAGGGGCTTATTACTCACAAGGGGGGCCCCTGAGGCTGTG
This sequence comes from Homo sapiens, assembly GCF_000001405.40. Taxonomy (NCBI): domain Eukaryota; kingdom Metazoa; phylum Chordata; class Mammalia; order Primates; family Hominidae; genus Homo; species Homo sapiens. The sequence continues at coordinate 113,166,404 of NC_000013.11, read as the reverse complement.
CCATCCACACGGCAGCCACACTCGGGTACGGAGCATTGTGGACACGAGGGCTGCACCTCAGTGTAAATTCACACCAGATTCCAAAGATTCAGTGTAAAGGAAAAAGGCAAATAACCTCAATAATGTTTATATTCATTACATGGGGAAATAATGACACATATTGGGTTAAATATCCAAATTTCACATGCTTTTACTTACATTATTGTGGCTACTAGAAAATTTTAAATTATGTGGTTTACACTGCATTTCTATTGGACAAGGCTGTTCTGAAGGATATACTCAGGCAGGAGATAATTGTGTTAGAGGCCTGAAAGGCAAGGAAAGTGGAAAATGAGGTAAGTAAATCAAAGCCAGTGTGGGTGGTATAAAACCATAATAACAAAAATCGTAATATCTATTTTGTGAAGATATACAGAAAGCAAGAAAAGAATAAAATACTGGCCAGACAGCAAATGGACCCAGAATGAGGTGCTGGGAATTAGCCTGAGGAGGGAGAAATAGCTGACTACTTGTGCTAAATATGGATGTTTATGTGTCAAGAGTGACCATTAAGTAAACAGAAAGTGAATGATGAGGCCAGGCGTGGTGGCTCACGCCTGTAATCCCAGCACTTTGGGAGGCCAAGGCAGGTGGGTCACTTGAGGTCAGGCATTCGAGACCATCCTGTCCAACATGGTGAAACCCCGTCTCTACTAAAAATATAAAAATCAGCCGGGCGTGGTGGCACATTCCTGTAATCCCAGCTACTCAGGAGGTGGAGGCAGGGAAAGCGCTTGTGCCCAGGAGGCAGAGGTTGCAGTGAGCCGGGACTGGACCACTGCACTCCAGGCTGGGTGACAGATTGAGACTCCATCTCAAAAAAAACAAACCAAAAACAAATGAATGGTTAACTTCTAAACCAGCCAAGGAGGGGAAAAGGAGAACAAAAATGAATGCCAAACTAGAGAAATTTAGTGAACAAAGTAACAAAGCTAGAATGCCAGGCCAGCAGCCGAGAGCAGAGATTTTGAGATGCTTATGTTCTGAGAAAATGACATTGGTAACAGTTTGGAACTGCAGAGGAAAGGTCTTGGGGGCTGTAAATAATGCTGTCCTTTTGTATTAGTTATGAACTCGGCATTAGAACATGGTTGGAAGTGTGAATAGAGGTTGGTCAGTGCAGTCAGTAGCCCATCAAAGTCAGGATGCCTGATTCACTTAGTTGTCAACATTTCTATTTAGGAAATGACAAGTGAGGTGAAAGTCATAACAATAAATTGAAGCACGCGGAGAGCGCTCTGTTACCTGCCACGGGAGGTCCTGTAGATCCGGTGCACGCTTCTCAGAGGTCAGCACCCCGCAGGCACACTGGTCTGCATTTGCGGCAGCAACATGAGAATAAAAATCAGCGCCTTCTCAGCGAATATCGGACTCTGTCTATGGTGTTAACCGTTGCATAATTCCGTCTATGGTACTAACCATTATAATCTTATCCTTAATGCTGATGAATGTGCAGTAATTCACAGACACACAGACTGGAGTTAAACCACCCCTCACAGCACTCATGGTTTAGCTCAGAGTGGTCCGAGCAAGCACTAGTGACAGAAACTGCACTTTCTAGCATGGCCATTGCTCCAGCGTGGAGACGCGGACCACCTTCTGAGTCGTGGCAACTGCTTATCACAAATCCGCGGGCTTCACCCAGTACTACAGAAGGAAGGAGGATGTGGACGGGGTCGCTGGCATTGGAAGCTGGAGGCCGCTGTGGTCTGAGCACTCACCGTGGGGCACACACTGTTTGTGGTCCTCACCAAGCCTGTAGCCCTGAGCACAGCTGCATGTGTAGGATTCCTGTCCTGGGAGGCAGAAGTGTTGACACCCATCAGTCCGCTCTGGGTGACATTCATTTTTAGCTGAAAAGGAAAAAAAAAAAAGGAAATGCTAGCTTGGAAATAGTCATTTTATCACAGCCTTGCACACAGTTCTGTGTGTTGGTCCATGTTCATTTTATCACAGCCTTGCACACAAGAGTTCTGGTGTGTTGGTCCATGTGTTCTCATTCTCTTCAGATCGTTGTCCTCTGTGTCAGTGTTTCCCACATGTCCGTATTTCAGGAATGTGCATGTAGAACAAAGACTCCGTGAGTGAGGCCGGGCGCGGTGGCTCATGCCTGTAATCCCAGCACTTTGGGAGGCCGAGGTGGGCGGATCACGAGGTCAGGAGATCAAGACCAGCCTGGCCAACATGGTGAAACCCCATCTCTACTAAAAATACAAAAATTAGCCAGGCGTGGTGGCGCGTGCCTGTAGTCCCAGTTACTCGGGAGGCTGAGGCAGGAGAATCACTTGAACCCAGGAGGCAAAAGGTTGCAGTGAGCTGACATCGCGTCACTGCACTCCAGCCTGGCGACAGAGCGAGACTCCATCTCAAAAATAAAATAAAAATTAAAAAAAAAAAAAGACTCCATGAGTGATGACACTTCTATTTGTCCTTTTTCCACATGGACTAATCCACGCGCCTGTTTTGTCTGCCGGCTTGCATTGGCTATTCCCTTTAAATTGCTGCTTCTTCAAGGAGGGGACGTGGGATGGGAGGGGGTTAGTGTGACATCGGTGGTGGCTGAGCAGCTGGGATGGGGGCTTTCCACCAAGAGGGAGAAGATTAAGAAAGGGGCACATGGTGGGTGAAGGTCAAAGCCCCCTTTGGTACGTGGTAAATTTGGGGTGTCTGTGAAGGCATTAGCTGGGGCATCAAGGAGGCAGATGGAGCAGAAATCTGGACTTCGGAGGAGAGGGCTCGGCTGGGAGGAAGGTTTTCCCCAGAGAAACGGGCTCCAAGTTGACCAGTGGTGCTGAGAGCGGAGCACGCTTGTTGCTGTAGTTGGCGATGATGGACACTGACATTTGGCGGGTATTTAAGGATATTTGTTTACGTGCTTTGCGTCTTCCCTGTCTGCAGTCTCCCACTGGGAGTCTGGCACTGAGGACGCCTGTGTGTGACCCCCCCAGCCTGTGAGCAGATTGTGAATGGTTGAGGTGGTGGGGGGAGGAGAGGGGCCCCTGCTATGAAAAGTATGGGGGCCTGTCTGGAAGGGGCAGCTCAGAATGCAGCCAGCCCCCGGCGTGGTTTCTGGAGGAGAATCTGGTTGGGATGAGAGGAATCCCCTGGGGTGAGCCAAATCGCGGTTCACACAGGCACCTTCATGGCTACACCTCAGGAGGGGCCCATTGGGACTCTGGCCGAGGATGTGAGGCCCACCTGCCCAGGGAGGCCCTTGGGGGAAGGGGACGGCCGGGGCCTCACCCAGCTCGCAGTTGCTGCCCTCATAGCCGGGGGAGCAGGTGCAGGTGTAGCCCCAGATGCTGTCCTGGCAAGAGCCGTTGTGGAGGCAGGGCTGGGAGATGCACGGGGAGCCGCCTGCAGGAGGAGGATGGGGGTTGGGGTGGTGGTGACAGGAACGGGGACCTGAGCAGGAGGAGGGTGGGGGTGGTGACAGGAATGGGGACCTGAGCAGGAGGAGGATGGAGTGGGGGGTGGCAGCAGGGACGGGGACCTGAGCACCTGAGCAGGAGGAGGGTGGGGTGACAGGAACAGGGACCAGAGCAGGAGGAGGACAGAGTGGAGCAGGGACGGGGACCTGAGCAGGAGGAGGATGGGGGGACGTGGCAGGGACGGGGACCTGAGCAGGAGGAGGATGTGGGGAGGTGGCAGGGACGGGGACCTGAGCAGGAGGAGGATGTGGGGAGGTGGCAGGGACGGGGACCTGAGCAGGAGGAGGATGTGAGGAGGTGGCAGGGACGGGGACCTGAGCAGGAGGAGGATGAGGGGACGTGGCAGGGACGGGGACCTGAGCAGGAGGAGGATGTGGGGAGGTGGCAGGGACGGGGACCTGAGCAGGAGGAGGATGTGGGGAGGTGGCAGGGACGGGGACCTGAGCAGGAGGAGGATGTGGGGAGGTGGCAGGGACGGGGACCTGAGCAGGAGGAGGATGTGGGGAGGTGGCAGGGACGGGGACCTGAGCAGGAGGAGGATGAGGGGACGTGGCAGGGACGGGGACCTGAGCAGGAGGAGGATGTGGGGAGGTGGCAGGGACGGGGACCTGAGCAGGAGGAGGATGTGGGGAGGTGGCAGGGACGGGGACCTGAGCAGGAGGAGGATGTGGGGAGGTGGCAGGGACGGGGACCTGAGCAGGAGGAGGATGGGGGGACGTGGCAGGGACGGGGACCTGAGCAGGAGGAGGATGTGGGGACGTGGCAGGGACGGGGACCTGAGCAGGAGGAGGATGTGGGGACGTGGCAGGGACGGGGACCTGAGCAGGAGGAGGATGGGGGGAGGTGGCAGGGACGAGGACCTGAGCAGGAGGAGGATGTGGGGACGTGGCAGGGACGGGGACCTGAGCAGGAGGAGGATGTGAGGAGGTGGCAGGGACGAGGACCTGAGCAGGAGGAGGATGTGGGGAGGTGGCAGGGACGGGGACCTGAGCAGGAGGAGGATGGGGGGAGGTGGCAGGGACGGGGACCTGAGCAGGAGGAGGATGTGGGGACGTGGCAGGGACGGGGACCTGAGCAGGAGGAGGATGGGGGGACGTGGCAGGGACGGGGACCTGAGCAGGAGGAGGATGTGAGGAGGTGGCAGGGACGGGGACCTGAGCAGGAGGAGGACGGGGGGGCAGGGGGTGGCAGGAATGGGGACTGAGCCTGCTCATGCTGCTCCCCATGCCATCGCCTGGCCCCCAGGACGCTCCCCGCTCCGGATGTAAGGCCTGGCTGCCAGTGCCTCCCACTCTGCTGGGTGCCCTTTCTTCGTCCGCACGCGGTCCCCTCTGTCCCGCCCCATCAGCCCTTCTCCGGCCTTCCCTGCCTCTCCCGCTTCCTTCTGTGCCCAGTTGTCCCCGTGCTTGTCTGGTGGTGGCTGCAGCTCTTTGCTTACTCATTCCCAGGTGGGTCCTTACCCTGGCCTCCCCCAGCCCCGTGGGTCTCCATCTGTGTTACTTCTGTCCCATGCTCTTCTGCAGTTGCCCACCTAGAGCTCCTCCCTTGGGAGGAGTCTCCTAACCAAAGTCTCCATCGGGGCCATGACTTTCCAAAATTTGAGACGAGTTCTGACCCTGCTGCAGCATGAGGCTTCCCAGGAGCCCAGGAGCCAGGCGGCTGGAGGAGCTGCTCTGGGGGGGCCCTCCTGGCCTGTGGCCCATGTCCCAGAGTGCCAAGAAACTACCCAGACACTGGGCAAGACAAACCAGGCACTGCCTGTGGCCCTGGTGGCAGAGCCCGGGGGCTTCCTGACCTGGTCCTTGGGGAGAGTCGGAGCTGCCCTTCCCTGGAGAGACACCGTGGGTCCTGGAGCCAGAGGCTTGGCATCCGCTGAGCTGGGGTCGTGAAGCGTCCTAAGCCCACCCACGCACCTCATCCCGAGGAATTAATACTTCTGAGGAGACGAAGGAAACCACTTACCCTTATATCGTCTCCAGAATTCATCCTTTAGAGTTAAAACATAAAAATGTTACAAATGGGATATTTGTTTTTCTATATTCTTTCCTGTAGATGAACTTGAAGGTAAGAAAATGTTGATTTTATTCACTTAATAGGACAATAGTGGTTGAAACAATGCACAATTTTCCTGTTTTACAGCCTATTTGTTTATGTTAAATGTATAGTAACTAAATGTATCTGTAAGATATATTACTCAACATGTGCTTACCACCACCTATTTGAGGAAGGCCAGAGTCTATGACATGGCACAAACCCACCACCCACAGCCCCTAACGTGGCCCTTCCCTTCTAGGGCCAATCTCCACGCCACCCTCCACAAAAGCACATGATATAGAAGTCACATCACCTTTTCGCTTTTTATAAACCGAGTTGAATTTTAAAGATATATACCTCTGTAGGGAGTGGGGACACTTAGTTTGGGGTAGGAGTATCTAAAATTAGGAGAATTATTCAGACTTGAAGCCTAGAAAGAAAATGTATGCTGGGTGTCTGATCAGTGTGTGGGCCTTGCCTGACCTGAAGAAATGAGTCCAGTGGGCTCTGAGCTGACTTCCAGCCCCACTCACTGCTGTAGGGAAAGGTGGATTAAGTCGATTCTCTAAATTGTTTCCTCATCTGTAAAACTGGGATTGTGTCAACCTCATCGGTAAGTAAATAGGCTAATTAATTAAGCTTAATCTCTGAGAAATGATGCTCCCTGGGCCAGCAGAAGTCTAAATAATGAGGAGGCCTGTGGTTTGTGGTGGGGGTACATACAGTGACTACTTCATTTTCAAACACTTCTCTTGCTTCTTCATAGACACAGATTTCTTCATAACATTCTTTTTCCAAGTTTCCCTCGAAGAGTTCTTCCAGAAGATAGGAGCCCGCACGCTTCCACCTCACCAGAACGTCGTTTGCTTTGGAGGCCGGGAGAAATACTACAGACGAGACAAGAAGGCAGGTGACTGGGAGCACCGAGGGCCCTGCTTTCCAGAGCTGCCTGGCTTCCTCCCCGGCCGGCCGCCAGCCCCAGCCCCGTCCGTCTCCACAGGCTCTCAGCCTGCGAGGGCCTCAGGGCCACCCCGCTACTCCCTCCCCCGAGGTAGGCAAGCACTTCATCCTCTGGGCGAATGGATCAGCCCCAGGATCAGTGCGGATACACTAAGGTTCTGCAGAGAGGCCACGGGCCTCAGTCAGGAAAGTGGAGGAGGGAGGGCTCCAACTGGGTTTTGGGTCTGAGTGCGAAGGAAGGCTGAGCTGGGGTCAAAGGTCCCCGTACTGAGAACTGGGGACCAAGAGCCATCAGCTCCTGTGCTGCCTCTGTGCGCAGCATTTAACATCTTGATAAAACACATAAAGAAGAAACTTATACATTGCAGCAGGCTCTGCGATTTCCAGGAGGAGAAGGCAAATGAGTTGACCCGCGGCAGTGGTCTCTGGAGCCTCTTCCCACCTGAGGGTCCCAAAGCATGTTCTCTCCCTCTCCGGGAGGGTCAAAGCCCAGGCCCTTCCCATCCTCCCTCCTTTTCTCTCGGTGCTGAGGGTTACAGCAGGGGGGGCTCAGCTAAGTCCGGCTACGGTAAGTGCTGGGCAGGGCAGGGCGGGGGGATCACCCTCTCAGGGTGGGAGACCATGGGGCCAGCGGGAGACCATGGGGCCAGCGGGGATGCTGGGTGTTTTGACTTGCAGCTTTCCTGGACGCCTGTGCAGGCAGAGTCAGAATGGAGTCCATGTCGTTCCTTCAGTGAAGTGGCTGGTGGTAGAAGGGTGGCAGGCAGGCAGGGTGGCTGCTCCCTGGCTATGTCTCCTGACTCAAGACTGGGCATTCCTGGCTGGCCTGGCCAAGGCTCTCTCTGCCCACATTGCAGTCTGGGCTCAGCCTGCCCCACCCCCTCCCCTCGTCCAATGCCCAACCCAGGCCTCCCCCCACTCCTCCCCCTTTCCCCCTCCCCTCTCCCCGGCCTTTCCCGGCTGAATCCCCTGCACACAGGCTTCTTTCCATTTGGGCATCTCTTGGGAGGACCCCAAGTGACACTATCATGTCCCAAATACTTGTCACCAAATGATAAAGATCCAAACAGCTTTTTCAGGGGAATTAAGACTAGTCTGGGCACTCAGGGCTCCTCTGGCTCCTGGAAAAAGCCTCATCTACAAATCCACCATGGACCGAGTCAAGAAAGACACAGCACAGGCACAACAGACAGGTAAGCCAGATGCCTACCTGAGGGCTCCACACGATGGAGGGCGAGGACCAGGACCAGGCCCTGGAGCAGTGGGACGCAGCCTGCCATTCCCACCCGGAGCGCTGGGACAGGGCTACAAACACAGCCAAAGTCCAGGCTGGGGGAGGTGCCGGCAGCAGGAGCCTCGGGGCACGACCTGTGCAGCTGTGTGCTTCCCTCCTGACGTTTTCTGTTTGAGGCCAGGCAGAGAAATGAACGGTGAAGGCTCAGAGGACCCTGGGAGATATTTAGGGAGACAGAGAACAGAAGGTAAAGGCAGCAGGTGCAAGGTGGAAGGTGGCACCCATGCCCGTGTGTGGTCAATGGAGGTGAGATAGGCCCTGGGGACACAGCACTGGGCGGGACAGACAAAGTCACATGCAGCTTACGTTCTAGGTGTGTGTGGAATACACAGAAAAGAACGAGGGAAAGAGACAGGAGGGAGTGAGGGAGGGAAAGCAGGAGGATGGAAAGAAGGAAGGGGAGAAAAGGAAGGGAGGGAGGGAGGAGGGAGAAAGCGGGGAAGGGCCAAATAGTGTCTGTCACTACAGCTCAGCACCATTGTAGCAGAGGCAGCATAGACAATCATGAATGAACACTTGGCTGTGTGCCAATAAAGCTTTATTTATAAGAGCTATTAAGGGGCCAGATTTGGCCCCAGGGTTGTCGTTTGCTGCTTTCAGATGTAGGCCCTGTGTATTAGTCCCTTCTTACACTGTTATGAAGAAATAGCCAAGACTGGGTAATTTAAGAAAAGAGGTTTAGTTGACTCCCAGTTCCACATGGCTGGGGAGGCCTCAGGAAACTTATAATTATGGCAGAAGGCACCTCTTCACAGGGTGGCAGCAGAGAGAATGACTGAAGCAGGGGAAATGCCAGATCCTTATAAAACCATCAAATCTCTTGAGACTCACTCACTATCCCAAGAATAGCATGGTGGAAACCACCCCCATGATTCAATTACCTCCCACCGGGTCCCTCCCAGGACACGTGGGGACTATGGGGATTACAATTCAAGATAAGATTTCGGTGGGGACACAGCCAAACCATATCAGCCCTTGAAGCCTGAGGTAAGAACCTGGTGTTTCATTTTCACTGTGTTGGGAAGATATTGGAGGGAACAGGAATTGACATGGAAAGATTTGTGCTCTGAAGGGATCACTGGGCTGCTGTGTGGAGAACAGAACATTCCAGAGAAGTCAAAAGGGAGGCTGCCGGCTAGTCCAGGAGGGGGTGAGGGTGCAGCCATGCAGCAGGAAGCACGTTTGCAGTCTGGATGCTTCAGGAAGGGAAAGCTGATGGGATTCATGATGAATTGTGTCGGGCAGCACGGCTCCAAGGTTTGGGCTGAGCGATTGGGAGGATGGCAGTGCGTGTGCTGAGACGGCCAAGCTCCAGGAGGGCAGAGGGAAGCGAGGTTTGGCAAATTTGAGGTGTCTGTGGGATGTCCAGGTGGAGACAGGAGTGGGCATCCGAGAAGCTGGGACTCACAGTGGAGATTCAGGTGGTAACAGATGAAATGACAGCATTGTCAGCATATAGATATTGTTCGATTGAATGACACTCAAAGGTGGCAAAACTCAATGAAAGGATTCTAAATACAATTTTGTTAAAGTGGGAACAGAAGAAAACTAAGAAGCTGACACCCTTGATTAAGAGGGCATGCCCGCAAATACACTGAAGTTGTGAAGTTTGCTTTAAAAAGCTGGGAAAAGAAAATAAAGTTTATCTTTAGTGAGTGAGTTAAAATAATTTGAAAGCCAGAAGTTGATTGTATAGGATAGCTCTTGGGTGAATTGCACCAGCCTGGCAATCTACGTGGCCTTCACTTAAGAAAAGGTGCCTTTTTTTGTGTGAAAATGTATTCCCACATGGAAATTTACATTAAAAATACTTCTGCTGGATAGTTTAAAAACCATCAATAGCTGCCTAAAAATGGAAAGGCAGACAGGGACATACACATTCGATCAATAAGTGTTAATTAAGCACATCCTATATGCCTGACATGGGTATCTGAGCTACAACCTCTTCCCTCATGGACCATTTTAGTCTGTTGGGGCTGCTGTAACAAAACACCTTAGAGTGGGTAATTTACGATAAACAGAAACGTAGTGCTCACAGTTCTGGAGGATGGGAAGTCCAAGATCAAGGCTCCAGTAGACTCAGTGTCTGGTGACGGCCCATGATTCATAGACGTGTCCTTGGATGGTGGAAGGGAGGAATGTGGGTGCTCCCTGGAGCCTCTTTTGGGAGGGCAGTCATCCATCCATGAAGGCAGAGTGCCTCCCAGAGGCCCCACCTCCTAGTACTATTGCACAGGGGGTTAGGTTTCAACGTGAGTTTTGGGGGATGGTTTGGCTCTGTGTCCCCAACCAAATCTCACCTTGAATTGTAATAATCCCCACAGGTCAAGGGCAGGACCAGGTGGAGGTGATTGAATCATGGAGGTGGTTCTTGTGATAGTGAGTGCATTCTCACAAGAGCTAATGATTTTATAAGGGGCTTCCCCCTGTGATTGACACACATTTTCTCTCTCCTGCCACCCTGTGAAGAGGTGCCTGCTTGCCATGATTATGTTTCCTGAGGCCTCCCCAGCCATGTGGAACTGTGAGTTCATTAAACCGCTTTTCTTTATAAATTACCTAGTCTCAAGTATTTCTTCACAGTGACATGAGAACAGACTAATACAGGAAGGCATCAACATCGAGGCCACAGCTGTGATTGACTGTGTTGTACGTGGACTGACCGTGTTGTATGTGGTGATTTAATTTTCTCATCTGCCTTCTCAAAGATACCACCTTTGGACCAAAAATTCTACAATAATAAATTGTCCAAACATTAAGATTCACCTCGTTCTACTCATCTTCCTCATCTCTCATATGAATAATCGTTCTTCTGTCACCCTCTTCTGTTCTGAAAAACAAACCAACCAACATTGGGACACTTTTTCCATTGACTGGTTTACTTTCCTTCTGTATACCTGAGGAGAATCTTCCTTCCTTTGGGGTCTTTGTCGTGTCCTTCAGATGTTGGGGTGTCCTCTGTGGGGGTCCCCAGCTTAAATCAACTGACCCCACAACTTTGTGTGGAACCTGAAATGAGCAGCCTATGGAGAACCTGGTCATTGAATACTTAGATCTTGCCGCAGTCCCTATTTAAATACCTGTTCAATCAACTCTGGGACCTATGTTTTAGATTTCAACATCTCTGAATTGGCCTGTTCCCTACAGCCAATGTTCTAATGTCAGCCTGGACAAGGCCGAGTTCTTCCTGAAAGGGGTTGTGCTTTATGTTGCCCCCTGGGGGCACTGCCACTTTGCAATCCCTTTAAATACATTTTTTTGTGTGAGTTTTGGGAGCCCATGTGAATAGTGTAAATGTATTGCAAAGCTGGTTCCTGGCTGGCCTGTGGTTTAGATTATCTGAGCTTCCCCCTCTTGCCTCCAGGCTGAGCTGACCCACAGCTAATTTGGGTATATGCTCTTTCTTTCAGGTTCATCAATAATGGTGCGTCTTAGATTCACAGAGTAGAGTGTGGTCTAGTCCACTTTGTGGTGCTGTAACAGGATATCTGAGACTGGGTAATTTATAAAGAACAGAAATTTATTTCTTACAGTTCTGGAGGCTGGGACATCAAAGGTCCAGGGGCCCCCATCTGGCGAGGGCCTTCTTGCTGCGTCATCCCATGGTGGAAGGTGGATGCGCGTGAGAGAGAGAGAGAGAGAGAGAGAGAGAGAGAGAAAGGGGAGAGAGGAAGGGGGCCAAACTCATCCTTTTATTCCAAAATAACGAACCCACTCCTACAATAGTGGTATCAATTCATTCACGTGGGCTCTGACAATGAATGCGTCTTAAAGGTCCCACCTCTCAACACTGTTGCCTTGGGATTAAGTTTCCAACACGTGCACTATAGGGACACATTCAAACCACAGCATGCTGCATCCTCTGATGTCCACATTGTGGATGGAGGTGGCAGCTTATCACCTGGAGCTCCTGAAGAAATTAAAGAGGAGACACATGGTGACGCAGCCCACAGCCTGGCGTTTTTAGCATCTCAGAAGCACTGACAGGGACCCGCAAGCTTATGAGAAACTGTTCAACTCATTGGGCTTCCTCAGAGCTTGGGAGACCATTAATGTGGAAGACACTATCTGGACATGTTTCTCTTTTTTCCACCTGTCTAGATTTTCTTTCAGGATCGGGGAGACTTCTGGAGTAGAAAAGCCACTCCAGAACCCTTCCTCCTCCTCCCCCACACCCCGCCTCATGAGCGGCTGCCCTCCGCGTGGCATGGAGTCCCCGCGTCCACTCAGAACCCTTCCTCCTCCTCCCCCGCGCCCCGCCTCCCCCGCGCCCCGCCTCCCCCGCGCCCCGCCTCCCCCGCGCCCCGCCTCCCCCGCGCCCCGCCTCCCCCGCGCCCCGCCTCCCCCGCGCCCTGCGTCACGTGCCCCTGCCCTCCCCGACGCCCCGCCCCCCACGCCCCTCCTCCCCCACGGCCCGCCCCCCCACGCCCCTCCTCCCCCACGGCCCGCCCCCCCACGCCCCTCCTCCCCCGCGCCCCGCCTCCCCCGCGCCCCGCCTCCCCCACGCCCTGCGTCACGTGCCCCTGCCCTCCCCCACGCCCCGCCCCCCACGCCCCGCCCCCACGCCCCGCCTCCCCCACGCCCCGCCCCCCGCGCCCCGCCTCCTCCACGCCCCGCCTCCCCCACGCCCTGCGTCACGTGCCCCTGCCCTCCGCGCAGCATGGAGTCCCTGCGTCCCGGCTCCACGGTGCGGGAGTCCTCCGTGGTGGCTGAATTCGCCTTTCAGGCCCTATGTTCAGGATTTGTGATCTGGGTTTTAAAAACATTTTTTAGAAGTCATTGGTAATTAAAAACAATAAGTTTTTTATTGTGGTAAAATAGACATACAGTTTACCGCAGGAATCTTTTTTTAAGCGTACAGTTGGCTGACCCTGAGTGAATTCGCTGTTGATAATCTGCTTCTCCCTGAGCTGCTGTCGCCCACACTCGCCGCTGGCCGTGCTTGTTTTTCTCCTGGAACTGGGGCCGGTGTCCCTGTTGACCTTGTCCCGGGTAGCTGAGCCCAGGGGACTCTCCTTCCTAGGGTTACCGCTCAGTATCAGCACAGCCACAACGTCCAGCCAGGGAGGGCATCCGAGGCCCTCAGCACCCACCCCGGGGGTCCGGCCCGCGTCAGGCTGCGAGTTCCCGAGTCCCTGGACCCAGCTGTGCCTGCTGGGGTCAGCGCAGTCTGTGAGCCTCGACCCCCAGCTCCCAGCAAGGCCTCCCAGCAAGGCCTGTCGGAACCCAGCGGAGACCGGCGGCTGGGGCTTGTCCTCGAGCGGGGGCGCAGGACACGGGGCGCGGGGCTCCTGCCCTTGCAGCGTCCTGTCAGGATGGACGACCCAAGCCAGACGGCGCTCCCTCCCGCCACACCTGGCCGTACTGGCCTCCAGCCATGCCGGTGCTGCCGAGGCCCCCGTGTGGGACAGGCCCCCGCTCCCGCCCGTCCTCCTGGCTGCATCTGCACCCGCCCGTACCCGCACCGGGCCTCACTGGCCCCTTCTCAGACCGGCACAGCCAGGTAGGTCCTCCCTAAGCACCACAGGTCGGGGCGGCTGGGCGTTTTGTAAGGACAAACTGCGACCGTGAACCCCGGGACGGCTCAGCACCCAGGCAGCGCGGCCTCTGAACGCTGTCTGCGGACTCGTCTCTCCTCCCCACTGGCCCGGCCACACGTCCATCCAGCCCCGCTGTCTCCCTCTTTCTGTGTCTGTCTCTCCGCCCTCTTTGTGTCTTGGTGTCTCCTCTCTCTCTCCCTCTCCCTGTCTGTCTCTCAGCATCTCTCTCTGTCTCTGTCTCCTGTGTCTCACTGTGTCTTTCTCTGTGTCTCCATGTCTCTGTTTCTCTCTTGTTCTATTCTCAATTTTTTTGTTTGTTTTTTACCTGGACTTACTCCCTCCCCTCTGTTTCTCTTTCTCTGTCTCTCTCTTTCTCTTTGTCTCTGTCTCTCTCTTTCTCTCTGTCTCTGTCTCTCTCTTTCTCTCTGTCTCTGTCTCTCTCTTTCTCTCTGTCTCTGTCTCTCTCTTTCTCTCTGTCTCTGTCTCTCTTTCTTTTTGTCTCTCTGGCTCTGCCTCTCTCCCTCTCCCCTCGCCCCCGCTGAGCGCTGTCTGACGGGAACCCCCAGCAGTCTCCCTCGCTCTCCTGGCAGCCTGCAGACTCCTCTGGTCTCACTGACTGCAGAGTCACTGGCTGTTTCTGGTCTTTGCTGACGCTGACGTTTTTTAAGAGTCTATGGTTTCCTCCATCTGGACTTGCCTGACTCAGGATCGGGCTCTGCTTAGACAGTGTTTTGGCAGCCCCCTGCCTTCGGCTCAGGAGGAGGCTGGGTCCCCAGGTTTTGCCACGCTAAAGGCATGCTTTCCTGGCATAGTTAACAGGCCAGTTCTGAGGTGATCCTCTGAGTCTCGAGGGTGTCCAGTTTCTCAGTGCCCTTCCACCAAGGTGGGGTCTTCATGGCGGGCGCTTGCCCACATCAGTGGCTACCCCGTGGCTGTGGAGTGGGGTCCTTCTAAACGGGAGCTTAACCCCCAGCCCTGCTGAGATGGCTCCATGACAGTGATGGTGGGGCCGAGGTCTGCCGTCCACCAGCTGTCCTGGCTGAAGCTCTCATTCCTGCTTCCTCTTCCTCACAGCCTGGGCTGCGTGTTCCCAGACGGCAGGCCCATCTCCCCATCCAAGCGCAGCTCTGGACCCACACAGGCTGGTCTCCCAGCACCCACAAGGGCCTCCCTGCCCCACCAGGCCCCCGACACCCGCTCTCACCTTCGTCCTCCAGAGGTGGACGCCCCAAAGCTCCCCTTCCTGCTCAGGGGGAGGGGAGGTGTCACTGGGGGAGGCGATGGGGCTGCTGCAGGTTCTCTCTCCCTCACTCTCAGGCGGAATCACTTCTCCCACCTTCGCTCCCCACCGTGACCTCCTGCTGCTCTCGGTCCTCAGGGTCTCACCTCTGTTCTCTCTCCCTCACTCTCAGGCGGAATCACTTTTCCCATCTTTACTCCCCACCGTGACCTCCTGCTGCTCTCGGTCCTCAGGGTCTCACCTCTGTTCTCTCTCCCTCACTCTCAGGCGGAATCACTTTTCCCATCTTTACTCCCCACCGTGACCTCCTGCTGCTCTCGGTCCTCAGGGTCTCACCTCTGTTCTCTCTCCCTCACTCTCAGGCGGAATCACTTTTCCCATCTTTACTCCCCACCGTGACCTCCTGCTGCTCACAGTCCTCAGGGTCTCACCTGGGTTCTCTCTCCCTCAGTCTCAGGCGGAATCACTTTTCCCGTTTTTGCTCCCCACCATGACCTCCTGCTGCTCTCGGTCCTCAGGGTCTCACCTCGCACAAACAGCCGCTTCAGTTATTTCCCGAAACAGAGCTGGGCCTCCCTCAGGGAATTCTGGGGGTCTCAGATCACAAAGTGTCCCCTGGCCCAGGCCTAGACTATTCTGAGTTAACACGGAGATGACATAGGTTTAGCCCACTTGCCTTTACTTATGAAGACGATATTTAGGCAGAGAGAAAATCCCTGCCACGCAGCACAGGAGCCTGCAGAGCCGAGACTTCAACCCCCAGCGCGTGTCCAGGACTGGGGCCTCTCCTCCTGCTGTCTCCCTCCCGAGGCTCCCTCCCACACCTCCCAGGACGAGAACCTATTTCTAGATGGGGCTTCGGCAGATGCTGAGCTACGACCCATCAGGTCCTTCTCTCTGCAGCCTCCAGTTTCCTTTCTATCCTGAGACGGGCACGGGCACCAGACACCCAGTGCGGCAGGAACCAGGGTGCAGACAGTGATGGCGATGGGGGGTTTCAATTGTAATTATTTTCCCAGAGTTCTCTCTGGACCCCACTCAACCTTTGATTTCCAGAAACGGGAATCCAAGTCCAGGGTTTACCTCTGGGGCCCTGGGGACCACGTGGCTGCCTAGGAAACGCAGCCCAACAGCAGGCTAGCTCCGAGGCAGAAGCCTTTTCTCCAGGAAGGGCCGGCGAGGAGCCCGACAGCCAGCTCCACGGAGAAGGCCTCAGAGCGGGCAGGCCAGGAATGCCCTCCCGCCCACCCTGGGAGACCGGCCCCTCCTCAGACCGTTTCTGGGAGGTCGAACACCTGTCCACTTTGATTTTCCCTGACTTCGCAACATCTGTTTACGAACGGTTTTGCCCAGCTCATGACTTTTTTGGGGAGTTTTTGTACTAGAACTGTTGAACTTTGCTTAGGGACATTACACAAGACGCAAACTGCAGGAGACGTTTGGGAGACACACGGCAGGCCTTGTCCGGAATCTTTTCTGTTTACCGAAAGTTCATTTGATTTTCATGGCCAGTTAACTTGAGGCCTAGGGACAGTGCCGGATTGCAGCAGGGCAAGGACTAAACATCTGGACCCTAGGAGAGGAGGAGCCCCCCGAAGCCCCGCCTGCCACGCCACCACCACTCAGCACCTGAGGAGCTCCAGAAGCTTCCAGAAGCTCCTGGCCAGCTTCACTCCAGAGACTGATTTCAGTGGCCAGGCTGTGGCCTGGATGCAGGCATGCTAAAGCCCACAGGGGGTTCTAAGGGTGGCCACGGTGGGGGCCAACTGTGCCAGGTCAGGTCGCTGCCTGGTGAGCAGGTCACCTGCCCGGGGGATGCCTGTGGCCCCCACCACACAAGCCTGAGCTGGGGTGGGGCCTGGCACCGTGCAGTTGAAGAGCACCTGGTTGTTTAAGTTAATGTAAAATGTCCGCCCCAATGAGAAGCTTTCTGGACGTTTCCCTCCCAGGGAGTCTGCGGGTCATAGGCAGTCACCGGGGAGGTGTCCAATTCCCAAGAGGAACAAGAGAGACCAGGCCAAGTGGGGGGTCTTGGGGAGGCTGCGCCAACGTGTGGGCCCCTCCCGACGCCACGGGGCCTGCACAGGCTCCCATCTGCCTCTGGGCGTGACCCAGATGCAGGAAGGTATCTGGGGAAAGGAATGCCCATGGCAGTCATGGCACAGTATCATCCCTGGAGCCTCCATCCTGCCCCCACAGACTAGAATATTCCCTGGAGGAATCCCCAGCCTAGCTGGGAAGGGCGGAAGCTGGTGTTCCAGACAGACACTTCACCTTCCCACCTCAACAGGGCGGGAGAAGCCAGGGCAAGGCGGCAATCGAGAGACAAACCAGGCCTTGAGTGGGATCTCACTTTAATGGAGAGGACGTTATGACCTCCGGGGCATGGCTCTTGGCCTTGGGCAAGCCCCTGGTTTTCATGGACCTGTCGATCCACTTGAGGAAGGCGGTGACCTTGGTGTAGATCCCGTACTTCCCCTTACGGGCACAGCCCTCTCCCCAGCTGACGATGCCTGTCACGAAGTAGGTGTCCTTGAAGCGGGTGACGTGCGGGCCCCCGCTGTCCCCCTGGCAGGCATCCTCCTGCTTGGTGTCGTAGCCGGCACAGAACATGTTCTGGGTGATGATGAAGCTGCTGGACAGCTTGCAGCTGTTGCGGTCCACGTAGGGCACCTCCAGCATCTTGAGCCTGGTGGACTGCCGGCCCTTCTCGTGGGTGCGCCCGAAGCCGCTCACAATCCCCGTCTTCTGCGTCATCAGCGTGGACTCGGCCCAGTCACGCTCGGGGAGGCAGGCAGGCGCCACGTTCATGCGGAAGGTGATGGGGGTCTTGAGCCGGAGCACGGCGATGTCGAAGTCATAGGTCTCCTTTGTGAACCGGTTGTGCTTGATGACCACCTCCACCTCGTGCACCGCCTCACCGCCCTCCTCCTGCTCCGTGTTCCGGTCCCCTGGGACAGACGAGTGGGACTGTGCTCAGCTCAGCCAGGGACATGCTCTCGCACATCCGTTGCTTTTTAAGGAAGTTATATATATTTTTTTAAATTAAAAATGGCACGTGATCACTTTTGAAAATTTGAAAAATAGAGGGAAGTGCAAAGCAGCAAATAAAAGTGCCTGTCAGCCTTGCTGCCCAGGGAACCACTGGTCCTGTCTCACACGTTTGGTTCTTTAGACGGCCGCCACTCCTGTGTCCTTTGGCGGGTGCATCGTCTGTGCCAGTCGTGGGCACCAACGAGGCGTCCCAGGACCGAAGGCTTTTGGCATCCCAGACCCAGGTTGTGCGGTGTGGCCGCTGGCTGAGAGTGTAAAATAGTTGTGCCATGAACGTAAAATAGAGACTTAGCATGAAAGAAAATGTGCGGAATGTGTTATTACACCTTTAACATGATTACACATGGAAAAAGTAATATTTTCAATATGTTGAGTTAAATAAGATATATTATGGAAATTGTGTGTGTGTGTGTATATATATGTATATATATATACACATATATATATACATATATATATATATATATTTTTTTTTTTTTTTTGAGACAGAGTTTTGCTCTGTTGCCCGGGCTGGAGTGCAATGGCACAATCTCAGCTCACTGCAACCTCCACCTCCCGGGTTCAAGTGGTTCTCCTGCCTCAGCTTCCCAAGTAGCTGGGATTACAGGCCCGTGCCACCATGCCCGGCTAATTTTTGTATTTTTTAGTAGAGATGGGGTTTCGCCATGCTGGCCAGGCTGATCTCAAACTCCTGACCTCAGGTGATCTGCCCGCCTCAGCCTCCCAAAGTGCTGGGATTACAGGCATGAGCCACCACACCCAGCCTGTTTTTTTATATTTTAAAATGTATAATAGAACATTTAATGTTAGAAAAATATCAGTTTACATATATTGCTTGCATTTGTAGCTTGTGTTGGGTTTGTACTGAGCAGCTCTAGGGTCTAGTGGACAAAGACAGATGTTAATGAAACAATCCCACAAATAAAAATAGAAGAGACAGAGGTGCTTGGTGTTCAGAGTATGTTAAAGAGAAAGGGAGGTCTGGAAGGCTCCCAATAAAAGACACTGAGACACAGAACATTAGCTGGACATGCAGACCCAGAGACCCGGGACCCAGAGACTCGGAGACCCGAGACCTGGACACCCAGTGGGAGAAGGGCTGGGCTGGTTCGCCTCCCCTCCCCGTCCTCCTCCCCACTCTTCCCCTTCCTCTGCTTCCTCATCTTCTTCCTCTGTGAAATGCCCCTAACCCCTACAAATAGGATTTCAGGATTTCAACCAGTGTTCCCAACAAATTCCATCAGCTTTAGTGGTTTCTGAAAAGCAGACAGTGACGGTGCCCCTCACCACGGCCCTGGGGGCTGTTGGTCACTTACCTACCCTCACCTTGAATCTCTTGGCTTGGTAGAGACAGTGGGCTGCCGTTAGGATGTAGAACTCGCTCAGAATGGTTCCACCACAGAAACCCTCGTTTTCCTCATTGATGAGCAGGGCCTGTGACAGACGTGACAGGCTCAGTGTGGCTGGCCAGGTGGACAGGTGTTGCCTGACTGAGAAGCCAGCTCTTCAGGTGGCACTGCCCGGCCCTCCCCATGCCAAGCTGTCCTCTTCGGTCTCCTGCCATCCACCCAAGGACAGTTCCTTGTCTGTCTCTTTTCTCTGCCTGTGCCACACACTCACTGATATAGGGAGTCATCTCTTCTTTCTACCAACTCCATCACAGAGCTCTCTAAAGTCTCATGCACACGACACATCTGTCCATGCTTTGGAAAAGATGCTCCCTGTGGGAGCAGCCTTTCCCGTCTCTGTGGCAGGATTTCTACCTGGGACCAGGAGACGCCAGTCTGTGCAGAAACATCATCTGCCTCAACCGGTGTGCCTGCCTGGTGTCCCGACGGTTCAGCAGTGTGAGCCTGTCCCCCATGGTGCACGGACACCTCCATCCCAGGTGACTTCCTGGGGGTCCCTGTGGCAGCTCCTGTGAAGGGTCTCCTACCTGCCAGGACTTGGAACACGGTCCCAGGGGAGCAAGCACTGACAGGGGTGCCACATGCTGTCCCTAGGGAGCTGGACTTGCAAGTTTGGAGCCCGGGCATATTTTGGTTTTCTTTTCTCTGGGGAGTTTCCCGTCCTGTGATAGTGGCTGGGCACATGTACAGACCAATGAAACTACTGACAATACCGAGTCTTAAAACATTTCTTAAAACATTCATGGCTAGAAAAGGGGTCATGTTTTTGCCTCTTTTTTGCATAATTTGTCAACTCATCATCCAGCTTACATGAGGGAAAGTCAGGCTTTCTAAGACACGAACACCAACCATTCTTCCTAAAGATGCAGATGAGGCCCACTTGCCAAGACTCGAACCAGGAAACAAGAATCGCAAACCTCAACAGGCTGGGCGAGGGCCCCTCCAGTGAGCCCTCCAGGGCGCCCCACCCTGGTCCCCCAGCCCAGGAACCCCTCCAAAACCCCGCCTGCAGCTCCAAGTCCAGCTCCTCAGCCCCACAAGAGGCTTTTCCTGCTCATCCTCGGTGGGGTCTCCTGCATCGAGGTTCTTGCCCCAACCACACAGTGCCTGGGACTGGGAGGATTTCGGTCTCAGCTCCCTAACTAGGTTGAGATTTCTGTGTATTGGTCACAGAGAGGCTTCATGGTTTCATATCCCACCTACACAGCACCCGGCTCAGTGCCTGACACACAGAAGGCCCTCAACAAACATGCATTGCAGAGCCACCTCAGTGCATCCCTCTCTCGCTTGGCTCTTTATAGTTAGACAGAGGCTCACCCGCCACACGGTCTGGGGTGGGGGAAGACCTGGGGGAATTCATGGGGGCGCTGGCAGCTCTGAGATTCTTGCTTGTAGGAGAGGACATTCTGGTTTTGGGCGCTGAAAATTCAAGTCCAAGTGAGGATTGCCAGAGAAAATACAGGATGCCCAGCAACAAGGTTTGGCTGTGTCCCCACCCAAATCTCATCTCAAACTGTAGCTCCCATATTTCCCGTGTGTTGTGGGAGGGACCTGGTGGGAGGTAACTGAATCGTGAGGGCGGTTTCCCCATGCTGTTCTGGTGGAAGTGAATAAGTCTCACAAGAGCTGATGGTTTTCTAAGGGGAAACCCCTTTTGCTTGTTCTCTCATTCTCTGTCTTGCTGCCGCCATGTAAGACGTGCCTTGCGCCTTCCACCGTGACGGTGAGGCCTCCCCAGCCACGTGGAACTGTGAGTTCATTCAACCTCTTTTTCTTTATAAATTACCCAGTCTCGGGTATGTATGTGTCAGCAGTGTGAAAACTGACTAATACACCTAGTTTGACTTGAATCAGATAAACAGCAAATAATTTTTCGCATATGTATGCTTCATGCGATACTTGGAACATACTTACACTGAAAGTATTTCTAGTTTATGTGAAATTGAAATTTAATTGAAAGTATTGTGCTTTTGTTTAATGTATTTCTAGTTTATGTGAAATTGAAATTTAATTGAAAGTATTGTGCTTTTATTTGTTTAATCTGGCAGCATTAGTCCAAATCAACAATCAAAGATTAGGACCTGGTATAGTGGCTCACACCTGTAACTCCAGCACTTTGGGTGGCTGAGGAGGGTGGATCACATGAGGCCTGGAGTTTGAGACCAGCCTGGCCAACATGGTGAAATTCCTGTCTCTATTAAAAATAAAAAAATTAGCCAGGCATGGCCGGGCACATTGTCTCACGCCTGTAATCCCAGCACTTTGGGAGGCTGAGGTGGGCAGATCACCAGGTCAGGAGATGGAGACCATCCTGGCTAACACGGTGAAACCCCGTCTCTACTAAAAATACAAAAAAAATTAGCTGGGCGTGGTGGCAGGCGCCTGTAGTCCCAGCTACTCGGGAGGCTGAAGCAGGAGAATGACATGAACCTGGGAGGTGGAGGTTGCAGTGAGCCGAGATCGCGCCACTGCACTCCAGCCTGGGCGACAGAGTGAGACTCCGTCTCAAAAAAAAAAAAAAATTAGCCAGGCGTAAGTAGCGGGCGCCCGTAATTCCAGCTACTTGGGAGTCTGAGGCATGAGAATCGCTTGAACCCAGGAGGTGGAGGTTGCAGTGAGCCGAGATCGCGACACTGCACTCCAGCCTGGGCAACAGAGCAAGGTACTGTCTCTTAACAAAAAAGCCTCAAAGAGTGATTTTCTTTTTTACCTTTGAAAATAAGTAGATGTGTTTTTCTCTAAGGTACTATCTACCTCCATAGGATTTAGGTGTTTGGGTAAAAAAATTCCAAAATTAGAAATGAAGCGAGGACACCAACTCTTTCTGCCTCCCGTCAAACAGAAGAGCAGATGGAGGCCTTGCCCACCCGGCACCGTCCTCCTGCCCGCTGATGCCCCTGCAGTGTGGGTGGCTCCCTGGCTTTAGCCTTGTCTCCTGGTGTAGGGGAGGTTTGAGGACACTTGAGCGTGTGGCTGCGCCTTCTCCCTCTCTTCTGTTTCACAGGACAGCATCGTCCTGGGCATGCCACGGGCAGCCATGGAAATGCCCAGTGGGAAGGGGCTGAGGGGGGCGTTGCCTGGGCCCAGCCTCTCCCTCAGCCCCGGCCACTTCCCTGTGGAGCTCACAGCCTCCTTGGCTGCCCGGAGGGAGGGGACAGGCAGGCAGGCTTGGGTGGCGGAGCCCCTCTGTCCTAGTTCGGAACAGTTCCTTCCCGGATTGCTATTCCAAGTGTCAGGCTGGCCTCCCCGAGGTGCACAGCGGGACAGGTGGTCTCTCCAGCAGGCCCGAGGGGACATCCTACTGTTACCTGCCAGGGACACTCCCCGTCCTTGCATTCCTGGCCTCCCACGATCCTGGTGAGGTTGTTGTCGCCCCTCTCAGGCTGCGTCTGGTTGAAGTCAAGCAGGTCGAAGGGGTTCTCGGTGGGGTCCAGGTCGGCTGCATCATATGGCTTCCATGTGATGCTGTCAGGGGCCTCCCCGCTGCTGCTGGTGGCCTGGGCCACTGACCTCTTCCTGCGTTCCAGGGTCTGTTTCCCACAGGGGTAGGGCCCTGAAAGAAAGAGGACGGCCGGGGCCTTCAGCACAGAGAGAGGCTCCCCATAGCCTGCACAGCTCACCCTGAGGGAGAAGAGTCAGAGAGCCGGGAGGCAGAGCGCAGGGGCACCCGGAGGGGCAGCGGGCTTGCAGGGCGAGGCCCCACGTCGTCGGCAGGGGTCGGATCTGCAGGTGAGCGCAGCTGTCCGAGCGTTGGCCTCCCCTCAGGTGACCGCCTGTGAACAATGGACGCCAGGCAGCAACCCAGGCAGCGAGGGGAGTGTTGGCGTCTGCGGTTTGCCTGAAAATGCACCAAGAAGTCAAGAAAGCTTGACGGATGGACAGAGACAAACGGGCCGGGCGAAATGGGATGAATGCATCTGGCCGGAGGATGCCAACAGGAGAACCCAAGTGCTGGGCGTGTGCGACTCCCTGCAAAATTCTTTCCAGTGTGCTGTGTGTTGGAAAACTTTTCCTAATGAAACATTGAAGAAAAAAAAGTTTTCAGGCAGAA
This sequence comes from Homo sapiens, assembly GCF_000001405.40. Classification (NCBI taxonomy): domain Eukaryota; kingdom Metazoa; phylum Chordata; class Mammalia; order Primates; family Hominidae; genus Homo; species Homo sapiens. The sequence continues at coordinate 113,143,352 of NC_000013.11, read as the reverse complement.
GGAATGGCGCACGCAAACAACTGGAGGCACAGGAGAGCGTCTGGAATAGCACAGCTCCCAGAGAGGCCACGCCGAGATGTTAGGAAGCTTCCTTTTGTATAACGGCCAATTAGGGCACCAAGGCCAAGAGAATGGCTGAAACATGTTGGAGGAAGGCAGGGGTGTGGGGGAGCAGGAGAGGAGAGGAGGGGGGAATGGATGGCAAGGGGCTTCTCTGTGGCCACACGTGTCTGGGGTCAGATGGGCACAGCTTAGCTGTTTACTTGCTGTGCTCCTGCGCAGTCTGAGGAGGCTCCGGTGAATCTGCCAGCCGCAGGGGCCTCCACCCCGCCGTGCCTCAGCTCTGTCCATGTGTGCAGTCACCACCCTTCCAAGTTCTGAGTTCATCCATTATTTGGAACTGAACTTTTTTTTTTTTTTGAGATGGAGTTTCTCTCTTGTCTCCCAGGCTGGAGTGCAATGGCATGATCTTGGCTCATTGCAACCTCCACCTCCTGGGTTCAGGCGATTCTCCTGCCTCAGCCTCCCGAGTAGCTGGGATTACAGGCGTGCGCCACCACGCCCAGCTAAGTTTTTGTATTTTTTTTTTTATAGAGACAGGGTTTCACCATGTTGGCCAGGCTGGTCTTGAACTCCTGACCTCAGGTGATCCACCCACCTTGGCTTCCCAAAGTGCTGGGATTACAGGCGTGAGCCACCTTGCCCAGCCTGAACTTTTTGCACTACAAAGTAGATTATGTAATTTTATTTTCACACATCACATTTGCCTTTTGATTTTTTTTTTTTTTTTTTTTTTGAGACAGAGTCTCATTCTGTTGCCCAGGCTGGAGCGCAGTGGCGCAATCTCGGCTCAGTGCTCAGTGCAAGCTCCGCCTTCCAGGTTCACGCCATTCTCTTGCCTCAGCCTCCTGAGCAGCTGGGACTACAGGCGTGCACCACCATGCCCAGCTAATTTTTTTTTTTTTTTGTATTTTTACTAGAGACGGGGTTTCACTGTGTTGGCCAGGATGGTCTCGATCTCCTGACCTCATGATCCGCCCGCCTTGGCCTCCCAAAATGCTGGGATTACAGGCATGAGCTACTGCACCCGGCCCACACTTGGTTTTAAATGGATTTGTGATTGTTTCTAGAATTAAAAAATATTCGTGTGTATGTCAAGAAATGACTTCAGTTAAAATATTTTTTAACCAGCTTAAGCTTGAATGTCATTGCCAGTAGCAAGGTCAGCCACAGTGTCTTTCACTTGCTGAGATGTTTCAGGCACATAATTGAAGCAGCGCTTGAAGGATGCATATGGAACCCGGTCTTTTCGTGATCACTCATCTTTGGAAGTAAATTGTTTTCGGTAAGAAGGATATGAAAGGAAGAGTGACAGAACACTCGGGAGTAACCTGTGTCTGGAGGGGACAGTCATGGTAGCCGGGGGCAGAACACGGTCTGGGGGCTGAGCCGCACCTGAAGCCGGAAGGTGAGCTGGGTCACCAGGCTCTTGAAAAGGCGGGCCTGGAACTCTGCCCTTCGAATATGCCCCCGGGTGAGGCCAACGCTGCGGGTCGGGCCAGCTATGAGTGGGAGTGGGGTTGCTGTGCAAGGTGCAGCTGTGACGCCTAGGCCCCGCCTTCGAGGGCCTCATGTGTGCTGGCCGTGTGGAAGTGCCGGCAGCCAGGCAAGCCCAGCGTAGGCAATGCCCACGGGGTCAGGACAGGGAGGCTCGTCCCCACCCTGCCCAGTCCCCTGCCTGTCCTGTGCTCACTGCCCTCTGGCCGCCTGTTGTCCACATTCATCAAGGAAAAGAAAAACTACGTTCAATGAACACTGGTCCTGGTAAAAGGAGCTCAGAGCCTGAGCGTCCCCTGACTCCTATCCCAGCCCCGCACCTTAGCTCCAGTTCCTCGGGCCAGCTCTGCCCTTTGCCTGCCCTGGTGCTTTGAGCCCTTGCACTGGATCCCCCCACAGTCCCAATGCAGACTGAGGGCCTGCGGTGGGCCAGGCATCATGCAAAGTGCTCCAGGGATCACCCAAGCAGTCAGGCAATAGTGTTGGTCCCATTTGTCAGATGGGGAAGCTGAGGTTAAACAGCAGATCTGGCTTACAGAAATAATGGGTCTGTTTCCAAACCTCATGGTCTTCATGTTTGAACCACCTGGGCCCGGAGCCCAGGGCTCAGTCCTGTCCTCTTGGTGTCACTGTTACCTGCCAGGCCCGCCCAGAACATGCCTGTGTCCCCACCCCCTGGCACGGGCTTGTCCTCCCTGGCCCGGCCCAGCGGCAGCGGGTGGCTGTGGCCCAACGTGCCTCCTACCTGTGGGAATGCAGGCCTTGCCGTTGTCAGCCAGGGTGTACCCGCGGGCGCAGGAGCACACCACAGAGTTCTGTTCCTCGTGGCAGAACTGGTCACAGTCCCCGTTGTCCAGGCTGCAGAGCTTCCGTGTGACTGCAAAGGAGAGGCACGTTGGCTCTGGGGACAGCTGGAGAAATGGAGGCTGGGCTGGCCCAAGGGTGCCAGCTACATCCACTTGCCTGTCAGCCACAAAGCGGCCATTGGGTTGAGCAAAGGGCCAGAGCCAGGCGACAGGTACACTTGCCTTGAAGGGCAACCTCACGGGTCACGGGGAGCTCATGGTGCAGTGCCCGGTGTAGCCAGAAGCCAGGCTCCAGGTACCTGCCCCTCACACCTCCGGGATGGCCGGTACCCCCTGCCCCAGCAGCACTCACATTACGGTCACTCCACATCCCTCTGTGTGGCTTTTGATGAAAAAGTAATCACAGTGCAAAGATCAACATGCCTGAAATTTTAGAAAATGTGCATAATAGCCCTGGGAGCCTGAACAGGGTTATGCCTCATAAGTTACCAAATGGTGTTCCAGGGAGGCGACTGCGGACTTGGAATGGAATGATGCGTAATTGATATTCTCATCAGGGAAAACTCAAAAGTAATCCAATCTAAGAACACAGTCTAAAGATGATCAATTAGGCCGGCGCTGTGCCTCACGCCTGTAATCCCAGCACTTTGGGAGGTCGAAGCGGGCGGATCACCAGGTCAGGAGATCGAGACCATCCTGGCTAACACGGTGAAACCCCGTCTCCACTAAAAAATTAAAAAAAAAAAAAATTAGCCGGGACTGGTGGCCGGGGCCTATAGTCCCAGCTACTTGGGAGGCTGAGGCAGGAGAATGGCGTGAACCTGGCAGGCGGAGCTTGCGGTGAGCTGAGATCGTGCCACTGCACTCTAGCCTGGGCCACAGAGCGAGACTCCATCTCAAAAAAAAAAAAAAAAAAGATGATCAATTAAGTACTTTAAAAGAAATGCAAATCTTTTTCCTTAGGGAAATTGATCTAACAGTAGCCTAACTTTTTATTTAAAACTTAATCACCACATTAGAGAAAGCACTTAGTGATTTTTCCACGTAGAACTAATTAAATGTATCAAATTTTTATAATTGGCCAATCACAAATATTCACAAATATTGACACCTGCATCCATACACATAAATAAGAGGTGATTTAGAATCACTGCACAGGGTCACAAGGAGCAGGAATAACAGGGCAATGCACTTGGCCCCAAGGAAAACAGAGAGTCCACTCCTGTTTACACATGAATGGATCACACGCTTCATCAATGTTCTACAGTCTCTCTCGGAGGAGCAGAGAAGTGACTGTGTCTCTCTCATCATGCCCCCAAACCGAATCGTTTGGGGGACATATTGGGGCTTTTTTTTCTATTGCTATAGTGGCACAGTATAATAGGTATAATAGAGCCCAGACTTTGTAAATCAGAAATGACTTAAGATTGTTTCATTAGGCGTTTTCACTTCTTCCCCCGCCCACCTGCCACTCTTCAGGGGCATCTGATCTGAAGGTATACCAAGCAGAGGAACCTACATAATTCACAGTTTTTGCCTTCGAATCCTTCTAAACAGGTGCAGGTGTATTCCCCGAGGCCGTCTTTACATTTGCCCTGGTTCTGGCAAGGACTGGTCTCACACTGGTCGCCATCTGCAAAGAGAGGATTTCGAAACTGGAGTCTGCAAGCTGTTTCCGGCATCATGGAAACAGTTTTGCTGTGCTAACCTTGGCCCTGCCGTTCAGATAACTGGAAGAGTCTTCCGGTTTCTCTGTAAACAACTCCCCCTCTTTGGACTTTATTTGATCCACCCCCTTTTGTGGCCATGTGTACGTGATGCCTTTATCTAGGTGGATCACCGGCCCAGCTTTTTGATTTTTGCCGGTGTTTTGCAGTGTGTTTACAGTCAGAGGTGACCACAGGGACCAACTGGAAGGATGGAGGAAAGGTGAGAGCCTGATGCTCATTTCTGGGCTGGGCCTTGACGGGAGAGGAGGTTAGGGTTCCTCTTTCCAAATCATCCTGGGGCAAAAGGAGAAGGCAAACACTAACACGGGGCTTCCCATTTCTTGGAGGATTTACACAATCTCATTTAGAGATAGGCCCAGTTGTCATTTTGAGAAATGTGAATACTGTTACCAGGTAGTCATGACTGAGGCCACTTCAGATGCTATTAAGCATTAAATCAAGGTGGTTACCTTAGTCGGGAATCTAATCTTTCAGACTCTGTTTTTTGCTTTTACCGAATACACTTTTATTTAAGAAAAGTTATCATGGAATTTGGTATCCTCAAATGAGAATGAACTGATTTAAATATATATCTCTAACTCAATAACAAAACTAGGATTAGTATAAAATTACTCTAAAAACTCTTTTACAATAACTATTATGGAAACACCCTGAGGGAAAAAGTCTTAAATGAGTAAAATGAGAACAAAAGCAGAAAGGAAATTCAGGAACTATTTTCAAAATTCAAATATCCTGATGAACCCCTCTCACTGAAGGTTAAAACAGAAAAAATACTGACCTTTGTATTTATTCCAGAATTCATTCTAAAAGGAAAAAAGAAATTTAAAAATATATTAGGGAAAACAGAGACATTTTATACCAATAACAACCATAATTAAGTGACTCAAGCTGAATAGGATATTTTCCCCAATGGAAGTCACTTTTAGGAATGAATTGTTCTAGAACTATTCAATCTAAAGAGGAAAGCTATTCAGATCTTCTGCATCTGTGAAGATGTGGCTTCAGTCATCTTAAATGAACCATCTTTGTTGAATATTGAAAATATTTTCAAGTTAATTACCTAGAAACAGGTTGCACCAAGAATGGCTTGCTCTGTTTGCTACTCCCGAGCTGGTCAATGGATGGTTTTTAGTTGCTATGCCTGAGTTAACATTCAGACAAGGGTCACGTGCTTGTCAATAGTCATTACGTTAGCTGAAAAATATTCATTGCTGATTAGTTTAAAACAGGTCATCAAGAGCCTAGATTACGCTAAAAAATGTCCACAGGCTTATTGTTTTTTAACTCTCTACAGTTGGTTGAATAGTGCCCTCCCTGCTAATTCAGGTCCACCTGCAGCCTCAGAATAGAACCTTAATTGGAAATCGGGTCTTTGCAGATGTTAACTAAGCCAAGGCTGTAGAAGAGATCATGCTGGGTCAGTGTGGGCCCTAAATAAAGGAGAAAGTCCTTATAAGAGACAGAAAAAGTCACACAGAGGCACAGAGAGAGAAGGCCATGCGAAGATGAAAGCAGAGACAGGAGCGACGCGTCCGCAGCCCAAGGATGCCCATGATTGCCGGGTGCTCCTGGAAGCGAGCAGAGAGCCTGGGACAGAGACTCTCCCAGAGCCTCCAGAAGGAACCAACACTGCTGACACCCTAATTTCAGACTTGTCTCCAAAGCTGCGACAATAAATCCCTGTTATTTTAAGGCGTTTGTAGTGCTTTGTTATGGTTGCCCTAGGAAGCAAATACACTATCTTCTTACTTTTTTACTTTTAAAATTCTCACACAGCAAAACCAATGTTTTGGTGTACACTTCTATGAATTTCAACACATGGAGAGACTTCTGTAGCCACCAGCATCATCAGGATGCAGTACAGGTCCATCCTTCCCCCCCAAATACCCCATGCCATCTCCCCCACCTGCCAACCCTTGGCAAACCCTGTCCCACCACTAATCTATTCTTTATCACAATGATAACAACCTATTGAGCATGTCATGTAAATGAAAGTGTTTATTATAGGACCTTGTGAAACTAGCTTTTCATTCAATACAAAGCCTTTGAAATTCATGCAAGTTGTATCAATACTTTCTTACTTGTTGTTGCTGACAACTGTTATATTGTATGGGTACACCCAGCAAAAGACATTTATCTTACTTCCAGCTTTTGGCAATTAAGAATAGAGTTGCTGGCCAGGCGTGGTGCCTCACGCCTATAATCCCAGCACTTTGGGAGGCTGAGGCGGGTGGATCACTTGAGGTCAGGAGTTCGAGACCAGCCTGGCCAACATGGTGAAACCCCATCTCTACTAAAAGTACAAGAATTGGCCGGGCGCGGTGGCTCACGCCTGTAATCCCAGCACTTTGGGAGGCCGAGGCGGGCGGATCACGAGGTCAGGAGATCGAGACCATCCCAGCTAAAACGGTGAAACCCCGTCTCTACTAAAAATACAAAAAATTAGCCGGGCGTAGTGGCGGGCGCCTGTAGTCCCAGCTACTTGGGAGGCTGAGGCAGGAGAATGGCGTGAACCCGGGAGGCGGAGCTTGCAGTGAGCCGAGATCCCGCCACTGCACTCCAGCCTGGGCGACAGAGCGAGACTCCGTCTCAAAAAAAAAAAAAAAAAAAAAAAAAAAAAAAAAAAGTACAAGAATTAGCCTGCCATGGTGGCACACACCTGTAATCCCAGCTACTTGGGAGGCTGAGGCAGGAGAATCACTTGAACCTGAGAGGAGGAGGTTGTAGTGAGCCGAGATTGTGCCATTGCACCCCAGCCTGGGCAACGGGAAGACTCTGTCTCAAAAAATAAAAATTAAAAAAAAAAAAAAAGACTAGAGTTGCTATAGACATTTATGTACAGGATTTTATGTGGAAATAAGTTTTCATTTCTCTAGGGTAAATGCCCAGAAATGGGATTGCCGAGTCCTGTGGTAACCTTATATAACTTTATAAGAAACTGTCAAATTCCTTTTCAAAGTGGCCGTGCCATTTTGCATTCCCACGAGCAGTGTATCAAAGTTCTGCTTTCTCCGTGTCTTAACCAGCGCTGTTCTGTGTCAGTGTTTTTTACTCTATGAGTATATAGTCGTTCTTATTGTGGTTTTTATCTGCATTTCTGTAAGAGCTAATAATGTTGAGTATCTTCTCACATGTTTATTTTCTATCCATATATCCTCTTTGGCGAGTTGGCTGTTAAGGTCTTTTGTTTAACTGAGTGTTTATTTTCTTCTTCTGATCTGTTAAGATTTCTTTATATATTCCGAATATGATTCCTTTGTTGGATATGTGATTTGCAAATATTTTCTCTTAGTTTGTAGCTTGTATTTTCATCCTCTTAACAGTGTTTATTTCTGAAGTGCAAAAGGTTTTAATTTTGATAAAGTCCAATTTATGACTTTTTTCTTTTATTAATCATTCTTTTGGTGTCAATGTCTAAGAATTTTTGCCTAGCTCCATGTCATAAATTTTGTTGTATTTTCTCCTAAAAGTTTTATAGTTTTGTATTTTATGTTTGGATCTATTATCTATATTGTGTTAATTTTTGTATAATTGTGAAGTTTAGGTCAGGTTCATTTTTTTGCATATAAATATATAATTGTTCCAACACTGCTATGGTCTCAACATGCCCCCCATACATATGTTAAAATTTAATCGACAATGTAATAGTATTAAGGGTGAGATCTTTAGGAGGTGATTAGGCCATGAAGGCTCTGCCCTTGTGAATAGGATTAATGTCCTTATAAAAGAGGCTTCACACAGTGTTTGTCCCTTCTGTGCTTCTGCCTTCTGTCAGGTGAGGATACAGCCATGAGGCACCGTCTTGGAAGCAGAGACCAGGCCCTCATCAGGCCCCATATCTGCTGGTTTCTTGATCTTGGAGGACTTCCCAGCCTCCATAACTGTGAGCAATAACCTTATTCTGTTTATAATTTACCCAGTCTGATCTATTTTGTTATAGAAGCACAAACAGACTGAGACTAATATAATTTGTTGAAAAAGACAATTCTTTCTTTTCTTTTGTTTTTTTTTTTTTGGAGACAGAGTTTCGCTCTTGTTGCCCAGGCTGGAGTGCAATGGCTTGATCTTGGCTCACTGCAACCTTCACCTCCCAGGTTCAAGTGATTCTCCTGCCTCAGCCTCCCGAGTAGCTGGGATTACAGGCGCACACCACCACGCCCAGCTAATTTTTGTATTTTTTTAGTAGAGACGGGGTTTCACCATGTTGGCCAGGCTGGTCTCGAACTCCCGACCTTAGGTGATCCACCCACCTCGGTCTCCCAAAGTGCTGGGATTACAGGCATGAGCCACCGCGCCCGGCCGAAAATTGATATCTTAATATGTTGAGTCTTTCAATCCATGAACACTGTATGTGTCTCTATTTATTTAGGTCTGTTTAAATACTTTCATTGGAATTTTGTAGATTTTGGGATAAAGATCCTGTATATGTTTTATTAGCTTTACATATAAGTATATAATTTTCTTTGAAGCAATTGTAAATGGCATTTAAAAATTTTTGGCTTACAAATAACTGTGCATTGCTATTACATAAAAATGTGATTAACACATGTGCTGACCTTGTATTCTGTGACCTTGTTACACTCATTTGCAAATTTTAGGAGCATTGATATGGTTTGGCTCTGTCCCCACCCAAATCTCATCTTGAATTGTAGTTCCCATAATCCCCATGTGTAGTGAGAGGGACCAAGTGGGAGGTAACTGAATCGTGAGGGTGGTTCCTCCATGCTGTTCTCGTGGGAGTATGTTCTCATGAGATCTGATTTTTTTTAAGAGGATTCCCCTTTTGCTCGGCTCTCATTCTTCTCCCTCCTACAGCCATGTGAAGAAGAGCACGTTTGCTTCCTTTTCTGCCATGATTGTAAGTTTACTGAGGTCTCCTTAGACATGTAGAACTGAGTCAATTAAACCTTTTTTCCTTTATAAATTACCCAGTCTCGGGTAGTTCTTCACAGCAGCGTGAGAAGGGACTAAAACAAGCTTTTTTCCCCTTCACATTCTTTAGGATTTTCTATATGCATGATCATGTCATCTTCAAATAGTGATAACTTTATTTCTTTTTCTTGACTTACTGAAGGCCTTCCTTAGAGCTAGGACTTCCAGTATAATGTTGAATTAGGAGTGTTGGGAATGGACATTCTTGTGTTGTTCCAGTCTCAGGGAGAAAACCTTCAGTTTTCACCTTTAAGTATAATATCAACTGTAGACTCTTTGTAGATGAACTTTATTATGTTCATAAAATTCCCTCCTATTCATATTCTGCTGATAGGTTTTTTATAAAATCATAAATGGATGTTAAATTTTGCCAGATTTGTTTGTTGCATCAATTGACATGATTATGTGGATGTTCTCTTTTGTTTATATGGTGGATTACATAATTATTTTTAAATATTGAGCCAGTCATGTGTGCCCCAGAAAAACTCACTTGGTCATGGTGTATTATTACTCTTTTAAAAATATATTGCTGCACCGTTTGCTAATATTTTGTTGAGGATTTTTATGTCTAGATTCATGAGAGATATTGTTACGTAGGGTGGTTTTTGTTTTCAGTATTTGTCTGGTTTTGACATCAGGGTAATGCTGGCCTAAGACAAACTAAGAAGTGTTCCCTCTTCTATGTTCTGGAAGAGTTGTATAGAATTGGTGTTCTTTTTGAAATGTTTGGTAAAATTCTACCAGTGAAACCATCTGTACCTGAACATTACTTTTTCAGAAGGTTTTAAATTAAGAATTGAATTGGCAGGTATCTCTTTCACCTTGTGTATGTTTTGGTGGCTTGTGGTATTGAAGAATAGGCTCATTTCATCCAAGTTCAAATCTCATGCAAATTTATATATGCAGAGTTGTTCAAAGTATTTTCTTATTATACATTTAACATCTACAGTTTCTGTAGTGATGTCCCCTCTCTTCCATTTCCAACATAGGTCCTTTTTCTTGTTTTTGTTTGTTTGTTTTTATTCCTGTCAGTCTTGTTTGAGTTTCATCAGCTTATTAATTTTGTCTATTATTTTTGTTTTAAATTTCTTTGATTTCTGCTTTTTCAATTTCCTTTTGGTTTATTTTTTTCTTTTTTTCTAGTTTATTAAAGTGGAAGCTTACATAAACAATTTGAGACCGTCTTTCTTTTCCCATGTGAGCATTTAATGCTATAAATTTCCCTTGAAACACTGCTTTTTTAGCTGCATCCCACAGATTTTATGTTACATATTCATTTTTGTTCAGCTCAAAATACTTTCTTACTCCCCTTAAAATTTTCTCTTTGACTCACAGATTATTTATACATGTGTGACTTAATTTCCGAGTACTTAGGGAAGTTTCCAGTTATTTTTCTGTTAGTAATTTTTACTTTAATTCCATTATGGTCAGAAAACATACTTTATGTGAGTTCAATCTTTTTATTGAGGTATGCTTTAAGACACAGGATATAGTCTACCTTGAGGAATTTTCCATATGTGGAAGGAAAGTGTACTTTGCTATTGTTGAGAATCCTATAAATGTCCATTAGATTCAGGTCAAGTGATGTCTGGAAGACTGGAGGAAAAAATGATAAACTCACAGCCAGTTGTATCATATCATACATCTAATTGTAGTCTTATTCTGCAATACACTGCGATTTACTTTTTAGGGTCGTCAAATAGCTGCTACATGCATTCTATCCATGTTTTGGAGCTACACTCAGTGGGAGAGGCAGTGTGGAATGTGATTTCTTCATCTTATCTGGAATTGGAACTTGTTGATAACCTTTAATTCAGTCGTCTCTCTCTGGAGAAGCCACTCTTAGATGATAATCTAGAAGAAATGCATGCATATGTGTTTTCCTAATAGCAATATTTAGAAATAACTTATATGGCCAAACTCTGAAAAGAGTAAATGCATCATACAATAAAATATAGCTTAGCTATAGGGTAGCTATATATAAGTAAAGAAGAGTGTTTGAGAAACGATGCTGAGTGAAACATAAACTTGGATCAGCATTATTTACTTTTACTAAAGAAAAATTCTACCAGTGGAAAAAAATATATGTATATATAAGAAGTATTTGAAAATATTTCCGAAAATTCTAAATTTTTTCTGTTAGAGACAAGCCATTTATTTGCTAACAAGTAATAAAAAGGAATTCTTAATTTAATTAAGAATTAGAGTAGACCTTGATCTTTTGCAGAAATGCAAAGATATCTGAGTCACACAACTTAGACAATTAAAATTTTCTAGATAGACGTGTCAATGTTGCGCTTTCCATTGTATTAGTGGCTGCTACATTCTCTTTCTTCAAGTTTCATGCCAGGAGTCAGAAATATTTCCTTGATGTTGTGGGAGTCTGTGAGAAACATGGTAACACATTTGATTGTCACGCTCCAACCAGCTGTGGGCGGAAGCCCATATTCCAGGGTTGCATGGAAGCTTTCATCTATGAATGTGGCCTCATCATCTTTGCTGGCCTTGTCTTGTTTGTCAACAGCTGCTGCTGTTGCTGCATGGAAACATTCAGCTATCTTCATGACAAATAGCTCAAAGTGCTCAGTGAGACCCTCTTAGAGAGATCATTTGGTCAAAGAGCTCATTATCTGCAGGTGATAACAGATAAATGTGGGACTGATGTAAGTCACTTTCAGGAACTCCTTGACAAGTTTATCAAGGCGCCTGAATATGTTCTGAGGTAGAAGACTTTCAAAAGCTTTTGTTACATAGATATCACCAATAATTTTTTGAGTTTCTTCAGTTCCAAAGAGGTTAGTTTCTGGCAGCGTCACACCCAGCACTTTTTCAAGCTCTTCTACCACACTGATTCTCCAGAAGGGTGAGGAGAAGTCAACCCATAGGTTTGGCTTTCTGAGCCATCTGGATGGTGGGTGACCTTGTAACCACCTGTGATGTGCTTCATCCCTGACATAATCTTTTCTTGGATTTCAATGAGATCATGACAGTCTGCACAGACCATATAGGGTGGCAAATCAAATACATTCTCTTATTCCTTAACTGGCATCCAATTTCATAAATCCAGTCAATGCTACTAACCAGCATCTGAAGGTAGAGTCCTGGAGCAATTCTCAAATACAAGTTAATGTCCAGCTTGTTGTAGCAGGTGATGAAAGGCTTAGCCCCTGCTACCCGGGATGACGTTCATCATGAGGGTTTCAATGTCTAGAAATCTCAACTCATCCAAAAACCTTGTCATATATGTGGTGATCTTAGGGCAGATGATACACTGCTTTCTCAGAAAGTCACTCAGGATCAAATCCAAGTACTCAAATAATATTGGGTCTCCTTGCCTTTGAGGCTAAAGTAAGGATGGGGCAACATGTGAGCCAGGAGGCAGCAGTGCAATTTTGCAGGGGCTGATGCTGCGCTCGCCCTTCTTGGTGTTTCCTAGATTTTCCTGGACTCTGAGTACGTCTCCCTGAGGCAGTTTATTTATTGACTTATAATTCCTTGACCTGGCCATAACTTGTAACTTCACCCTGGTCCGCAGGGGTCATTAGAAGGTGAACTTTCCCCAGCTCTTTTGGCATGGATCTCCAGGGTGACATCAGTCAGGTGGTCCCAGGCTGCAGGTGACTGCACTCCGGGATGAAGCAAGCGAGTAATGTCCACATGGAAGCTGCAGGGGTCTTCCCCAGTAACCTTCGGCGGTGGCCTGCGCTGGGGGACCTGTAAGGGGCCTCAAAGTTTCCATTTGGGTCCACAGTTAGTGGTGTGGCTGATGGCACCAGCCGCGGCTGGCCTAGCTGTTGCTCACTGAGCTCCGGCTTGGCCCCCTTCTCGGCTACTTTCTTCTCTTCAGCTCATTCTTGTCAGTTCGGCATCACCACCGCCCACTTCCACTTCAGAGCCCTGTCCTGCAGGCACCTTTCCTGATGCCTGGGGTGAGGAAGTCGAGACCCCTCGGCCATTTCCAGGTTCGTTCGAAGCCCCGCCTCTTCGGGGGAGAGGAGGGTAGCGTCTTCCGCGCGGGGCTGCTGCGGCTGCGCAATCGCGGCCTGGTGGCATTGCTCTCCTCCTACTGCGCAGGCGCGATGCTGGGTTCGTCGTCCGGTGTGGATGCCGGTCTTCCTGCTGCGCAGGCACCGTGCTGGGTTCGCGGCCTGGCCTCAGTGCGTGTCCTTTTGCTGCGCAGGCGCAGTGCCGGGTTCGCCGCCCGGCCTCAGTGCTAGTGCTTCTGCTGTGCAGGAGCAGTACTGGGTTCGTGGCCTGGCGTCAGTTGTGCGCCTGCGCGCTGGCGCTCTAGGCTGTGGCTCTCAGCGACTACGGAGGCCAAGGCAGGACGCGGGCTGCGGGCGTGGGAGGGCACGATCTCAGCTCACTGCAACTCGGCGAGGCGCTGGCCGAGACCATGACTATTGGTTTTTAGGTTAACATTTTATTTTTAAATAGAACTTAACTCTGGCAGAAGCCCTGTGACCCTCAAGGGACTTGGGCGCATCCCTCCCCGCTGAGTCCTCGCCGGGAAGGAGTCAGCGCGGGGGCGGCACTGATGTCCCTGTGGGCAGGACTCCGCCGAGGCCTCGATTTGCTGGGCCCCGCCCCTGAAAGCCTTCGCGCACGCTGCCCCTTCCTCCAGGCCGCCCCCCTGGATGGACGGAGCAGCGGGGCCAGCGAGGGCGCTGTGGCCTGAGCTCCTTACCAACAGCCAGGCTATCCCCAGCCCTTACCGTCTTGTCGCTGTCCTCAAAGACCTCGCGGGCCTCTTCGTATGAGCAGGTCTCTTCCATGCACTCTCTTTCGAGGTGTCCTTTCTTCATCTCTTCAAGAAAGGAATTGGCCCTCGTGACCCTCGCCAGGATGTTGTTGGCCTGCTCCCTGCGGATGAACACTGGAAGGCAGGGAGGACAGGGTTAAAAGCTCTGGTCACCCTCACCCAGGCTCCCCCTCACCTATGCTCCCTGACTGCCATGTCCCTTGCCATATCCAGATCACAAAAGGCGGATCACTCTCTTGTAAACCAAAAATAAAATTCTAAGCCCCCAACTCACTGAGTGGACCCGTCCTCTCTGCCAAGGGAATTCCATAGGAACCTGAAAGACTAGTTGAGGCCATGAGGGGAAGCAGGTCCCACACGCCTCATTATTTCTTCCTTTGGAATTCGGGCACAGCTGACCAGCATTCACGTTAAGAGACCTTGAGGCTGACCAAACAGAGTCTTTGTAGCAATAAGATACCAGTTTCCAACCTGACTTCTCTAGTATAGGATCACATGACATATAGCAGGCCCTAAAATAAATGATTTTACTCCAAATTGTATTTGTTTGACATATTTTGAAATGGCCCTGCAAAGCTATCTCAGGGAAATCCACATTCTGTAGAGAACCCCCTTACCATTCCAGGTCTTTTTCTGAGCTGAGAGTCTAGCACCTTTTTTTTTTTTTTTTTTTTTTTTTCTCTTTAAGATGGTGTTTTGCTCTGTCATCCAGGCTGGAGTGCAATGGCACAATCTCAGCTCACTGCAACATCTGCCTCCCAGGTTCAAGCCATTGTCCTGCCTCAGGAGGAGATTCTACTGTCTCAGCCTCCCGAGTAGCTGAAACTACAGGCAAGCACCACCACACCCGGCTAATTTTTGTATTTTTAGTAGAGATGGAGTTTCACCATGTTGGCCAGGCTGGTCTTGAACTCCTGACCTTAAGTGATCCACCTGCCTCAGCCTCCCAAAGTGCTGGGATTACAGGATGAGCCAAGGCGCCTGGCCATGTGTGTAGCACCTTTTAAAGGTCTGAAGAGGAAACAGTTGCCATCTATTCCCTCTAAGGGTGGCCACCTATGAGTCTTCATCTACATAACAAGAACCTTGGTCTCCACAACCTCTTATCTTAACCCAGATACTCCTTTCCATTTATTCCAGGTCTTTAGATAATAACTCTTTCAACTGATTGCCAATCAGAATATCTTTGAAGCCACCTATGACCTGGAAGCCCCCACCTTCCCCTTTTCTGGAACGAACCAGTGTACAACTTATGCTTATTGATTGGTGTCTGTATGTAACTTCTGTCCCCCTAAAATACATAAAATCAAGCTGTGACCCAACTACCTTGGACACATGTTCTCAGGACCTTCCAAGGCTGTGTCATGGGTCGTGGTCCTCACATTTGGCTCAGAATAAATCTCTTCAAATATTTTACAGAGTTTGGCTTCTTTATCAACACTTTCCTCAGGCACTTTGGGGGCTGTGGAGGGAAATGCCCATTTCCCCCCTCCCCCCAGTTCTCTATGAGGTACAGCATGAGGCACCTGCTCTAGACCCATGCACCCTTCTCTGGAGAAGTAGACACATCCCACCCAATCAGCTCACCAGCCTCCTCACATGCTCACGCTGGCTCAGCCTGGCCACCCAAGCCCCCTTCCTTGAATTCTCCCTCCCTAGGGTGCTTTCAGCCCACTGTTCTGTGCTTTGGCTCAAGCTGTGCCCCTTCAGCCTGGCCCCACTCGTCTTTAAGGTCTCTGCTCTTTGTTATGTGGGGATTGGTGATGCTGTTTCAATTACAAACTATAATAGTACAATTTATGAAGTGCCAGGACACACATACATGCCAACTTTCAAGAAATAGTATTTATTAGTATTTCCTAAAATACAGTACTTAGTACAAAGTTTTCTATTTGATTCTACTCTTTTAAAAAAAAATACTGAGTTGATTTCATGACTGGCAAATGAGTCTTGATCTGCTGGTTAAAATGCCCTGGATCCGAGAGTCTGTGTCCCTTGTAGAGTGTGTGTCTGTGGGCTGTGCTGTCCACATCTCTCTGCCTGTGTCTCCTTTGTCTCTCACCCACTCCTCCTCCTCTTTTCATTTTGACAGCCTCAGTTTCTTTTCTTGGCCCTCTGTAGTCTTTTTCTGTGCTTTTTTTCCACTGAAAAATTCAATGTCTCACTACAATAAAGATAACTCTTCCAACTGATCTCTCTAGCACTGACTTTTGTCCTGAGCTCCATGTTTTCAGCTCTCTCACTATGACAGATGCCTTCCCTCATCTCAGAACTCCAAACTCTCCATGTCCAAAATTTAAAACAAGACTGCAGAATCAAGCAATCTTGAGCTTCAAAAACACCTTAGTCACTTATTATTTATTATTGGCAGAAGGGAATTATAATATCTACTCTTAGAGCTGTTTTAAAGATTGTATAAACTCCTAGTGTTGAGTTTGGTATACAGAAGGTGCTTAGTAAATCTTGGGTTCATTCCTACCTCCAGTTACTTTACCTTCCAAATTCCCCATTTCTTTTAGTGACACCGACATTATCCCACCAACGCTAGACTTAGATTTATTATTTCTTGACCCTGCCCCATTACTCTGCGTGTCTGCTCCACTCCCACACACTTGCTCTGAAATGCAGCCCACACGTGGCTCCCTGCAACCTGCAGCCTCATGTCACCTCCACTCCACAAAAGGCACTGAGGAAGCTGAGGGGTGGGGAATGCCCATCTCCCTTGGGGCCTCTGGCTCTCATGTTGGGATGACCACAGCCTCAGACAAGTTATCCAAGCCTGGCTTAGTGTTTCCCAAACTGGGACTCGCGGGCCTCCTGGGCTCCAGTTGGGGTCTGAAGACCGCGTTCTGCCTTGCCCTCGGTGTTCTGACGCACCTCCATGTGAACACCTCTCTTGGTACCTTCTCTCTTCCCCTTGGTCTCCTTCCTTGTGGCCAGATGGACATATGCCTGCTTTTTTCTCTGCTACCCTAGAGCCACAGTGATGGTTCACAGACTTGCCACAAGGATTGGTCCCCACTCAACTGGAGCCTGACGCCCTCACTGTCTCTGGTCGATCCCTTGCGCCTCCTCTGACCTCTTAGAGGAACTCGCTGTTCTGTGATAGCGGCCACAGCTCTGTTCCCCTTGGCATCCACCCCCGAGCATCCCCAGGCTGATTGACCAGTAAGAAGTCACCTTTCCTTTGCAGCCCCTGTCCAGTTCCCGCCTTTTCCCATCTCCCTGAAGCCTGCTCAGCTCTCCCCAGCTCATGGGGGTAGGACACGGCCTATAAGGTTGAGCTGGACTGTGTGAGGAAGAGGGTACAGGTGGCAGGCACGGGGTGGAAAGGGTGATGCAAGGAAGTCAAGGACTACCCAGAATCTGCCTCTAGTGGTCTTAGAACAGAGCCCAGGGTCTTCCCATGGCCAGGCCTCCCAGGCCTCACCACCTTCAACTCTGCCCTCATTCACCTCTCTCTGCCACACTGGGCTCTGCGCTGACCCTGGCTGAGCCCAACACTCACACCCCAGGACTTTTGCACCAGTCACCTCCCTGTCTGGAACATTCTTTCCACAGATACCCAAGTGGCTCAGGCCCAGCGCCCTCCGAGACACCCTCCCTGACCACGCCCTCTGACGTTGCCCCCACTCGTGTCTCTTTCATCCCCTTACACTGTGCTATTTGTCTTCTAGCACCCAACCCCTCTCTGACATTACATGCTGACAGGCTTATCCTTCCCTCCGCTGGAAAAAGACTTGACGTGTTTGGTCACAGCTGTATGCCCGTGCCTAGCACGGCCGGAACTTAACCAATATGTGTTGAGGGAATGAAGGAAAGATGGCGTGCCTGGCTCAGCCCTCTGGACTGAATCTGGGCGCTTCTGCTATCTGTTATGGCTGAGTCGCATCAACGCTTCAGTCAGACTGAGCAGGCCGGGTCTGGGCCACGTGGCCACACTTTCTGATGTGAGTAAAATGGGATTTTGGCAAAACGAAATTAAAACAAGGTTTTTAGGCACTTGTCTCAAGAAATTAATGGAACACTCTAGAACTCTGATATGGAGCATCCAGATTGGTAGACATTTGTCGTGTGGTTTGTTTCTTCAGAAGCTGTTGGGAGCATTGCAATCCTCGAGCACACAGTTGTGTTTGTTGTTTTGGCAACATCAGTGAATTCCACAGTCAGCAACTGCATTTGAGCAAGTTTTACCAGCAAGCAAAATTTTCAGTCAGTAAGGTCCAAACTCATGAAGAATGGGTTTAAACTTGTTGAATGTAAAGATTGAAACTGAAGCCACGTAGCTTTAATGATTGCCAGTACAACAGCAGTAGTTTAAAGGCTGGCACTGCAGGTGCTCTGCGTATTCTGATTTTATTAAAATAAAAAGTTGGATTGCAGAAAACACTCACAGGTGGCAGGACAGGGCTGAATAATGTCCCTCCAAATTCATGTCTTTCCCAGAACCTCAGAACCTGACCTTAATTGGAAATAGAACTTTTGTGATGTATTTAGTTAGGAAGACATTTTATGGGAGTAGAGTGAGCCCTAAATCCAATGACTGGTGTCCTTCTGAGAGAAAAGAAGACAGAAAAACAGCCATGGTGAGAACCCCATGCGATGATGGAGGCAGCGATGGGAGCAATGCTCCCACAAGCCATGGGCTGTGAGGCCGCTGGCACCCCGAGGCCAGGAAACAGGCCTAGAGCAGACTCTCTCCCAGCCTCTGGAGGAACCAGCCCCGCTGACGCCTTGATTTTGAACTTCCAGCCTCCAGAGCTGTGGGAGAAATGTTTCTGTTGCTTTAAGCTACTTGGTCCATTGTCCTTTCTTGTAGCAGTACCAGCAAAGGAATGCTGAGGTCCCACCGCCCCAGAAGAACTTCCGTGACTGCCAGGACAGCTGTGCTCGTTTAAAGGCTAGACTGCAGATGCTGTGCGCATTCTGATTTTATTAAAATCAAAAGTGTGCACAGCAGGGTCCTGAGTGGGACCTTCTGGGACCTGTGTTCAGCCCCACCCACCCCACAGTGCAGCTGCCGAGGCCTCTGAGGCAGAGTAGGGGAGAGAGATGGCCTGGCCCTGGCTCTCCGGGGCTGGCCATGTCCACCCAGGGTCCAGGCCGGCCCCCGGGGACACCACAGGCCATGGTTATGAGCCAGGCCCGCATCACACAGCTAAGGGTGCCAATACCCTGTGGACCCAGAGGTCCGCGAGGTGGGCGCCTGCATTTCCCATTGGCAGGAAGGGAAGCTGGCGCTCCACCAGGACTCTGCATAACTCCCCTAGTTTCCTCCTGTGGGTCTGGGTGGGCTCCTGGCCTGTCTTCTCATCCCCACCCTCTGCTTCTTCCCAGGAAGAGGAGTCCTGCCAACTTCCATTCCCAATAAGCCAGAGCAGCTTCCAGAGTCCCGGGCCGGGCTTAGGGCCTCGGGAGCCCCGGGCCGGGCTTAGGGCCTCAGGATCCTAGAGCATTCCGGCTGCAGAATTTTCTACCAATTCGCGGAAGCATCTGTCTGTTTGCAGAGTAGCTTTGCTGTCGATGATGATGGCATGGGTCCTTCCAGGGCCTTGTTCCACCCACGCTGATCTCATCCCACCACAAGCATCACAGTGGGCTCCTGCAGGGGGCAGTGTGGCCTGAGGGGGAGGAAGAAGGCTGGGCGAGTTGGAGCCACACAGTACCCCATGAAGACGGGAGTCCCGTTCCGCGTGGGAGACAGGAAGATGTGGCTCAGGGGACAGAGGCTGGGGAGGGCAGGGGGTTGAGGGTGGGATGGAGAAGACCCCCGTGTGATGTGACTGGAGCTCCAAGTCACCAGGCGGAGGGGCCGTTTAGGTCAGTGATGCACTGAGGATCCACTCAGCCTTCCCAGGGGTCTCCCCTTTCCACCCCACGAGGGTCTCCCCCTGCTCCGTCTCTCCCTCACACATTCCCTTCCCAGGCCTGGGTCCCCTTGGTGCCCCTGCCTGTCCACTTTGTCCAGGATGCAAACAAGTCTAGGGTCCCTGTCTCTCGTGTCCCCACCAGAGGGGCCTCCTCTTCCTCCGCTGTCCCCAGGCTTGCCTGGCTTCTGTCCTGTCTGGGCCTCTGCTTTTGGACAGACCCGGGGGTCCTGGACAGCCCTGCTGCCCCCACCTGTCCAGCTGTGCATTAGGCAGCTCCTTCCCCGACGGAGCCAGTCCGAGAGTGGTGGCACTGGCTCGGCTCAGCCTCCTCCTCCCTGGGAGCTCCTCTGCTGTGCCCCTCGTCCTGTGCCTCCCTGTGGTGGCAGATGGCTAACTGTCCTGTCTCTGCCTGCCCCAACCCCTCCCTCTCTCTCTGTCTCCGTCTTTCTACCTCTGTCTCTGCCTCTTGGCCTCCCATCTCACTGTGTCTCCGTTTCTCCTTCCCTCTCCCTTTCTCTCTCTGACTCTGTCCTTGTGTTTTTGTCTCTGTGACCTCTGATCCGCCCGTCTGACTCTCAGCCCCAGGGAGCCACAGCTGGCCTTGAGGATGCCGTTGGCTGGAAAGGCCAAGCCCAGCCATCCGAGCCCAGCCTCTGGCAGCACTCAAGGCACCCACCGTCCAGGCTGCAGAGATGAGAGGGTTTCCCCAACTGCCGCCCCTCCCTGCTCCCTGGCGCTGCTTTTGGGTCTGAAGGGCGAGGGGCACTTACGACTTTCCCCGAGCAGCAGGAGGCCAGCCAGGGAGGCACTGAGCAGGACGAGGTGCAGTGGGCGCCCCATGGTGTGGCCGAGTACTGTGTCCCTGTCCTCACTGGGACAGGCTGCTGGAGCAAAGTCCACGCCCCAGCTGGGATGGCTGTTGTCTGGCTGCTTATCACTTGGCTTAGGCCTCCTGATTGGAGCCGAGACCTGCTGGCGAGGCAGGGGAGTGACCACGCTGGGAACACATCCACTCTGGCCCCACCTTCCCCAGGCAGAGCTGGGCGGCCAGAGAGGCCCCGCAGAACCTCATCCTCATCAGTCACCAGGGCCGCGGGTGTGGGGACTTTCTGTTCTAAGAATAAAAACATCATTTCGTGCTCATTTTGTAGTTTCCAGATGTTTACATTTAACTCTCAGTCCTCACATACAAATATCATTTTCCCCATCATTTTTCCAGAAGAGAAAACTAAGTTTAGAGAGCGCAGAAGCCTGAGCCGAGGCCGCTGGCAGTGAGCGTGGGATCTGAGCCCAGGACTTCTGCCCCAAGGCCCTGCTTGTTTCTGGGCGGGCCCTTCCGCTCACAGCCACTCTCTGGGTGGTATCAGGTGGTCTCATGTCACGGGGGGGGCTTGGCATCTGCACCATGGCCTCCCACAGGCCAGGCTGGCACCTGCCCCACCCACCCCCAAACCTTCTGTGCCCGCATGGCCCCAAAACGTACTTCTGTGGGGAGTGACCTTCCCGTGACCATCTGGAGGGACAGGCTGTGTCTGAAGCCCCTCCTGACCTGCCCACCACTGGCCACACTGTTCCGAGGCTGAGAGGGCTTCTGGGCTCGTTCTCCAGTGCAGAAACCTCCCATCACAAGGTCCTGAGTGTCTCTGCTCAATGGCTGTGGGAGTCACTGGGAGGTGCAGCCGGGCTTTTTGCCTCTGGGGTCTCTGGAATAAATGGTCTAAAGCTTGGCCAGTGTGGCGATCACTGCCTGCTATGCCGTAGTGGCCGGGGAGCAATGCCCCTAACACCCACAGCACTGGCCACTGCCTCATGGTGCATCTGCCTTGATGGGTCGCCCTGTCTCGCAGCCACCTGCACATGAGCCTGGTGTGCACACATTGTGCGTCATTGTGCCTGGCACACAGGAGGCACTCACTGAGCCCCACCCGACTGCACAAACTGATGATGCTGGATGCCAACGCCAGGCTGGCCTCCCACGGCGGGCACCACGCACAGCCTGGTCCTCTGAGAAGGGCCTTCCTGGTGGCACCAGATGTCTGACTCCTGCCTCTCCTGGTCTCCACCCTCTGACATCGCCTCTAGGCATGTTTGTATGGAGAGACCAATGCGGTGTGTGCACCAACAGCAGGATGCTCATGGCAGACACGCAGTCTTTGTCATCAATGCTGGGTGGCGATGCTGGCTTTGGTGGCCCAAGCCTGCCGCCTCATCCCACCCTGTCCCAGGCCCATGGCCAGTGGCCTCCCCGTATTCTATCTCGCCACTCACAGAAAGCTGGAGCTGAGCCGTGGCAGGTGGCACGTCCCATATGAAACATGTAGCCTTTGGGGGCGCCCAGGCCCTTCAGCGAAGCCTCTGGGGAGTCCCGGGCCCCCTCCTCCGGCAGCACCATGAGGTGGGCGCCTGCATTTCCCATTGGCAGGAAGGGAGGCTGGCGCTCCACCAGGACCCCGCATGACTCCCCTAGTTTCCTCCTGTGGGTCTGGGTGGGCTCCTGAACTGTCCTCTCATCCCCACCCTCCGCTTCTTCCCAGGAAGAGTCCTGCCAACTTCCACTCCCAAGAAGTCAGAGTGGCTTCCAGAACCCTGGGCTGGGCTTAGGCCCTCAGGAGCCCCGGGCATTCTGGTTGCAGAATTTTCTACCAATTCACTGAAGCATCTGTCTGCAGAGTGGCTTTGCTGTCGATGACCATGGCATGGGCCCTTCCAGGGCCTTGTTCCATCCATGCTGATCTCATCCCACCATAAGCATCACGGTGGGCTCCTGTTTTACACATGAGGAAACTGAGGCATGGTCACTCGGACAAAAGAGAAAGCAGAGCCAGCTCTGACCTGGATCAGGGCCCGCCACTGGCTCCCGTCCCGTTTAGGGGGCATTAGGAACCGGGGTCTGGCCAGGGTCAGCAAGCATCTTCAGCAGAGGTCCTGACACTAACCATGCTGGGCTTGGCGGGTCAGCTGGTCTGTCCGGCTGGACGTCTCTGCCACGGCCACTCCATGGACACTAATATGGGTGTGTTCCCATAAAACTTTATTTACAAGAGCAGGGTGCCTTGGAAGCAGCCCACGGCTGTAGTTCATAGACCCTGTCTGCTCTGAAGTAGATGATGCCTGAGTGCCCCCGAGGTGGGTTGCTGGTGCCTGCCTTGCTGCTGTGAGTGCCAATGGTGCCCACCTTGCTGCTGTGAGTGCCAGTGGTGCCCAGGACGGCCCTGCAGGGATGGCATCGAGTCCACTCTCTGAGCCGTGCTTGCCGGAGTCTGAGTGGGGGCACTGTTTGTCACCTCCCCATTTCTCTGTTCATGTGTTTCTCATTCTTCTTCCACCACCCTGGGGACTCAGCAAGAGTGCAGCTTGCCAGGTCCTCCCACTGCAGCCAGGGCCTGGGAACTTGCATTTAGTGATGCGTGTGTCCCTGACTCTTGAGCAGGTGCTCCCAGGGTCTCTGTGAAATATCATTGACAAGGGCTGTGGCAGGGAGAGAACATCCAATTCCACAGGATCCTGGGAGCTACAGCCTCAAACATCTATCAAACAGCTTTTGTTTTTAAAAAATAGCTTCCATGTGAGGGTTCATTTCAGTGATGTTGAAAATTGTGAAAGAAAAGAGCATCTCAGAGGATGAGCACCGGGGGCTCCAAAAATGAATCATGGGCAACCCAGTGGGTGGCAGGCACCACAGGTGTGCGGAGGAGACGCAGCCGTTTATTGTGAAGCTGGGAAGCAGGTGGGGAATAGTCTGTGCAGCCCGGCACCCAGCGAAGGGAGAAATACATTTGGGGGAGAGTTTGGGGGCATTCGCCACCATGCATGGTGATGCTTCTGAATTGTCTGAAGTGAAGATGATAATGGATAAGAACCAGAAAAGTGAGAGCTAAACAACCGCCTTCAGAGGACAGCACACATGGAGTCAGCATCGGTGTGTGTGCATCTGTGTGTGCATCTGTGTGTGTACATCGGTGTGTGTGCGCATTGGTGTGTGTGTGCTCATCCATGTGTGTGCATATCTGTGTGTGCGCACATCGGTGTGTGCATATCTCTGTGCATCCGTGTGCACTGATGTGTGCGTGCATTGGCATGTGCGTGCATCCATGTGTATATCTGTGTGTGCATCTGTGTGTGCATATCTCTATGTGCGTGTGCATCGGTGTGTTTGCGTATCTCTGTGTGACCATCTGTGTGTGCATCCGTGTGTGTGCATATCTCTGTGTGTGTGCATTGGCGTGTGTGTGTGTGCATCCATGTGTGTTCATGCCTCTACTGTCTCCAGCAATGAAGGCAGAGCAGCAGCCTGAGGCCAGCAGATCACGTGCAGGTGGGCTTGGCTGAAGGGAGGTAAGGAGGCTCAGCTGGGCTGTCTGCCTCCAGGACAACCTTGGCACTCCCCTGCCCCTCTGTCCAGCGCCTGTCTGCCTCTGCCTCTCATCTTTTCTATTCCATCTCTGTGTCTCTATTAGTCTCTTTGAATCTTGGAGTCTCTTTGAGTCTCTCTCCATGTCCTCAGAGTCTCTCCCTCAGTCTCTCTCTGTCTCTGTCTCTCTCTGTTTCTGTCTCTGTCTCCCTCCCCACCTCTCCCTCCCTCCCATGCCCTCCTCTACCCCATTAACTGCAGAAGAATATATGGGATTTGGTGCCAGGACAGTTCGACGCAGCCTTGGCTTTCTCTCCACAGGCCAGGGCTGCTGGGCTAGGGAAATGGGGCTCGCAGGAGGACTCCTGGGCGTGGCTCTGAGCGCATGAGCTTTTGCAGCCACTCGATGTACTGGGAGACCCTGGTGTACACCCCAAAGTGGCCCACGGTTGCGCAGCCCTGGCCCCAGCTGACGATGCCCGTCAGGTACCACGTGCCCCGGTAGTGGGTGGCATGTGGGCCTCCACTGTCCCCCTTGCAGGAGTCCTTGCTGCCATCCGAGTAGCCGGCACAGAACATGTACTCCGTGATATTTGGGGAGTCTCCCACCTTCCGTGACTGCTGCAGGCAGTCCTGGGTCATCAGCCGGGGCACGTTGAGGACCATGAGCTCCAGGGCCGTGGCGCCACGGTCCAGCAGCTGGCCCCAGCCGCTGACCAATGAGAAGCGCACGAAGGCCAGCGTCCTCTCAGAGAACGTCCGTTCGGGCAGGCAGAGGGGCACCACATGGTCAGTGAGGACCACGGGCTGGTGCAGGCGGAGCAGCGCGATGTCGTGGTTGGTGGTGCCCGGGACGTACGTGCTGGGGATGATGACCTGCGCCACCCGCCGGCTCTGCTCATCCCCGTCGTGCTCGCTGAGGTCGTGCTCGCCTGGAAGGAAGAAGCCCCCCTCAGGCCCTTTCCACCACCTGCCACCTCACCCCCTGGTGCATGGGGATGGGCTGTGGCCATTTCTAGGTCTGCAGGGGCTGCAGTCTCCTTCTGGGGCAAGGGGACCTGCATCTAACCCCAAGGTGGGGCCAGCCTGCCCCAGGTGGCAGCCTGTGGCTCGTGTGGGGACAAGTGAACTGGGGTGAATCTGGGGTCTGGGTGTTGAGGTGGGGAAGGGATGCTGTGCCCTGGCAGCTGGGAGGACAGGGCGTGCCCCGATTCTCCACAGTTCTTCCCGGCCCAGTGGCCCTCCTGGGAGTGCTCGTCTCACCCATAAACCCAGTGAGCAGAACCCCTGCCAGCCGGTGGTCCCATGAGGCCCTGGGTGTCGCATCCTCTTCTGGGCTCTTGGTCAAGTGAGGCAGGATGGGCAGAAGCCCCCAGTCTTTTATCGTTTTATTTGGGCATGGGAAAGTGGCTGAGAGCACGGTGGCCACAGCAGTCGTGCCCAGCATGGTTGCTCCCCTTTTGGGGATGTCTGTCTGTCTGTGGAAGTGACAGCACGAAGCCCAGAGCCACAGCCCCTGAGACACTTGAGAGCTGCGGTCAGACAGGGGAGAGTGGTACCCACCCAGCACCGCGGTCGGACAGCGGAGAGTGGCACCCACCCAGCACCGCGGTCGGACAGGGGAGAGTGGCACCCACCCAGCACCGCGGTCGGACAGGGGAGAGTGGCACCCACCCAGCACCGCGGTCGGACAGGGAAGAGTGGCACCCACCCAGCACCGCGGTCGGACAGGGGAGAGTGGTACCCACCCAGCACCGCGATCAGGTTCCTCCAGTTCTTGATTTTGTCGAAACAGTGGGCCGCGGAGACCACCCAGATGGTGTTGATCAGGGTCCCCCCACACAACTGAGCTCCATTCACCAACAACAGGACCTGGGCGGGGGGACAGGAGGTGTGGAAGTCACATTGCTGTCATTGTTTCTCTGATGACTCGCCCTCCCGGGCATGCCAAGGAACCTCTGGCATTGCACAATTTCTTTCTGAAATCCTGGGGTCTTTGCAGATCCCTCCCAGGCAAAGCTGCTCAGACCTGGCTCTGGGAGGCTGTGCCCCTCTCTAGCCGAGACGTGCTCTTGGGCACGGCCCAAGAATACAAATGTCGCTGTGAGATTTCACTGTTCACCTCACAGGATCTTCACATAGCTTTGATCCAATGCTCCTGATTTTGCAAAGATCAGGCAAAGATCCCACCTCAAAGAGTAACCGTGAGGACGACGTGACAACTCGGATGGGGCATCTCGCAGGGTTCTCTGCACAGGGTAGACCCTCAGTGAGTGTCGTTTTCTTTTCTCCTTCCTTGCCCCACTAAAAGCATGGGGGTGCCGCGAGCTGGAGGTGCTAGGTGTGCTGACTTGGAGCCTGGTGGGCTTGGGGCTGACCTGCCCATTTTCCCTTCCAGAGCTGTTGTTCACATTCAAAAGGCTTCAAGACCCTCAGGGCTTGGAATCCTGAAGCCAGGGGAAGCCTTACCTGCCATGGACACTCCCCTTTGGGGCACACCTTGCCCCCCACAATTCGGCCTTGGGGTTTGCTGGCATTTCTTTTTTCTAGAATAGGTATTTTTCCACATGGATATTCAACTGTGTAAAACAAAAGTCAGAAAGATGCAGAGATTTGTGAGGGATGAACGTGCCACTAGGAAAGATTCAGAAACACCCATCCTCTGAGAGGCCTTGAGGCCGAGGCTATGGGAGGCCCCCAGGAGCAGGAGCTCCCAGGGCCCAGGGGTGGTGGAAGGCAGGGCCTCGGCTGGGCCTGACTGGTGGGGCCCGGCCATGAGAGGCCCTTGAAGAAGTGGCTGGCTGAGGAGACAATGGTCAGGGCTGGTTTTGGAGGAAACAGAGGGCTTACGTCTTAAAACCGCCCTCTGCTCACTTTTCAGGGAGAAGATGTGTTGTTTGACTTTAGTAGAAGGTGAATGAAATTCTACCTAAAGATGAATCAAACTGTGTTGTTTTGATCCCATGCTTAGTTTTGATCTGCTTCAATCAAGGTCTTGGGCCAGAAAGGAAGCCCGAGGAGGTGGCAGGCTGAGTCCCAGGCTGTGTGGCCAGGGTGGGCACGTCCGCCTCTTTGAGACACAGTGGGTGTGGGGTGTCCCTGCTTTTGGAAGTGCAGCCCATTCGTTCCAGGCTGGTTTGGAGAAACATCCCATTTTCCCAGGAGCCTTTACGAGTTTTGGAATGCAGAGTGGGCAGCAGTCAGTACAGACATTGGCTGTGCCGAAGTAGATTCATGAACCCTGGCGGAGGTCCTGCGAGTGGGAGTTGGACGTGAGATAGTGCCTTGCTTGGCTCCCCTGGTCTGCCTAGAATTGGCAGGGGGCCTGAGGCCATTCAGGGATTGCCCCCAGGGTGCCCATCCTAGTCACTGTCGCTCTGGCCTGTGCCACCCTTGGTGCCCAGATCCCACCTCACAATTGGTCAGTGCATAGTTAGTGCTCAGTAGATGTGAAGCCACTCCCACCCGTCTTTTGTCCAGTAAGATAATCCGTAGTGGGACAGGGACTGGTGTCATCTGGGACTGGGACATGAAGCCTGGTCACCTGTGGGTGTGCAGGACACCCCGTCTGCCAGCAGAGAGTACCCCTCGTGGCACCGACAGGAGCGCTTGGTGCCCGTGTGGTCACTGCAGTACTGCTCACAGCCGCCGTTCTCGTTCACACAGATCAGCTGGTCATCCTTGTCTGGGGACAGGAAGGGGACACCCTGAGAGGGGCTTCTGGGGGTCAGCGAGAGCCAGCCCCCGGGGTGGCCATGCCCTGGGTCAGCAGTGGTGTTCTGCCTGGAAGGTGGCACTGAGCTGTGGGTGACAGAGCCTGAGCTTGGCACCACCTGCTCCGTGGACTGATCCAAAGGACAAGGCGTGGATCAGAGGAGCCACATGTCTGAACAGCCTTGCCAGTGGCTGGCAGTGCTGGCTGCGGTTGCATTTGGGGGGTGCCTGGCTGGTGGGCAGTGGCCTCCAGGGTGACCACTCTTCCGAGCAGCTGATGGGAGCCTGGGGGAAAGTGAAAGTCCAATGGGGATGGTAAAAGTGTCCAAGGGACTTTCCAATCAGAGACCCAACTGACGAGAGGACCAGAGAGCTGAGACAGTTCTCCAAGCTGGCCTCGTACCACCGTGAGCCCGCCTGGGGACAGTTAGTCCCAGCACTGGTCATGGGCTCAGACAGAAGAAGCAGAACCGGCAGCCTGACTTTGGTTGACATGGGCAAGGGGAGTGGCCCTGAGCAAGTCCAGGACTCCGGCGGGAAGGCCTGCCCTGCAGGATGCACACCAGGGCTGCTGGGCACCAGGGCTGAGCAGAGATCTCCAGGCATTCTGGACCCAGATGACCAGCAGGAAGCCTCTCTCTTCAGCCTCCTCCAGCTTGCTGGGCTCTCTTCTGCTTAGAGAAGAAAATGGCTGCTGCACAGGAGAGCTCATTCAGTGTAAGAATGTGGTCTTGGGTGGTCAAGGATGAACTGCTGTGCCAGAGAAAGGGTAGCCTTTGCCTTGGCTCCTGGGAAATGACCGCTAAGCCCTTGGAAGGTCTTGCCTGAGGGAATGTTGGTGTTTACCTGGGCCTTGAGCCATGCTGGATGGTCTAGCTGACAATGTGATGTATGGTGGGGCCTTGGGCCGCACTATCGGCGTAGCCTCTGGAGGGGCTGAGACTGAGGTCAGCCATGCGGGTGGTCAGCTGGGTCTATGTGATTGAGCCCTGATAAAACCTCTGGACACCGGGGCTCGTAGAGCTTCCCAAGTTGGCAGTACTTCCCACGTCTCGTCACACGTCATTCTGGGAGAATTAAGGACTGTCCACATGACCCCACAGGGAGAGGACAAGGGGAAGCTTGTGCCTGGTCCCTCTGCAGACTTAAGCCTGCATCCTTTGCTGTAATAAACGGTACCTGTGAGTGTATCCACTTCAGTGGATTCTATGAGTCCTTCTAGTGAATTACTGAACCCAAGGGAGGTTGGGGGCCTCAAACTTTGTGATAATTTAATATTCAGATGGTTAAAAAAAAAACAAACCCCTCAAACCTTTGTAATGGAAAGTAGAGAAGGGGAAGTTTACCAAGCGGTCCTGCGTGGTGGGATGTGGAAGTGGGACAGGGACACAGGGACTCTCAGCTGGGCCATCTCGAGGGCTGAGAATTGCCCAGGGCCGGGAGCCCAAGGGGCCACTGAGTCTGATAATCAGAACCTTGGGTCCCTGTCAAAGACCTCAGACTGGAAGGGATTTCAAGGTCACCTAGACCAATTTCCAACTGGGGCTGAGCCCTGAATGCCCGGCCTACACACCCCACCAGGTTGTGCACCCTGCAGCCCGGTTGGCCAGGCCACCTCCACCAGCTCCCCAGGGCCCTCTGCAAATATGGGACCCAAAGTGGGGCCTTACGCGTCTCACAGTTCCGGCCCTCGAAGGCAGGGAGGCAGAAGCAGATATAGGACTGGAGCTGGTCCTTGCAGGAGCCCCCATTCTGGCATGGACTTGAGGCACACTGGTCCCCATCTGTGGAGTGGGCTGGTGTCAGTAAGCTGAGAAGGGTTGCAGGCAGGACTGGTGGTGATCATCCACTCACCACTGTAAGAAATCCAGAACAGCTTCTGAAGGAACAAGAGAGCAAGCCTCGTGAGATGCACCTTCACCAGAGCACCCAACGGTAAGCACTGGACACACCATGAACTGGGGTTGGGGGACTTGGACCTGGGTCTGGCGGGGTGGGCTCAGGAAGCCAGACTTTCCTCTGGAGCTGAGGTAGGTTTCTTCTAATCTTGGCCCCTCCCCAGGACATCTGGAACTATGGGTGACCACACATTTCCTGCTCCCAAGTCAGAACACCCGAGGTTCAACCCTGACTCTTCTGTCGCTGAGCTGTGGACCTGGGACGAGGTACACAGGCTCTGAGCCACAGCTCCACCTCTGACAGGGTGGCCACACATACGGGGAGAGGGTGCAGTAGCAGATGCAAAATATTCCACAAACAGCAAAAGCACTCCACAGAAAAAAGTGATTGCTGAAGAAACTGTTGGCCACCTGAACTTAAACTCACGGGGTGCTGTGAGAATACAACAGATGAGAAATGCTTTCAAAACTAGGTGTATAAAAATGCTAGGCATGACCATCCTCAATTTGTCTGGAAAGGGTCATGTTAGCCTTTGCCTCAGACAGCTGGACCTCCTGTGAGTGTGAGGCTTCTTTGAGCATGAGGTGTCCTGAGTGTGAGGTGTCTTGTGCATATGAGATGTGGTTCTGTGAGTGTGAGGCATCCTGTGAGTGTGAGGTGTGGCGACCTGTGAGTGTGAGATGAGTGTAAGGTGACCTGTGAGAGGGAGGTGTCCTGTGAGAATGAGATGATCTGTGTGAGGTGTGACCTGTGAGTGTGAAGTGTGCCCTGAGTGTGAGGTATCCTGTGAGAATGAAGTGATCTGTGAGTATGAGGTGATCTGTGTGAGGTATGGTGACCTGTGGGAGTGAAGTGTGCCCTGTGTGAGGTGTCCTGTGAGAGTAAGGTGACCTGTGAGTGTGAGGTGTCCTGTGAGAGTAAGGTGACCTGTGAGTGTGAGTTGTCCTGTAAGACTGAGGTGACCTATGAGTGTGAGGTGTCCTGTGGGTGTGAGGTGACCTTTGTGAGGTGTCCTGTGTGAGGTGACCTCTGTGAGTTGTCCTGTGGGTGTGAGGTGACCTCTGTGAGGTGTCCTGTGGGTGTGAGGTGACCTGAGTGTGAAGTGTGCCCCGTGTGAGGTGACCTCTGTGAGGTGTCCTGTGGGTGTGAGGTGACCTCTGTGAGGTGTCCTGTGAGTGTGAGGTGACCTGTGAGAGGGAGGTGTCCTGTGAGAATGAGATGATCTGTGTGAGGTGTGACCTGTGAGTGTGAAGTGTGCCCTGAGTGTGAGGTATCCTGTGAGAATGAAGTGATCTGTGAGTATGAGGTGATCTGTGTGAGGTATGGTGACCTGTGGGAGTGAAGTGTGCCCTGTGTGAGGTGTCCTGTGAGAGTGAGGTGTCCTGTGAGAGTAAGGTGACCTGTGAGTGTGAGGTGTCCTGTGAGAGTAAGGTGACCTGTGAGTGTGAGTTGTCCTGTAAGACTGAGGTGACCTATGAGTGTGAGGTGTCCTGTGGGTGTGAGGTGACCTCTGTGAGGTGTCCTGTGTGAGGTGTCCTGTGGGTGTGAGGTGACCTCTGTGAGGTGTCCTGTGGGTGTGAGGTGACCTGTGAGTGTGAAGTGTGCCCCGTGTGAGGTGACCTCTGTGAGGTGTCCTGTGAGTGTGAGGTGACCTGTGAGTGTGAAGTGTGCCCCGTGTGGTATCTTGTGTGAGGTGTCCTGTGAGTGTGAGGTGAAATGACCTGTGGGTTTGAAGTGCACCCTGAGTGTGAGGTGTCCTGTGTGAGGTGACCTCTGTGAGGTGTCCTGTGGGTGTGAGGTGACCCGTGAGTGTGAAGTGCGCCCTGAGTGTGAGGTGTCCTGTGAGTGTGAGGTGACCCGTGAGTGTGAAGTGTGCCCTGTGTGAGGTGTCCTGTGGGTGTGAGGTGACCTGTGAGTGTGAAGTGTGCCCCGTGTGAGGTGTCTTGTGTGAGGTGTCCTGTGAGTGTGAGGTGACCCGTGAGTGTGAAGTGTGCCCTGTGTGAGGTGTCCTGTGGGTGTGAGGTGACCTGTGAGTGTGAAGTGTGCCCCGTGTGAGGTGTCTTGTGTGAGGTGTCCTGTGAGTGTGAGGTGACCCGTGAGTGTGAAGTGTGCCCTGTGTGAGGTGTCCTCTTTGAGGTGATCTTGGAGTGTGAGGTGACCCGTGAGTGTGAAGTGTGCCCTGTGAGTGTGAGGTGTCCTGTGAGTGTGAGGTGACCTGTGAGTGTGAAGTGTGCCCTGTGTGAGGTGTCCTCTTTGAGGTGATCTTGGAGTGTGAGGTGACCCGTGAGTGTGAAGTGTGCCCTGTGAGTGTGAGGTGTCCTGTGAGTGTGAGGTGACCTGTGAGTGTGAAGTGTGCCCTGTGTGAGGTGTCCTCTTTGAGGTGATCTTGGAGTGTGAGGTGACCCGTGAGCGTGAGCTGGAGAAAGTCCCAGGTCCCTAAGTGTTGTTTCTCCCCGACACGTGCCCTGAGGAGGTGCCGCTGGTGGCATGCTGTGGGCCAGCTTCTCACCACGTCCCTTCTGCGAGCCGCGCGCGTCTGCGATGCGCAGGCTGCCCTGGACCCTTCGGGGACTGGGGGGACTCCCTTGGGAAGTTAAGGGGGACACCCTAAGTGTGCTTTGCAAATCGTATTTTCTGATGTGAAAACCGGCATGCGCGGTGCGGCCGCACGGGGAGAGCGCGTGCCTGGGGGTGGGGGGCATCGCCCAGGAAAGCGGAGTCACCCCGGGCGGAAAGCGACCCCCGCAGAAAGCGCCGCGCGGGCGCCGCTGCGTGTTCGCCGCCCACAGCCGCAGCCAAAGAGACGCAGGCGGCCCCACGCGGCCTGGTTCACCGCCGCCTGCAGTGTCCGCGGCGCGGGGCGCCCCGAGGCTGGGCTCACCGTCCTCTCCGCGTCCTTGAAGATCTCCCGGGCCTCCTCGAAGGAGCACTGCTCCTCCTTGCACTCCCTCTCCAGGGAGCCCGGCCGCAGCTCCTCCAGGAACGCGTTGGCGCGCCGGCGCCGGTGCAGGACGCCGTGGGCTTCCTCCTGGGTTACGAAGACTGGGAAATGCGAGTTCCGTGAAGCGCCCACCGCGTGCCCCGCCCAGTGCCTCGGAGACCGCCCCACGGCCCACGCGGCGGGGGCATCGCAGGTTCCCGCCCGTCCTGGAGGAGGGGAGCGGCGCTGCTCGCGGGCCTGGCTGGGTGTCCTCCCTGCCGTGCTCCCGGGTCAGCCACCCCCGTCGCCCATCCTTCCCGGCCTGGCCTCTCTGCTTCCGGGGGCTGATCCCGAGGGCGCGCTCGGGGGCACGCGCGGAAGCCGGGCCGAAGGGGGCTGCGGGCGCCGCCGCGTAAACGTGAGGCTGCGGGTCGATGCCGGCGAGGAGAAGGCGGCGCGGCCCCGGGTGCCGGGCAACCCCCTGGGGCCCACGTGAACCGCGCGTGGAAATCCGTACAGCCGCCCGCGGAAATCCAAATCCCTCGTCTCCACCCGCACCGCGTCTCCGGCGGCCAGATCCGCCTTCCCCAGGCCTCCGTCCTGGTCCGAGGCGCGGCCCCTGCCCGGCTCCCCCGACAGCGAGCCCCGGGCTTCCTCGCCAGCTCTTGGCGGTCCTGGGCTTCTGCCGCCTTCCCCGCCTCCGCTTGGGGCCCCTCTGTCCCCCGCGACCCCTGAGAGCTCCAGACCTCGCGCGGATCCTCCTGGGGCCGGTCCTGAGAGCACAGCCCCCCGCCGCAGCTCCTGGCCCCTCCGTAACCCCGACGGTTACTTGTGGACAAACAGGACCGCCGTTTTGCCCATGGGAAGACGGGGCTGGTGAGGGCCAGAGACGCCCAGGGCGAGGCAACCCCGTGCGCTCAGCTCCGAGCAGGCCGCTCTTCAGGACGCCCTACAGCCGAGGGGACCGTCACCCGGGAGCGCCGTGAGCTGTGGGCACCACGCGGTGGTGGAGAGTGACCCCCGCCCCGGGGCGGCCGTGCTGCCCGAACCTGCCTCAGCCCGCGAGGGGAGACGGGCCTGGGGGCAGGCGGGAGAGGGAGGCCCCGGGAGGAGGCGAGCGGGGCTGAGAGGACGCGCGGGAGGGGCTCTGGAGAGGCCGCAGGAGGCGCGTTCCGGAGGGACGACCTTTGCTGGGAGGACGAGGCCTCAGGTGGACGCTGTGGGCCGGTGGGCAGGAGCCCGAGTTCTGCAGGAGCGGCCTAAATTGGTTACTGAGCGCGGAAGAAGGGACGGAAGGTGAGCGCTACTGGGCCACGTGGGGCCGAGAGAAAGGCCACTGCCTGTTTTCTTTAAAATCAGTTTCACACGTCGACGCCCCTAGAGAACTGGTCTGGTTTGGAAGGAGGCTGAGGATGCAGGCGGGGACACCAAAGAATCGGGCTCAAGGAGGTGGGAACTCACGGACTCCGAGTCCTCACAGGAGGTGCCCTGGGCGGCAGGAGTGGGAGGGGAGGCCCATGTCCCTGCAGTCCCCGACACCCACGCTCCCGGGACACCCACGACCCCCGGGACACCCACACCCCCGGGACACCCACGCCCCCCGGACACCCACGCCCCTGGGACACTCACACTTCTGGGATACCCACGCCCCCGGGACACCCACACTCCCGGGACACCCACGCCCCCGGGACACCCACACTCCCGGGACACCCTCGCCTCCGGAACACCCACACTCCCGGGACACCCTCGCCTCCGGAACACCCACACTCCCGGGACATCCACTCCCCCGGGACACCCACACTCCCGGGACACCCACGCCCCCGGGACACCCACACCCCTGGGACACCCACGCTCCCGGGACACCCACGCCCCCGGGACACCCACGCTCCCGGGACACCCTCGCCTCCGGAACACCCACACTCCCGGGACACCCTCGCCTCCGGAACACCCACACTCCCGGGACACCCACTCCCCCGGGACACCCACACTCCCGGGACACCCACGCCCCCGGGACACCCACACCCCTGGGACACCCACACTCCCGGGACACCCTCGCCTCTGGAACACCCACACTCCCGGGACACCCACGACCCCCGGGACACCCACACCCCCGGGACACTCACACTTCTGGGATACCCTCGCCTCTGGAACACCCACACTCCCGGGACACCCACGCCCCCGGGACACCCACACTCCTGGGACACCCTCGCCTCCGGGACACCCACACTCCCGGGACACCCACTCCCCCGGGACACCCACACTCCCGGGACACCCACGCCCCCGGGACACCCACGCTCCCGGGACACCCTCGCCTCCGGGACACCCACGCTCCTGGGACACCCTCGCCTCCGGAACACCCACACTCCCGGGACACCCACTCCCCCGGGACACCCACACTCCCGGGACACCCACACCCCCGGGACACCCACACCCCCGGGACACCCACACTCCCGGGACACCCTCGCCTCCGGAACACCCACACTCCCGGGACACCCTCGCCTCCGGAACACCCACACTCCCGGGACACCCACAACCCCCGGGACACCCACGCCCCCGGGACACCCACACTCCCGGGACACCCTCGCCTCCGGAACACCCACACTCCCGGGACACCCTCGCCTCCGGAACACCCACACTCCCGGGACACCCACGCCCCTGGGACACCCACACTCCCGGGACACCCTCGCCTCCGGAACACCCACACTCCCGGGACACCCTCACCTCCGGAACACCCACACTCCCGGGACACCCACGC
This sequence comes from Homo sapiens, assembly GCF_000001405.40. NCBI lineage: Eukaryota > Metazoa > Chordata > Mammalia > Primates > Hominidae > Homo > Homo sapiens. The sequence continues at coordinate 113,108,056 of NC_000013.11, read as the reverse complement.
CCCCGGGACACCCACACTCCCGGGACACCCTCGCCTCCGGAACACCCACACTCCCGGGACACCCTCACCTCCGGAACACCCACACTCCCGGGACACCCACGCCCCCGGGACACCCACACCCCCGGGACACCCACGCCCCTGGGACACTCACACTTCTGGGATACCCTCGCCTCCGGAACACCCACGCCCCCGGGACACCCACGCCCCCGGGACACCCACGCCCCCGGGACACGCACACTCCCGGGACACCCTCGCCTCCGGAACACCCACACTCCCGGGACACCCACACTCCCGGGACACCCACGCCCCCGGGACACCCACACTCCCGGGACACCCACGCCCCCGGGACACCCACACTCCCGGGACACCCACGCCCCCGGGACACCCACGCTCCCGGGACACCCACGCCCCCGGGACACCCACACTCCCGGGACACCCTCGCCTCCGGGACACCCACACTCCCGGGACACCCACTCCCCCGGGACACCCACACTCCCGGGACACCCTCGCCTCCGGGACACCCACACTCCCGGGACACCCACTCCCCCGGGACACCCACACTCCCGGGACACCCACGCCCCCGGGACACCCACACTCCCGGGACACCCTCGCCTCCGGGACACCCACACTCCCGGGACACCCACTCCCCCGGGACACCCACACTCCCGGGACACCCTCGCCTCCGGGACACCCACACTCCCGGGACACCCACGCCCCCGGGACACCCACACTCCCGGGACACCCACGCCCCCGGGACACCCACACTCCTGGGACACCCACGCCCCCGGGACACCCACACTCCCGGGACACCCACACCCTTGGAGGCTGGTGTGAGCAGAGCCGGTGACCGCCCTGGGGTGAAAGCAGATTTGCATCAGAAAAGCTCTCAAGAACTGAGGAAAACCTGATGAAGAACACACGATTATCTGGAAGGAACAGAATGGAGCAAAGAAGATAAAATCGCCTGCACCCCAGTCCCAGGGAAGGCCAAGCTGGAGCGGTCACTTCCTCTCGAGCAGGGAACACCCTCCTTGGGGGGCACTGCAGTAGCCACCCCGCGGGCTGGCTCTTTGCCATGGGAGGGGAAGGAGGTGATGTTGGCCCCCACTGGGCCCCAGGACAAAACCAGTGGCAGTCCCTGCTCACCTCTGTGAGGCCCCGGCTTCCACGGCATGTCCCGTGTTTCTCCTCCTGAGGCCTTAGCGACCCCGCCTGGGGCAGGAAGGTGGCCGGGGTCATAAGGCCATGCTGTGAGCTAGGGCTGCAGCCCCACATCCCAGGCACTGTCCCTCACAGCCCACCCCCCACTCGCCATCCCCACACGCCATCCCCACGCCCCACTAGCCATCCTCACGCCACACCCCCTACTCGCCATCCCCATGCCCCACTCACCATTCCCAGGCCCCAGCCCCACTCGCCATCCCCACCCCCCCATGCCCCATCCTCTGCACCCCACACGCCCTTTCCATGCCCCATCCCCCACACCCCACATGCCCCATCCCCGACACCCCACACACCCCATCCCCCACACCTCCATGCCCCATCCCCTGCACCCCACACGCCCTTTCCATGCCCCATCCCCCACACCCCACACACTTTCCCACACCTCACCCCCACACCCCATGCCCCACATGCTGTTTCCCAGGCCCCACCCCCCCACGGCCCATCCCCCACACCCCACACGCCATCCCCACCCCCGATCCTCCACACCCCATCCCCTACGCCCCACATGCCGTTTCCCACACCCCATCCCCCATGCCCCAGGCGCCATCCCCCACGCACCGTCCCCTACCTGTGCTCCCCAGCCTGGGAGCACCCTGTGCGCACTTCCTGCACTCTGAGAGGCCCCAGACTCCCTGCGCTTGTCCGACCTCACAGGCAGGGGCCCATGGGGGCCAGGAAAGCACCACCCACTCCTAAAGTTCTTTGAAAAATAATCCCGCCAAAGCCTGGGCCACCAAGAAGGGCCTCCCCTCCTGTGCCTGGATGCTGGTTTCTAGAAGGAAAGAAATTGAACAGGAGCCGCCAGAAAACCCTCCTGGTGGATGGGGGTGTCCGGAGCAAGGGCGGGGTTTGGGAAGCCCGGGCTGGCTCCTGGATTTGCCCACTGCCCTTCCACCAAGTTTATGGAGAAAACCTCCCCGGACGCACCTGCAGCCAGGCAGCCCTGAAGCCCAAGCAGAAGGCAGAGGAGCCTGAGGGCCTGGGAGACCATGATGAAATCTCTGCAGTGCTGCCCCTGCCTGTTGACATTCCCCATGGGACTGACGGGCAAAGTTCTCTGCCTCCAAGGGTGACAGAGGGATGGGGGAGGGGAGGACACAGGCGTCCTCTGAACACCCCAGCTGAGAGCTGCACCTGGCCGGCCAGTGGCCATGCATCCCCTGCTGCCCAGCCACTGAGCTCAAGTGGGGGGGACAGGAGAAAGGTCAGGTGACCCCAGCTGTGCTGCAGAGCGGACGGTTTTGTTGCCAGCGTGCAGGTGTTAAGGTGTGTGTGGCACCAACACTTCAAATACGATCTAGAATTCCAAACCCCTAATGTAAGTTGGGAAACAGATTTAAACTGCAGATGAAAACTTGTCCCATAGCAATCATGCGAGTCAAATCTCAAGACTGTATCTTGGGTGTGGATGTAAATATTTGAAGAGAGCCTCCAGACCAGGCCAGCTAGGCCGTTGCCTGCAAGGGAGGCTGGTTTCTTAGGTGAGCCACAGAGCCTCACTGAGAAGTGCCGGGAATAGGATCATTCTGGCCCTGAGCTGGGCACCCCCACTCCGTTTTGACTGCAGGCAGCACCCCCATTCTCCAGCGGTCCACATCTTACGTCTTTTTGTTTGTTTTGTTTTGTTTGTTTGAGACAGAGTCTTGCTCTGTTGCCAGGCTGGAGAGTGCACTGGTGCAATCTCACTGCAACCTCCACCTCCCGGGTTCAAGTGATTCTTGTGCCTCAGCCTCCTGAGTAGCTGGGACCACAGGTGCACGTCACCATGCCTGGCTAATTTATATATATATATTTTTTTTTTTTAGCAGAGATGGGGTTTCACCGTGTTGACCAGGCTGGTTTCGAACTCCTGACCTCAAGTGATCCACATGCCTCAGCCTCCCAAAGTGCTGGGATTACAGGCGTGAGCCACTGTGCCCGGCTGGCGGCAGTCCACGTCATTTCTACCTGCTGTCATGGGCCCAAGCCACAAGCTGTGGTGACTAACCACCCCAGGTTGCCCAGGGACTGAGGGTTCTCAGAATGTGGAACTTTCCATCCCAAAAACACTGGGGTAGACGGTCATCCAAGCCTCCTGGGTTGCCCAGCAGGCCTGTCTGACCCCTCAAGCAGGGAGTATCCTCCATGTGAACAGTTGCATTGCTGATGACTTCTTTGGAAGCTGATGTCCAGTTCTTTTTACGGCTGGAGGGAGGGAGGTGATTCCTTCCCAACAGCCAAGTCTTAGCTCAGGGGTGCCTTTCAAAGCAGCCCCCAGCACCCCCAAAGCCTCCCTGCTTGCTGCTGACCTGCATCTCAGTCCAGAGAGCAGAGCACTTGCTGAGGGGCCGACAGGGCATGTTTTCTCTTCCACCCAGCACAGCTGAAGCCCATCTGTGCCCCTCCATGATATCGATCCCAGGGAGATCGCTTACAAAGTAGCTGCTCCGTCTGGAATAAAGCTCACGTCCAGCTCAAATCTGGTCCCCGCGGCTCTCGGCCAGCACAGCCCAAGGTAATTTCAGGACGTGGAGGGGAGGGGGCCATATCTAAACCCTACCCCTTTCCCACCTGAGAGTAGATGGCTGGCTGGTCTTAGGGTACCCTTCCCCTTTGGGGCTCCAGGTCAGAGGTCCTCAACCCTCTCTGGGCAGCAGAATGACCTGGGGAACCTCAAGCGCCAAAACCCCCTGAGAGATTCAGTGGCTCATGGCCTCGGGGCTGGTGAAGCTCTTCAGGTGATGGACCCTCACCTGCATGCAGCCCTCTCTGTGCGGGCAGGCGGGAGGGGGCAGGAACCGGGCTATCTGGCTGGGCTCTCTGCCCGTCTCACTGCTGGCCAGGGCGGCTGCAGGTGCCCGCCTATGGCCATTGTCCTGGTGTGGGTCCTTGAGGACACAGGTGTGAGGGGCTCCACCTGGCCCCGGGGACCCGCTCCATACCTCCCTGAGGGGGACCTGCCTGCTGGTCTCCCTCCCACGTCTGTCCCAGGGGCATGCCTGGAACCTTGCCTGGGGCTGGACCCGGCCACACGGAGTAGCAGGTGTGGGGGCTGCTGCACCATCCCTCTCACAAAACCCCACTTCCTCCCTTCAGGGAGGCTAACCAGGCTCTCCCAGGACTCCCGGGACCTCCTCTGGGGCCTCCTTGGACATGCTGTGGCCCTGTCACTAGGATGGGAGGGTCCTTCAGCCCCTACCCTGGGGAAGGGCACGGTCACAGCTCTGTTCCCAGGCCAGGCCTCCCTCTCTCCTGTGGCAGCCTCTGTTGATCCACCCATCCACTCATTCCCGCCTGCAAGAAGGGCTGGGCCCCTCCGCCTCACAGTCACTCTTGAGTGTGGAGGACACAGGAAAACTTTGGTTGTCATCTCAAGGCAAGTTGCTTGTTTGGGGGCTACAGAAACCACGTCAGCACCTTGTTCATCTGCAGCCATCCCTGACTGTGGTGGTGGGCACACGTGAGCTGTCCAGGGAGTGTGTGAGTCAGATGTCTGTGACATCAGAATCTCTTGGGTGGTGGCTCATGCCTGTAATCCCAGCACTTTGGGAGGCTGAGGACTGAGGATCGCTTGAGGAAAGGAGTTCCAGACCAACCTGGGCAACATAGCAAGACCAAAGCTAGACAAAAAATAAAAAAATTAGCTGGGCTTGGTGGTTCATGCCTGTGGTCCCAGAGACAGAGAACCCGGGAGGCAGAGGTTGCAATGAGCTGAGATTGTGCCACTGCACTCAAGCCTGGGCGACAGAGGGAGACCCTGACTCCTTCCCTACCAAAGAATCTCCATGCTCACACTCGTACATGAGAACCACGCTCGCACAACCCAAACTCACGCCATACACATACCACACTCACACACACCGTACACATGCCACACTCATACCCCAAAGTCACACCACATAAACACACCCCTATACACATGCCACACACCTACACACACGTGATTTCCAGGCTCTTCCACACCCATAAGGAATTGGAATCTACGGGCAGGTCCCGGGAATAGTATTGAACAAACATCCAGGGAAACTGCTATGTGTTCTCGTTTTGGGAACCAGTGAGCACATCCCACCTGGTGCCAAATGCATCTCGGCAGGACGCATGTATGCCAGGGAAACAGGCAGCCACTAACAGGATTTGAGCTTGGGCACCAATTGGTTCCAAATCCTATTTGGTGCAATCCTAGAAGCAAGGGTTTCCTTGTGACGGAGGGTGCAGGGCATGGGAGGACAGAGGAGCTGCGTGCACGGATGCCTGTGTGCCCTGTGCCTGCAAAGCCGCCACAGCAAGCTGTCTTGCAGGCCAGTTCCAATGGCTGACAGTGTGTGCACTGGCGAGGAAAAGCCTGTGCTAAGCGGAACTCTGCTGTCTGTGCAGAGAAGGGAGCTGGGCCTGGGCACCACTGTCAGCCAGTAGAGCACGGGGCTGCTCCCTCCACCCCACCCGGGTGCTTTGCCTTCTTGGGGCCACAGCTGGAGGCAGCTGAGCCCTCGGGCCTGCCGGGTGTCACACCAGTGCTGTAGGATGCTAACTTTCAGTTTAAGAGAGAGAATGTATGCAAGGTTGAACAGTTATGATTTTGAGCAGAATTTTTCTTCTCTGGGCCTTGGTCCTGCTTTTCACCCTTGTCTGGGGTCTTAGCGTGGAGAGAAATTCACCATGGGATGTGCTCAGATTGTCCATCTTATCTTTTTGTCCATCTCTTAAAGTGTAGCTTGTCTTTTGTAAGAAATCTATCCTTGCCCTAGGCAATAAGAATATTCTGTTTCCTCATAATAATGTTTTAATCTTAAGTTTGGGGGGGCTATACTTTTATGCCATCATCCACATGGAAAGGCAGCTGTCCCAATAACACCCGTTCCTGAAGAGGCCATTCCGTGCCAAAGATTGACCAGCCCCAGGACAAGCCAGGTCCCTGCACACATCCCTGCCTGGGAATCTGAATTCTGCTCGACCAGTTTAGCCTCTCTCCCCCTTGTCACGACTGATGACAGGTTTATGATCTATCCAGATGCCTGGTAGGTGAGCCCTCCTCCTCCTGCCTCTGCTCCCCGAATCACCACGGCTATACTCAGACCTTTATCTTCTATGTTTATTACAATCAACTTCCTAATTCCACAAAGAATTCTGTTGGAATTTTGATGAAATACACAGATTAACTTGGGGGAGAGTTAACACTTTGGTGATACTGAATTGTCCCATCCATAAAAATCTCCCATTTAGGCCTTCTTTTATGACCTTCTATCATGTTTCATAATTTTGTCCAAAACTTTTGTTACATTTATTTTAGTATTTAGGTTGCTGTTAAAATAGTATTGTTATTGCTAGGAATGTTAATAACTTTTTGTGGGTTGATCTTGTGGACTTCTTAGTTTCAATAGTTTATGAATTCACCTGGTTTTTCTAGATATGAAAAGTTATTTTTCAATTAGCATGCCTTGGTTCCTTTTTCTTTTTTTCTTTTTTTGAGATGGAGTTTCACTCTTGTTGCCCAGGCTGGAGTGCAATGGCGACATCTCGGCTCACGGCAACCTCTGCCTCCTGGGATCAGGCGATTCTCCCGTCTCAGCCTCCCGAGTAGCTGGGATTACAGGCATGCACCACCACGCCCGGCTAATTTTGTATTTTTAATAGAGACGGGGTTTCACCGTGTTAGCCAGGATGGTCTCGATCTCCTGACCTCGTGATCTGCCGCCTCGGCCTCCCAAAGTGCTGGGATGACAGGCCTGAGCCGCCGCGCTGGCCTTGTTTCCTTTTCCTTTGCGGTGGTAGTCACTAGTACTGCGGCTAAATGGCGCTGGAGAGTAGTGGGGCCCCGTTCAGTTCTGCTGCCAATGGGGATGGTTCTAAAGGATTTCAGTACTTAAAATTTTTGCTGCAGCCGGGCGCGGTGGCTCACGCCTGTAATCCCAGCACTTTGGGAGGCTGAGGTGGGAGATCACGAGGTCAGGAGATCGAGACCATCCCGGCTAACGCAGTGAAACCCCGTCTCTACTAAAAATACAAAAAATGAGCCGGGCGTGGTGGCGGGCGCCTGTAGTCCCAGCTCCTCGGGAGGCTGAGGCAGGAGAGTGGTGTGAACCCGGGAGGCGGAGCTTGCAGTGAGCCGAGATCGCGCCACTGCACTCCAGCCTGGGCGACAGAGCGAGACTCCGTCTCAGAAAACAAACAAACAAACAAACAAAAAAAAAAAGTTCGCTGCAAAGATTTTGTTTGATACATATTATTTAGTTAAAGAAATTTTCTTCTACTCCTAGTTGGCCTAACATGACAAGTACATGTTGAATAAAAATTGAATTATTGTTTTGCATTTGTTAAGCTGGTGATTTTACCCTTCACTTCATTAATATGGCAAATTATAGCCACATTAACATACTACCCCTTGCATTCCTGGGATGAATTTACTTGCTTAGAAAGTATTACCTTTATTTATAACACAGAATTGGGTTTTACTTAATTATATTTCATTTGGAATTTTTGCATTCATCTTCATAATTTTATTTTTTCTTACATTGTCTTTTTGTTTGGTTGATTTTGAGAGACAGGGTCTTGCTCTGTTGCCCAGGCTGGAGTGCAGTGGCATGATCATCATAGCTCACTGCAGCCTTGGACTCCTGGGCTCACTTGTAAGGTCTCAGCTTCCCAAGTAGCTGGGACTACAGGTATGTGCCACCATGCCCGGCTAATTTTTAAATTTCATGTAGAGATGGTGTCTTGCAATGTTGCCCAGGCTGGTCTCAAACTCCTGGTCTCAGACAACTCTCCCACCTCGGCCTCCCAAAGTACTAGAAGAACAGATGTGAGCCACCTGGCCCAGCTGATTCTTTTCTTACATAATCTTTGTCAGGTTTGGGTACCAAGGTTAAATTTGATTCATAACTTTATTGAGTTGCTTTCTCTTGTTATATTCTTTTAAATAGCTTTTATAAATATGTTTGTATGCTTACAAAATCACCTAGATCTGGTATCTGTTTGGGGTAATTTTTTTTTTAATTGCAATGCAATTTCTGTAACTGTTATTCATCAACCCAAGTATTTCATTTCTTCTTGACCAATTCTAACAATAAATCCTATTTATCTGTTTTCAAATATATTGGCAGAAAGGTGTTCATAATGGTTCTCTCATATTTAAAATTTTTTATTTGATATGGAGTTTCTTAGGTTTTCTATAAATTAGTCAGTTTTATTAGATTTTTCAGGTACAAAGTTTGAGTTTTGCTTTTGATTTTGTTATTCTCTTTTCTCAACTGTCCTAATTGACAGAAGTATTTAAATACTTTCTTTGGGTTACGCTAGTCTTATTTTTTTGGCTTAAATGGTTAACTCGTTCATTTTGTCATGTATAAAATCAGACACCACTAAGCTGTCGACACCAATCTGAGCTGGCCGTGGCTGCTCCCTCCCGTGGCTCTGTGCACGCTGTCCAGTTCTAGAGAGCAGACTGCCCGCATCCCGTGAGTTAGAAACAAGCTTTTAAATTGCCAAACAGTGTTTCAATGATCTTCCCATTGTTTTGCAAATATTTTGTTTGTGCTCCATGTGTGCTGGAAAATAACGCAGATTTCTCTACGTTTAGGGGCAAACAGGGATCACTTTTCATGACAGTCAACATTGCTGTCTGCCGACTGCCAACTTTGCTGTGTTTTGAGCTTTATAGTCAGTGGCTTATGAGTTCCTGATTGCCACGCAGCCCCCTTTACTCTATGAACTGTCCTGAATCCCATTTCAGGTCATCGATACTGCTACACCAGCTTTCTTATGGTGTTTGTCTGTTCTGTCTTCTTTTATTTTAAATCTCCAATCTATATATAAATTTGCTTGATGGTCTCTAAGCAGTGACTTGTCACGTCTGATCCGATGCTCTTCCAGGCCAGCATAACATGATCACGTCTGTTGTGAGCCAGACACATCTGGGCTGTCTCTTCCGTTACATGTTGTTTCCTGTTAACCATGCTTTCCCCTTTCTCCACCCTTCCCTTCTTCTATTGGATCAATACCCTTTCTTTATGCTCCCTTTTCTGGTCTGGAGAGTGTCGGCTGCATTGTGATTCTGTAATGGTTCCACTACGCTTCCTCTGCTGCCTTTGCGTTTCTGACACGCACAACCTTGTTGCTATTTTGTCATCATCGCCGTCTGACAGAAGAAAGCAAAGCGGTTGCTCGGTGCCTGAGCCGCACGCTGGGCCCTGCCCACTGCCGGCTTCTTTTCCGTCCCAACAATGACTTACCATGTGCAAGCACAGTGCACTGCGGCCCTGGAAACCCCGACTGCTGAGACGTTCTGTGTCTTGACAGACAAAGGCAGATGGCAGGAGTTGCTGATATTTATTCAAACGTCATCCATACAATAAAGAACTCTGCTTTTAAAATTCCATTTACATCAGCAGTTAAAAAAAAGTGACAGTGGATGAAACATGAAGCTGTAAAGTGCCTTTATGGGGAGGGTCACACAAGGGCGCGCAGCTGTGCGACGAGACGGAGGCACCGCGCCTGCACAGTACATCAGGGACATCGCGGGACACAGCACGCGTTCCAAATAACTTACACATCAGAGGAAAAGCTGCCGAGTCTCTGCATGCTTCCTATTTGATTCCGCACCCTGGAGGTCTGGCCAGTGACGGCTACAAGCCGCTGGGAGGGTAGCGTGAGGGGAATGCAGCCACGCCTGCCTCCACTGTGCTGGGGCTGGGAACCGTGAGGCTGTGAGGCGGCCCTCCCAGCAGCACGGGGACAGCGAATATGTCCTTTCCAGCAAGACACATATGTACACACATGGTCAGAGGTGCACACATACAAAAACATCTGCAGACTAGACACCGAAAGGGCTTCAAAAGTTTTGAACAGAATATGTTTCTGAAACACAAGAAGTTGGTAAAACAGAAGAGTTTTTTTCCAGTTCTGCTGTGACTTGAATAAAATACTCTCCCCACTTTCACTTCTGTACTCAAGGTGGTCACCAGGTGGCAGGTGGACCTGGGTGGGAGGCAGGGGGCGCGTGGGGAGTGGAGTGGAGGTGCGGCCTCCGAGGAGGCTGCAGTGCAGTGAGGCAGGGGCAGGGCTCTCTGAGCTATGGTCGGCAGCACTGGTCCACGCCACACCCTGCAGAAACTGCATCTTTGTATTTTCTTTAAAAGCAATAAAAATATCCTAATTCAGTGAAGCTCTTTAAAAAAATCAAGTCCCTGCATTTTTTTTGTAGAAAAGAACGTTAATTGTTTAAATTATAGTTTAAATTTTCTTTTGAAAATGAACCCTAGGTAGATAAAGGAATCTCCTTGGCTTCTAACTGCTTTTGGTGGTGGAGACACCACCTGATGTCACCCACGGACACGTTTTCATCCACCTGTGACCAGGGAGCTTCAGGGAGTGCCATCCGTTTCCATGGGAGAGCCCCCCCAAAGTCACTTAGTGGTATAAACAACGTGCTTCTATGTAAACCCCGGTAACAAAAAAATAGTTTTCTATCAAATACAGTATCAAATTGTCATTTCATGTAAACACAGTGATTCCTGGTGAAGAATTGAGGCCAAAGTACCACAAAAAATGGCCACGGGATTGATCCCTGCTTGAAAAAATCCTAAAACTTGTAAAAGCTAAAGAGACCCCGTGCCCCGCTCTCCTCAGGCCGTTGGCCAGAGGATCCTCCACTTCTCCGGAAGCAGCTCCACCACGGTCCGCGCGTCCCCTGAAAGCACCGTCCAGAGGCAGAAGCAGCACGGTGGAGCCAGGACGAGATGCCGCTGCCCGGCGCCTGCCGCCCGGGGCTGTTCCCTGCGGCCCCTCCTCTGTGGGCTCTGGAGTCTCCGGGGAAGCCCCAGCGGGCCGGGGTCTTCCGTGGAACCTGCCTCTGCCCCGGAGGGGTCCTCTGCAGCCCGCACGGCCAGGCGCTCTGGGTGGGGGCGGTGAGGTGCCCCTTCCTCGGGGCGTCCGGGGGCCGCGCCCTCCCCACGCCACCGCAGCCCCAGACAGCGCGCGGGTCTCCGGCGCCGAGGCCGCGCTACCCCTGCAGGTCGGAGAAGGGGGCCTGGCCGCCCTCGCTGCAGCTGGACGAGTTGCTCAGCACGGCCGACCCCGGGCTCGACTCTGCGGGGAGATCAGGCGGGGACGGGCTTCGGCGTCGGCTCTGCCGGGCACACACGGGGCAGCTTCCTCGCCCGGGCCCTTGGCAGCGTCACGGGTGGGCTCGGGGCACGTGGGCCTTACCTGAGCTGCTCAGGCACTGGGCCGAGCCGGACGGGCCGAGCCGGACGGACAGGCTGCTGGCCGGCACCCAGCCCTCCTTGCCAGTGGTCGGGTCCCTGACGTACCTGCAAGGGGCGAGGGTCAGCGGCAGCCACGTGCGGGGCAGTCCGGGGCTGAGCGCGGGGTCTTACCAGAGGCCCTCGTCGCCCTCCTGCACCAGCTCCACCACGTCCCCGCTCCTCACGCGCAGCGCATCGGGGCCTCCCTTCTCGTGGTCCGCCACGACCGTGTATTTACCTGGAACCTGGTGGGAGACGGGCAGGGGCACAGACAGCGTCAGCACCCGCCCCGGCAGCAGCCCCACAGCAGCCAGGCGGAGTGCCGGGCCTTAGCGCCCTGCCCCGGTGGGAGCTCCTGGCCACGACCAGCTCCGGGGAAGGGCTCCAGCCTTGGGAGGAGGCTACGCCGCAGGGCATGACTACCGCAGCGGCGATGGAAGGCGTCTGTGAATCTGTCTTTGGGCCCAGCTGCCCCAGCCCCTCACGCTGGTCTCCACACACAGCTCTCGGCCCCAGGGCCTTTGCGCCTGCATACCCGCCTCCCGGAGGGCCCTTCCGTGCTTTCAGGTCTTATTTCCATGCTGCTTTGCTGAGGCCTTCCTTGGTACTCCCCGACTCGCCCGTCCTCTGCCCTCCCTCTCCCTGCAGCTGTCCTGCCCAACCTCCCCAAGCCTCACTCCTCTTTCTCTCCTCACTGTAAGAGTGGAGGTTCCTGTCTGTGCTGTTCCCGCTTTGTCTCCGGGGCCTAGAACTGTGCCTGGCACACAGCGGATGCTGCACAGATGTCATGGAACACGTTCCGTTGGGGAATGGGGACCCAGGAAGCGGCAGCTGTTCCTACAGAGTGGGGAGATTCACAGCCTCCTGGTGCTGCGTGTGGTGGGCTGCGGAGGGGTGCTGCCGGCTGCAGGGCCTGGAGCAGGAGGACGGTGACTGGGCCACCTGCCCTCACGTGATGGCCTGGAGCAGGAGGACGGTGACTGGGCCACCTGCTCTCACATGATGGCCTGGAGCAAGAGGACGGTGACTGGGCTGCCTGCCCTCACGTGATGGCCTGTACTGGCTCCTGCCTCTGTGGTGCCCAGAGTAGCCAGGATCACTCCCCACACCCCACAAAGAATGAGATCCAAATCCCTCCCCAGGCCCCGTGCACCCTGTTCCACCAGCCTGTTTCCCCTCCTGCCACGTGGCCTCCGCCTCTGTGTCCCCCACATCTGTTCTCACGCCCAGGCCTTCCTTCATGCTGTCTCTGTGGGAGAGGCCAGAGGCCCCGAGGGCTCTCCCTACCCTTCCACGCCTGGCTTCTCTGCCCTTCCAGAGCCTCCGGGACCTGTCCCCTTTGCACCTCCAGCCTTGGGGCATGGACCACGCACAGCACAGAAGGTGCAGCAGACACTTCTTGGTGTAACCCTCACTGGAATGATTAACACATGGCAGCTTTTTCTTGCTTCTGACATTAACAATGAATGTTTTTTCAAATGCAAATCCATGCTTAGCAGTTCCATTTTCTTACAAAATGAGAATTGTATGTATAGTTAGGAAGGCTCAGTGACAGCATTCTATGACATAAAGGGTAGGGGGGTGGGGACTGTCTCCTCTGAGGAAGGTGCACCCACGAGTGGGCTCTACAGGAGGCTGGGTGGGCACCTGGAAATTAACCCAGAAACACAAAGTGCTGCTGAGACAGAGGAGCTAGGAGGAGCTGGGGCTGCATCCTAAGACCCAGGCCCAGGTGGACCTTCCAGAGAGAGTTAGGAGGAGCTGGGGCTGTGCCCCAAGACCCAGGTCTGGGTGGACCTTCCAGAGAGAGTTAGGAGGAGCTGGCACTGCCCGTAAGACCCAGGCCCATGTGGACCTTCCAGGGTTAGGAGGAGCTGGGGCTGTGTCCTAAGACCCAAGCCTGGGTGGACCTGCCAGAAGCACCCCTAATCCCCGGAGGGCAGCCCCCACCCCAAGTGCCCACAGGGAAGCCGTGGTTACCAGCTTCTTGGGGCCCAACCCGCCGTCCTCCTCTGCGTCGGACGAGTTAATCTGCTCCTCTGCACTTGACCAGCCCCCGTCGTCCTCAGGTGCCTCCAGTGAGTGGGACGTTTTGCTCCAACCTAAGAGAGACAGACACCCGTGAGGGACCCCCCGGTGATGAGCCGCTGTCTGCATCTGTCTGAGGTGGGGTCAGCTAAGTCCCACAGACCCCCTGAAATGTGTGCCGTGGGCCCCCAACAGAGCCTGTCATCTTCCCGGGTTCATAAAGAGCTGAGCAGGACACCCCTGCAAACTTCCAGAATGCCTGGCACGTTTCAGGGTTTGAGACCATCTGCTTCCAATTGCTGGGCCACCCTGTGGGAGACCTCGATCCCCAGGCCCTGGGAAGCCACGCCCTTGTCAGGCAGGGCAGTGCCCCTCAGCCAGGAGGGAAGCAGCCTTCCTGCCGCAGATGCCCTCCCAGGCAGGTGTTTTCAGTGAGTGCCACGGTCATGTTCAACACCTAGCAGACCGAGCCGGGAAGCAGTTTCTAAAGTGAATGACTGAAGCTCACTGAGAGGGCCTGACGCCCTTGACCTATGGGATACCGAGGGCTGTGGTCCCCACTGGCAAGAGAGTAGCCCCCGGCACAGCGGCACCGAACCGGAAGGCTGAGACCATGCAGGTGCCGCGGTGGAGATGGGCTCCCATCGGCCACGCAGCTCCCAGCGGGAGAAGAGGAAGGAGCTTCTTCCAGACTTGGGACCACACATGCCCCCCTCCCCAACCCAGTGTTCCTCCTGCCAGGCTCCCAGAGGGCAGCACCGGCCTTTCCCATGCGGGGGAGATGGGAGACGCCATTGGGGCTAAATAAACACGCAAAGCCAGCAACCAGGCAGCAGGCCCAGCGCATCCCACCTGCTGCCAAATGCATCGAGGCAGGACACATGCACACCAGGGAAACAGGCAGATGCTAACGAGATTTGAGCTTGGGCACAAACTGGTTCCAAATCCTATTTGGTACCACTGGAAGCAAGCGTTTCCTTGCGATGGAGGGTGTGGGGCATGGGGAGGACAGAGGAGCTGCGTGCACGGATGCCTGTGTGCCCTGTGCCTGCAAAGCCGCCACAGCAAGCTGTCTTGCAGGCCAGTTCCAATGGCTGACAGCGTCTGCGCTGGCAAGGAAAAGCCTGTGCTAAGCGGAACTCTGCTGTCTGTGCAGAGAAGGGAGCTGGGCCTGGGCACCACTGTCAGCCAGCAGAGCACGGGGCTGCTCCTTCCACCCCACCCGGGTGCTTTGCCTTCTTGGGGTCACAGCTGGAGGCAGTTGAGCCTTCCAGGCACCACACCAGGCCTGCATCTGTGTGAGAATTGAGGACTGTGATTTTCCGGTTGCAGACCTGCAGCTTGGCCTCCTGAGTGCACCTGCAGCTGCCCCCAGCAAGGGAGGCTGAGAGACAGCAAGGGTGGGGGCCCAGGTGCCTCCTCTACAGCAGCAGGGACTGGCCTGTGGGGCCTGGCTGCCAGCGTGCCCTCCCCGTCCAGGCCCCCAGTCGCTCTGAGGCACCGCACGTGGGGCCTCTGGCCAGACAGAACCAAAAGTCTGATTGAGGACAGTGGGAACAAAAAAAGGGGGGCTGCTGTGTGTGCACAGGAGCTGGTGTGGCGTGGGCAGGACCTTACACACGAACCTGTCCACAGGGGCAGCGAGGCCGGCCTGTGCGGGGTGAAACCCAAGCGACTCTGCCCCTGGCACCACCAGAGACACAAAAGGATTCTTGAGCTGCCCTGGCCGTGGGTGCTCAGTGCTCCCCAGAGCCTCTCTGCGGGCCATCAAGAGCGCTGTGCTGGAACAGGGCGCGGGGGAGGCCAACAGCAAAACGCAGAGGTCTGACCATGATGGGAACGGCAGTGCCTGGGAGTGGGCAGCCACAGGCCAGGCCAGCACTGCTGCACCAGGAGCTGGGGGATTCTGTGTGAAGGCAGGAGGCCGGGTGATGGCCAGGAAGGTGCCCTCTGTTTTCTGTAAAACAGCCATTGGCCTTTGCTCATTGGAGTCACCACCTGCAGGGCTTGGGGAGTGGGTGCTGGGCAGCGCTCAGGCCACCCAGAACCACCTGGGCTCACTACCACCAACCACAGCAGAAATGACCCACGGGCAGTGGCCCGGCTTCGACGCCACACTGGCCACGGTGGAAATGACCCACAGGCAGTGGCCCGGCTTCGACACCACACTGGCCACGGTGGAAATGACCCACGGGCAGTGGCCCGGCTCTGACACCACACTGACCACGGTGGAAATGACCCACGGGCAGTGGCCCGGCTTCAACACCACACTGGCTTTCTCGAGACCCTGCAAGGCTGTACTGTCTTCATTCATGGATGACGAGACGGAAGCAGAGGCTGAGCTTGGCCAAAGTGCAGCAGAAGCGGCATTTGGCCCACAGGGCCCACCCGGCCCACCTTCTCCACCAGGGACCGGCTCTGCCGACTCCAGTTCACAAGCGGAGAGGGTTTGACAGACAAGAATAGCCTCTCCCAGGAGACTGTCAACAGGGAAATGACTCCCTTCTCCCAAGCACTCCTGGGGCCTCGAAGCAGCAAGCCGGGCGCCCACCCACTTGCAGGCAGGACAGTCAGTAACGCCGGGCCAGCTCCCTGCCTCTGAACTCATGCCCAGGGTGGCCACAGCTTCTGCCTGGTTCTGTGAGGCTCGCTGTGTCATGTGAGGAGGCTGTGGAGGCGGGCGGAATGGGAAGGCTGGTTCTGCTTACACCCCTGGGAACCTTTGCAAATTTTTGAAAACTCAAGATTGCAAACATGAGCCCCGTCCCTGCACTTGAAGGTCCTCAACAGGCCAGGGGAGGTCTCTGGGCTTCACAGGGCAGTTTTCACCCTGAGAATATAAGGGAGGCAGGAAACGAGAAGGGCCAGGTTCCACAGGGAGCTCAGCCTCGTCGGCCCGGGAAAGGAGGGTCCGGGTCGGACAGGGAGCTCGGCCTCATTGGCCCCGGGAAAGGAGGGTCCGGGTCGGCCCTGCCAGTTGCTATGCTCTGTGTTCCCAGCAGGAAGTGTCGGGGCAAACTGTGCCACAGGGAAGGGCAGGGAACAGGGTGCCCTATAGCCGACAGCAGCCACTGGGCAGTGAGACCCCACCCAGCTCCACCCAGCACGGCCAGGTGACCAGCGCAGCAGCCGTGGCCAGCAGCCACCGACGGGGTGGGCAGTTCCGCAGGCTCCAGATAGACCTGCTGTGAGGAGTTGGCTGAGAGGCGTGCTGTCCTCGAGGACCTGTCACCAGAGCATCACACATTGAACACAACCGCGTGTCTGCCTCCGCAGCATAAAGACCCACGAGAGCATCCCCCTTAGGTGGCCTTGACGGCCACCTGACAGCCAGCTGGGCCGCGCTTCCTGCCAACGCAGAGTGGGTGCCGTGCCCGAGGGTGCCACTCTACCTCGCACACCAAAGGGAGTCGGGTCGCTCTTTACTTCATGCCGCTTGGCTTTTTTGTCAGGACTGGTAGGAGAAGCTGCAAGAGGAGGAGGAGGCAGAAATACAACCGGAGAGAGAGTGTGAAGGACGGAGGGAGGCGGCGAGGAGGCTGACCCGCGCTCGTGCTGGAAGGGGACACCGACGTTGTGGCCCCTTTCCACCGATGAAAAAGGAGCTTCTGTGAGCAAAACACAGGGAGCCGAGGGGCCGCGCAGTGAAGGAGGGGCCGGGAGGGCATGGGAGTGGGGGCTGCGGCACTCAGAGGCGTCCTTTCGGGGCCCGTCTCTAGGGACGTTTTCTTAGTTCTGCGCTAGCAGAGTTTGCAGCACCAGAATCTGTTGTTTGTTTGTTTGTTTCAAGTCTCAGGCCAACTTAAAAGCATTTTATAAATTGGAAAACACTCCTACTTCTCTGGAAAGAGCCCTTGTCCACGCTGGCCTTCAGGGCTTCCCAGAAGAGCCGCCTGCACGCCAGGGCCGGCTTCCAGGGCCTCCTGGGCCCATTTCCCCGCCATGTATTTCCCATCATGGAGCTCTCGCAGGTGAGCAGGGCATTAGACGTCTCCGTCTCAAGGGTCCCATCAGCCCTGTTCACTAGTGGATGCCCCAGAAGATGGCTGAGCGGCCTCTGCCACCAGGCGGAGCAGAGACACGCAGCCAGCAAGGTCAGCACCCTGCAGGGAACTCACCTGAGAAGGCGGGAGAAGGCGGGGGTGGGGGGCAGGGAGAGGAAGGAGGGGGCCTGGAAAGCCAAGGACAGCTCCGTTTCTGAGCAAGCCTCCATTTGAAAAGCTCGCCTTCATTTTCCCGAAGGAAAGCCACCTCTAAATAACTCTGGTGTCTGTGCGCGAGACACAGCATCAGGGAACACGTGATTGGGTGGAAAGAAACGCTTTTGCGTGGCCGCCCTTGTGACGAAGGAGGCACGAATGGTCACACACGATGCATGACAGACGCCACCACGGTGAGGGTGGGTTTGGGGCAGGCACTACTTTTACCTTTCTGACCTTTGAGGTTAGCAAAACCCTGCAGGGTAAAGCGCTTTCTGGAAAGCGCAGAGCTTTCTGAGGCAGAGCTAGTGACCGTGTCATCTATGAAGGAAGAGAAAGAAACTATGCAGAGGGCATCGCAACCCGATGCGGAGGCGGGTCCGGCTGTCGCAGGGAGGGCCCAAGGCGGCTCCGGGTTGCACGCTCGGCCGAGGCTCCTTCTGGGGCTGGCCTTGCTGATGCAGGGGTGCAGAGCAATGGAGAGGGAGGGGCTCTTCTGTGGGGTCCTAGGGCTCTGTTAAGAGGGGAGCAAGGGGCCCTGAATGCTCTGCAAAGCTTCTTCACACTGCAGGAAGCGCAGGTTTCTCGGATGCAGTGAGCACTCCGTGAGCAGCTCCGTGTGAGGCCTCCGTGTGAGGCCCGGTCCCTGCACATACCCACCTTTGCCCTTTTCGGGGGGCTTTGTCAGTGGCGCTGAGCTGACGTATCCCTCCAGGCTTAGGGGGTCTGTTTTCCTTTCTTCCAGCTTCTTGATGTTCCTTGAGTTTCCTCTTGAGGGACTGATGACATCAGACAAATCAAAAAGGAAATAGTGTGTTGCCTGGTTAGTCTTTCAGAACGCCCTGAGGACCTGAGGCATTCAGATATCTCTGAGCTCCCGGCCTGATCCTAAAGCAGCATCTCCTGCACGTGTTTCTAAGTTAAACCCGGACGGACTGGATGAGAGCAGACGCCCACCCTCCTGCTTCTGAGGGGCCACACACTTCTAAGTTAAACCCGGACGGGCTGGATGAGAGCAGACGCCCACCCTCCTGCTTCTGAGGGGCCACACACTTCTAAGTTAAACCCAGACGGGCTGGATGAGAGCAGATGCCCACCCTCCTGCTTCTGAGGGGCCACACACTTCTAAGTTAAACCCGGACGGGCTGGATGAGAACAGACGCCCACCCTACTTGCTCTGAAGTATGAGGCTTTTTTTTTCGGGGGGCGGGGGGGGGGGCGGGGGAGTGTTTCTTTTTTAAAACTACTGTTCTACGGATTATTTATTTAGGCCATATCCTGTTCCATGAATGATTAAAGGTAGCTTATATAAGAAACAGGATAAAGTGAAAAAAATAAGTGGATGAACAAAATAAAGAAAAAACAAGGGCAGAAGAGACACGACGAAGCCACGGTCAGGGTCGGAGTCTGAAACGTGCCCACGTGTGTGCTGGGCCATCAGTGCCGGCTCCCAGCTGAGCCCCGACTGTCTGAGGAGTGCTGGGGCGTGGCTGTGATCTGGACAGGCCATGTGCGCACTGCCGTGCTGTGGAACAGCCCACCCCGGGAAGAGCTGGAGAGGGACTGGGCATTGTCGGAGGCACACATCTGTGAAGTACACCCTCTGGGACGGACCCGTCAGCACATAAACACCAGGGGCCTCAAGGAAAACCCCAATAACCACAGGGTCCCACTGACAGAGGCCGAGGACCCTGGCGTGCAAATGGCCTGCTCGGGACTGCTCCAGAAACGCAGGCCTGCGGCAGCGTGTCCATTCTCACCTGGTGCTGGTCGGGGCCGGCAGGGGCAGGCTCTGTGACTGCTCCAGCGCCCGGTGCTGGCTGGCTTCTGCGAGGAGGGAGCAGACAAACCACGTGAACGAGCGTCTTTACTTCAACGCCGAGGCACCTTGCGCATGGGGGGACTGTGCGGTTGCTCTGAACATAGGTAAAAATGCACCTGGAGCGGAAGCTACGGGAAACGATCGCTTGAAGACAGCCTCACCTCTACAAGCCTGCAGCTGGCTGGTCAGCACTTTCCGAATTTCATTCACCCACGCGGCTTTAATCTCAGGAGTTGGCGCCTGTTTCCCCAAAAGAAACGCCAGGAGGTGAGTACTCAGGCCCCCGAGGAAACACGCTTTGGTTTCACTCTCGGAACATCCAAAGATAATCTTAGGAGTCAAAGGTCAGGTGGCTGCGTGTGAGGGGAGAGGAGGAAAGCACTGTGGGTGGCCCCGCATTGCGGGACCCTCTGTGCCCCATGCACGGGACTGACTGAAGAACTGTGCCTGGCACCCAGGGCACGGCACCCTCCCCACCGTGAGAATCGGCCCTGCGTGCCAGATGCACACTTGCACCGTCCAGGGACACATGAGCTCCCCTGGGGAGGGAGAGCCCGTTTCCTCGCAGCACCCCGTCTGATGTGTACTTTTCCCCACATTTCATTCTGGGTCCAGCTCAGGGTGAAGACAGCCCAGGGCAGCATCCTGAAGTGTACAGCGGCTGCTCCTGGGCTCGATGCAACTTCATGGCAGATCCTTGCACTGGTTCCCATGAGAAACCATTCGTGGCAATGTGTAAGAGGCCAGGGGTAGGGTGGGTGGCCCACCTGGACGATGTAGACCTCCTCGCGCGCGTTGTACCAGATCTCGAACTTCTTAGCATCTCCCTTCACGTTCTCCGTAATGCCAACGGCAGCCATCTGCGAGCAGAGAGTGGAGATGGGGTTCGCGTGCACAGTGAACCCACTGCCTTGTTTTTAAAAGGTGTTGGTGCAGGCACGAAATGATGGAAATACTTTGGGGGTGAGGGCTAAGAATGGCAGAATACCCCACCCCTACACCTAAGGCTGAGAGCTGGGTGTCAGCGTGGCCACCTCAGACCGAGTTACAGACTTCCCCCGTCGGGGTCTGTGGCCAGGAGCGTGCTGCTGCAGACCCGGCCTCACTTACGTTTAAGGACTGCTTGTAGCTGTAGGAGGGAGCTTTCTCATACCCCTCCCCATTCTCCTCCCTCTTCTTGCAGAAGAGCACTGCCTTCTCGTGCAGGAACAGGTGCCGCTGCATGGGCTTGAACCTGGCCAGCTCCTTCACCTTGGTGTGGCCCCTCTTGTGGTCGGTCCAGACGCTGAACGAGCCCTGCATCAGCAGCTTGCCCAGGTCGCCGAGATTCCCCTAAATGTGCGACAGCAGGGCTGTGTTCAGGACGGGATGGGCCTGGGGCCATGGACGCGCATCGCTGAGTGAAAGCAGCCACTCTGCAAAGCCCACCCACGGTGGGATTCCAGCTGCAGGGCGTCCCAGGAAAGGCAAGCTCGTGGAGACTGACAGGTCAGCAGGTGCCAGGGGCTGGGGGAGGAGGGATGGACTGGCGGGGCACAT
Source organism: Homo sapiens (assembly GCF_000001405.40). Taxonomy (NCBI): domain Eukaryota; kingdom Metazoa; phylum Chordata; class Mammalia; order Primates; family Hominidae; genus Homo; species Homo sapiens. The sequence goes on along the minus strand of NC_000013.11, from coordinate 113,087,027 downwards.
GGGCTTCTAGGACAGTGAAGCTGCTCTGTGTGATGCTCTAGCGCTGGGTGTAGGATGTTACACGCCTGTCCAAACCGCAGAATGCACAGCACCCAGAGTGAGCTCCAAGGGGAACGGCCCTCAGTCACTAATCAGCATCAGCGCTAGTTCACCATGTGTGGCAGGTGTGGCACCCATGCTAAATGTCAACACTAGGGGAAGCCTCAGGGCCTCTGATTTATACTCAATTATCTCACAAACCAAAAATTGCTGCAATAAATCAACTCTATTAGTTAAAAAAAAAACACCTGAGAATGAGTGCTGGGTGGACATAAAGACGGACAAAAGATGAATAAGCTGTGACCTGATGTGGGGCTCTACGGGGAAAGTGACATCTGCCTTCTGGGGCCACTTGCTCTAAGTCACCAGCCTGCAAATCGCAGCCCAGAAAACAGAAGTCACGTCTGCTCCGAGCCACGCCTCCTCCCCAGGAGAAGACAAGGAGTGAGGAGGTCTGAGCTGCGTTCCTGCTGGAGATGCGTGCCCTCCAAGCAAGGGACGCTTCCTGATTTTCTCCACGTCCCAGAGAGCCCAGTGGGGTCTGTGGACCCGGCTGTGGGGTCTGTGGACCCGGCTGTGGGGCCTGGGAGTGGGCTTATCTAGGGACCACCCCAGACCTCCTGCCCAGAACCTGCACATTCACACCAAAGCGAGGGGCGTGTGCAGGGAGGCCGCCAAGTTGCTGGGCTGGTGTATTCCACGGAGGCGGCGGGGAAGACCGGGCATCTGGGCGCCTTACGTCATAGCCGGTGATAGCGATGAGGTGCATGGAGTCGTTCACGGCCTTCAGGATGCCCAGGATGGAGCTCAGCGCCTCCTGCAGGTCCTCAGCCCCCTCGCAGTTCCTGCTGTATTTCAGCATTTCCTGAGGGGCATGGGGTGAGGCAACCGCGTCGGGACACGGAGAGCCCTGGCTCCCCTGGAACAGACCCCTCAGGAGCTTGGCACGAGGTAGGGATGCTGCTCACCCTCCCCTGGTCTGTGGGGAGCTGCCCTGCCTGCCCTCCTGCAGCTGGGACAGACTGAGTGGTGCTGCAGATGGGGCAGCACCCCTGCCAGGTGCAGACCCTTGGCACCTGCTCCCCGGGGAGCTCCCTCCTGCCACCCGGATGCCAGGTGCAAACCCCTCGCACCTGCTCCCCGGGGAGCTCCCTCCTGCCACCCGGATGCCAGGTGCAAACCCCTCGCACCTGCTCCCCGGGGAGCTCCCTCCTGCCACCCTGATGCCAGGTGCAAACCCCTCGCACCTGCTCCCCGGGGAGCTCCCTCCTGCCACCCTGATGCCAGGTGCAAACCCCTCGCACCTGCTCCCCGGGGAGCTCCCTCCTGCCACCCTGATGCCAGGTGCAAACCCCTCGCACCTGCTCCCTGGGGAGTTTCCTCTCGCCACCCTAACCCTGGCCAAAGGCATGGAGTTGCAGTTTCCTGCCTGAAGGTTAGAGGGACCCACATGGCAAACTCATAGCTGGAATCCCCAGTCTAGGCCGCCCCACGTCCCTGCTGTGTGCCAGATAATCCGGGCACGGCTCCACCCTGGAGGGACGGGTCAGCACATCACACAGAATCCCATGTGGGCTGGGCTGTGTGCCAACCCATGGGGACGGGGACTCGTCTGCTCACCTGCGTCCTCAGACCCCTAACAGTGGCGCACAGTAGGACCTCGAAAGGCATCCCAGCCTCAGCACAGGCTCGGAAGAGGTGCCCTTGGCCTGGGAGGGGCAGGGCGCGATGGGGACGGGGCCCCAGGGCGGCACAGACACCTGGCCAGCAGGTGCTGGGGAGGCCGGGCCACGGTCACCGCGGAGCCCACCTTGAGCAGCAGCTGGTACTTGGTGATCCTCTGCACTGGCTTCAGCAGGTAGGAGTCCAGGCTCAGCTTGTGGTCCAGCTTTCTCTGGCATTCCTGGAACCAACCCAGAGCCTTTGGTTTGCACAATTTTCATTATTCCTCAGGAGTCGGCTAGGAAAGGGAGTAACGTTCTAAAGGAAGGTCCGGGGACAAACCTGGAAAAACGGGCAGTCGGAGCACTGTCTCCACAGGCTCTCAGAGCGGGGCTTGTTCTGACAGTACTTCTCATAGATCTGGAAATCTTCCATCTGCACCGAGGGACAGGCACCGCATCACGCAGTGAGGGATGGGCAGCGCATCACGCGGTGAGGGACGGGCACCGCATTACGCGGTGAGGGACGGGCACCGCATCACGCAGCGTCTTCCCGGCCCTGCGAGGCATTGCTGCTGGCCCCATAGCTTCCGAGGGCCGGCACTGGCTCCCAGGCTCCGCTGGGGGGCCTGCCCTCCATTAATGGGGCTCCCTGTCCCAGAGCCCCTGACTTCCCAGAGCACAGGCGTGGAGTGGAGACGGGGTTCCACCGCAGCCATTCTTAGAAGGCCATTTATGGTGTGGTTTGTTGATTTGTTTATATAATAGAACTTCTAGCATTTTCTCTGGCAGTTTTACAAATTACCTGTTATTTAGCAAAAAACAGACCCTAGCCCCATTGTGAAGTGCAATTGCTCCTGGGTGCCTCTAGGGCACAGATGGTTCTAGGGGCACAGAAGGTTTTAAGGCACAGGGCTCAGAAGTTTCTAAGGGACAGGAAGTTCTGGGGGCAAAGGAGGTTCTGGGGGTACAGAAGGTTCTGGGGTTCAGGAGGTTCTGGGGTACAGGAGGTCCTGGGGTACAGGAGGTTCTGGGGGTTCAGGACGTTTTCTGGGGTTCAGGAGGTTTTCTGGGGTTCAGGAGGTTCTGGGGGTTCAGGAGGTTCTAGGGGTACAGGAGCATCATGGTATCTCAGCCAAATTGAAAACATCGTATTTTGTGATTTCAGTTGGTTAGAATAGGAACTTGCAGTAGAATCTGAAGTCATTATTCAGTACTTTTAAGAAGTTGTGACAAAATACACGTCAAAACACCACCTACCCTCTCCAGAAAGCATCTTCCAACCAGTTCTGGGCAGTCAGTGTAGTTTTCCAGCTCCCTGAGGAATATCCTAGACAAAGAAGGTTTTTAAGTAGTATGAAAGACAGGCCGAGTCACGTGGACCAGTGACAAGTGGATGGACGTCATTTTTCAGAAGCCTGTTACGCCTTGCTCTGGGCAATCTGCCCCGCATGACTTGGAGACGCCGCAGCCACGCCTGTCCTGAGCACCAAGCTCTCAGGCGCCAGCAGGTGCAGCCCCAGGCTGAGTCTCTTTATATTTCTGGCCTTGGCTGCACACAGAAGTTGGAGGGAGCTGCTTTTCCCTCAGCACACACACGGCTCACAGGGCCGCAGGCAAAGACAGAGATGGGACCTTTCAGGGCCCTGGAGGCGCCACCCCCATAACTGGCCGTGGGTCTGTGGGTTCTCTGCAGACACACCCTGAGCCCTGGCCCTAGGCAGCGCCGCCCCCAGGCTCCTGGGCTGTTTTCTGTTGCATCTGTCCCCTGGAGGAAGTCCGGCTGGAGGGGAAAACCGTCTGGGGGATGGATTTGGGGCATGAGCACAACAGCTGAAAGCTGTGGGGACCCCTGCGTGCAGGACTGGCTGAGACCCTGGGGGCCATGAGGACAGATACTAAGGGACACTAAGGTTCTGCCCAAGCTCCGTGGACGTGGAAGGCTCCTTGGTGGTCAACTGCAGACCTGCTGCCTCCTTGTAAGTGGCAGGTGAGGTGATGAGAGGGCAAGAAACAGGTGTCAGAACAACATCCCAAGCACTGGCGATTCCCATGGCCAGTGGGGCACGCTGGTCCCCAAGCACATGGCCGCATGGGAGCCACTCACATGGGTTCCTTCCAGGACACGCAGCGGGGGCTGTCCACTGCAGCCTCCCTGGCATTCTGCACTGCGTGTGCACCCTACACCTTCCCATGAGCTCCCCAAAACTGTGTTAAAGCAGCCAAACAGCTCAGAGGAGTGGAGGACAAGAGGCCGGACAGGCCACCTGCACTGGAGAGGCCACGGGTCGCTCGGGGGACAAGCAGCCCCCATGATGGGTAAGGAACGCCTAGTTTGCCGTCCTTTTCAAGAGCTTGGGAACAAAACAGGCCTTGCTATGTGGTATGGCCTTCGGTGACCCCCTAAAGGGCCGAATACACACCTGGGAGGGGGTTCCGGCTTCCACCTGCCCAGCAGGATGAGGAGGGGATGAGGGGCAGGCGGGTCCCATTTCCTGCACCACAAAACAGGGCGCACTCGGGCTCAGAGCCCTCTCCTCACGGCTGGCGGCTCACTTACAACTTGGCTGCCTAGACACAGGCCACCAGGTACGGTGCCACGTGGGCGCTCAGAGATGGCCCCATGTACCCACACTCAAGCCTGTGCCTCTGTGAGTCCACCCCTTGGGCGCCCCTCCCTAGCCAGGCATGGCCTGGCCTCCACCCCCATTCCAGCCCCCTGAAGCCAGCACCATTAGCTGCAAGAGATCACGGGTGCGTGCCTGTGTCGGGGGGAAGGGCCCACCTGTTGTGGAAGTGATAGATTTCCTCCATGTTTCCAAACAAAACATCCTTCTTGTTGTGAAGGCCTGTTGACAGGAGGTGAGCCATCAGTGGGTTATCCATCTCCGCGGCGTAGCCCTGCAGGGAGAGCGCAGAGGTCGGCGGGGGTCCTGGGCCTGATGCTGTGGGGGGGCAGGTGGGCCAGGGATGCCGGCTCATCTGTGGGCCAGGCCAGCCCTTCATCTTTATTCTCGGGTGATTTCTAAGTTACCGGGACAGGCATCCATCAAAGCAAAAGCATTATGAACAGCACCAATTTGGGGGAATGGGGTGGAGGTTCTACCCTTCTCCCTTTTAACCTTTTATGATTCAGGTGTAACTGAAACAGAGGGCACAAATCTTATGTCTACACTCGGGTGACCTGCTCACACTCAGTAAATCAGACACTCGACTACACTCAGGTGACCACCACCTGTGCACACTCGGTGACTCAGACACCCGTCTACATTTGGGTGACCACCACCTGTGCACACTCGCTGTCTACACTCAGGTGGTCACCACCTGTGCACACTCGCTGTCTACACTCAGGTGATCACATGTGCACACTCGCTGTCTACACTCAGGTGACCACATGTGCACACTCAGTGAATCAGACACCTGTCAACACTCAGTTGACCACCACCTGTGCACACTCGGTGAATCAGACACCCGTCTACACTTGGGTGACCACCACCTCTGAACACTCGGTGATTCGGACACCCGTCTACACTCAAGTGACCACCACCTGTGCACACTCGCTGTCTACACTCAGGTGATCACTACCTGTGCACACTGGGTGAATGAGATGCCTGTCTATACTCAGGTGACCACCACTCACATCAAGCTCACCCAGGCAACAGCCCACTGCCAAGGTCACCTCTAATCTGCCTCCCACCTCCGACGAGTTTTGCTTGCCCTGGAGTGCCCCGTGCCGGGAATCGCAGGCACCCTGTGGCCTGTGTTGGTGACGATGTGTGTGTGGTTTGTGCATCTGTTGTGTGTCAGCTCCTCTTTCTTATCACTACACTTGTCCCCTGTACGGACCCCCCTGAGCTGCCTGGTCTGTGTCTTGTTGATAGGCCCCCAGGGGCTCCCCGTCTGGGGCCCGACCAGGCTGCTGTGGGCGCTCTCTCACATGCATTTGGTGGACAGCAGGCTGCTCCGAGCAGCAGTTGTCAGAGGAAGCCCCACCAGCTGGCCCAGGGGAGTCCCCGTGGCAGTCGGCCCTCCCCGAGTCCAGCCTCACCTCCAGGACGCACAGCAGCTCCTCCACGTAGGCCCGTTCTGTGTCCAGGAGCTCGCTCATCACGTGCCTGGTGGCAGGTCATGTGGAGAGCAAAAAAGGTTAGCACTGGGAGAGCAGGAATGGTCTGCTCCACAGTCTCACAGGTGCCACCTAGAATGATGGCCTGCCCAGCAGGAGGGGACTGGCGGCGACCCAAAGCCCACAGGCTGGACGCTCCTCGGGGTTCCCCTCCCAGCTCGCGGCCTCAGACCCTGCAGACGGCGGCTGAAGCCTCCCTGGTTCCCAGACTGGCCGGCAGTGTCTTGCCCCTGGCCCGGCACACACCGCCTGGTAGGAGGGATTCCCAGACTCGCCTCCTGGGCTTTTGGGTCCCACCTGTGCAAAATGAGCTGAGTTCCTCACGCTCATGGGCAAGTCATCCTACTCCTAGGACCCATCCCTAGAATCCACCCGAGTCTCTTCTGCCAAGAAGACGCCCGCCTGCTGCCCGGCCTCCCTGAGCCTTCCTCGTGGTGGGTATCTGTGTGGCCCCTCGTGGCCAGGGCGGGGGTCTGGCATCGCCGGAGCTGCCCCCTGCCCACGCCCTCACACACAGCAGGTGGGCAGTGGTGGTCCGGGGAGTGACCCTGCACCCACCACACTGGATCCAGAAGGGGAGGGTGCACAAGCTGGCTGCGCAGGTCTTGCTGTGGGTGTGAGCACCTTTCAGCAGCCTACGGCCCTGCCTGCTTATGTGATGCACAGAAACTGGAGCCAGGGGGCTGGTCCTGGGTTGAGGTTGTTCAGCAAGCTTGTTCTAAGACAGCTGTCGGCCCGCAGAGGCCCCGGACTCGGCACAGGGGAGAGGACTGGGGAGCAAGAGGGCTCTGGACTCCCTCTCACAACCCAGGAACTGCCAGCCGAGGGCCACTCCTTCTGCGTCTCAGGGCCGAGCACTTGCTGCTCCTCCCTGCGGACGCCCCTCTGCCTAGACCCTCCTCCGTATGGACACTCCTCTGCCTGGACCCTCCTCCGTACAGACACTCCTCTGCCTGGACCCTCCTCCATACGAACACTCTCCTGCCTGGACCCTCCTCTGTGCGGATGCCCCCCTGCCTGGACCCTCTTCCGTATGGACTCTCCTCTGCCTGGACCCTCCTCCATTCAGACGTTCCTCTGCCTGGACTCTCCTCGGTATGGACACTCCTCTGCCTGGACTCTCCTCCATACGAACACTCTCCTGCCTGGACCCTCCTCTGTGCGGATGCCCCCCTGCCTGGACCCTCTTCCGTATGGACTCTCCTCTGCCTGGACCCTCCTCCATTCAGACGTTCCTCTGCCTGGACTCTCCTCGGTATGGACACTCCTCTGCCTGGACTCTCCTCCATACGAACACTCCCCTGCCTGGACCCTCCTCTGTGCGGATGCCCCTCTGCCTGGACCCTCTTCCGTATGGACTCTCCTCTGCCTGGACCCTCCTCCATTCAGACATTCCTCTGCCTGGACCCTCCTCCGTGCAGACGCCCCTCTGCTTGGACCCTCCTCCGTGTGGACAATCCTCTGCCTGGACGCTTCTTGGCAAGCCCCTCTTCCTTCCCATCCTGTTTCACCAGCTTCCATCAGAAGCCGGAAGTGACAGACTCAGCTTTCACACCAAGCTCAGTTTCCTGTAATTCCCAATTTTGCGCCGTCTCCCAACCCTGCAGGGTCACACTGGCGCTGCCTGCGGACACCTGCTTGTCAACACATCAGGAAGAGCCTTTTCTTCTTTCCTGATTTTGGAGTTTTGATGGTGAAAGGGGGAGACGTGGTTCCAAGCGTCTCTTGCAAACATATTCAGTGCAAATACTAAAAACGGAGACAGTGCAAAGTGTGAAGCCAGTGGCGGGTGCCTGGTCGGTGTGTGGCCTCCTCCTCTTCCTCGAGGGCCTCTGGGAGGGAGCCGCGTGTGCCTCATGGGTGTTTGGCTCCTTCCCAGTTTTGCTCTGGGGACCTGCATTCCCTGGCCCTGCACCAGTGAGGTCTTTCTTTCTTAAAGGTGAAGGAGGAAAGAGAACTGCTTTTGTTTGCACAACACTCCCTGAGTTTGAGGGTCCAGGAATCCCAGGGGAAAAGGAGGGCTGGAGACGATGCCCTCCCACACACCAGCTGCCTGGCACCACTGCCTGCCACACTGAGCCCTGAGCAGCTGGTGACTGCTGCTGCAGCTGGTGCTGGTTGGGGCCTTTGAGTGGTGTCTCCTGTGAATGGCAGTGGCGGGTGGAGGCTCTTGCTGGGGCGAAGATGCCCCTTCACTGTTGCATTCAGCCATCGCCCTCTCTTCCCTCCTGAATCCCGAGTGGTGTGTGTGCGGCGTGTGTGTGCTTCACGCGGTGGGGACCAGGACACACGCTCGAGCCACGGCAGGCCCTCTGGGTATCGGTTGGTGCAAAAGTAAGAACCACAATGACTTCTGCACCAGCCTTCTATCTGTGAGGCATCTGCTCGAGTGCCTGACGGCATCTGGTGGTTCAGGCTGCGGTCGGAGGGCCCCTGTGAGGACAGAAGGGCAGCGCACCCACCTGCGCAGGATGGCCAGGCTTTCCTCCTCCTCCCCCGCTGAGCCGCGGCCCTGCCGGCTCTCACTCATCTCACTCTGGGGAGAAAAACAGCGTCAGGTCTGAAAGGCGGGACGGAACCTCAAGGGCCAACTCTCAAGGCCAGAGCCCACCAGTTCCCGTATGGGGACAGGGCTGAATTCCCACGATGGGGAGCTGGCCAGGTAGCTGGGCAGTGCCCGGGAGGGGGGGCCACACGGAGAACCAGGCCCAGCGTGAACCAAGGAGGGGGGTGTGGATGGCGGGGTTGTCTTGGGCAAGCCTCACCTTGGCCCTCCGGTAGGGCCCTCTCCGGAGCGCACCGCCCTCGGAGCTGGAGTTCTCAGAGCCTCGCCGAATGCCTGTTGGGAAGAAGGGGAGCGGGGCATGAAGTCCCCTCTGACCCTCTGGAGAGGGGAAGTGCACCCAGCGGGAAAAGGCCCCGAGGAGAGGGTAGGACTCGGCCTCTGAGGCCACAGGTGGTGGCGTGGGCAGGACTTGGCCTCTGAGGCCACAGGGGGTGGCATGGGCAGGACTTGGCCTCTGGGGCCACAGGTGGTGGCGTGGGCAGGACTTGGCCTCTGAGGCCACAGGTGGTGGCGTGGGCAGGACTTGGCCTCTGAGGCCACAGGTGGTGGCGTGGGCAGGACTTGGCCTTTGAGGCCACAGGTGGTGGTGCGGGAAGGGGGAGGACGGTGGGGCCTCACTGCCCTGAGTCACCCCACGTTCCCACAGCCCACGGGGACACAGCGCCTGTGGGCTCCGACCTGGGAGAGCTCCCAACAGGCAGAAAATAAGGTCGCCTGGGACCCAGCACAGGAAGGCAAGAGCCTGGCCCCCGGGGCCCCTGAGATTGACAGCTGACTTTCGCCAAAGCTGGGGCAGCAGCTCGCCTGGTGGGTTCGTGTGTGAGAAACCAGCAAGGATGGGAAGAGGGTTCGTTTTGAGACACAGAGGTGGCGGGAAAGTCTCTGGGAAATGGCGCCGTGCCTGGCTCGGCATAGAGGGCGGGTTTGGGACCAGCAATGCGCGCCGGACTGAGGTGCGCGGACGTGGCTCTTCAGGGCTCCTGGAGCCCAGGGTCTGGGCCGTGTGTGAGGAATGTTGTTTGGCAATAGCACCGGGAAAGGACAGACCGTGGAGAGGCTGGAGCTGGGAAGGCCGGAGATGGTTCCTCTGTGGGAGCTCTGTGTTTCCAGTTTTGGGCCACGTGGGCTTCACTGAGACCACTGAACCCTGCCAGCCTCATGGAAAAGCAGCCACAACGATGCCTACAAGATGTGCGTGGCACAGGATGGGCGTGGCCGGGTCCTGACAAAACTCCATTTATAAACATGGGTGAGGGGTGGCGGGAACCGGCCCTCAGGCCCTGAACTGGGGCCCGGAGGTGGAAGGGGAGGAGGCGTGTGGAGACAGTTTTCGCAGGTGGCTGCCTCAGATGTACCAAGCTCTCAACGCCCGGGGCTCCCCCGAGGGTCCCACAGCACCCGGGGCACCGGGCGGCCACACAGACCTGGGGAGGGGCAGGGCGACTTTGCCAGTGCCTCGGGTCTGGGGGCCACCGGCTGCACGGGCCGCGTCTGCCTGGCCGCCAGCTTCTTCAGGCTGGCCTGCCTGCGGTGGAACACCTCCTCCATGCTTGCCTGCTTCTGGAAGACCTTTCGCACGTGCTCCTGAAACCGCATGCTCAGTAAGGTGCCTTGCACATGTTGGTGTCATCACTAAAAATACACAGTCAGGCGCAGAACGTGCCGGGGCACGCCCAACCCCCGCTTTAAATGTTCTCCATGCGGGGTCTGTCAGCGCAGCGCAGCTGTGTCCAGCCCTGGCCACTACGGACGGAGAGGGGGATGCAGCCCCCACACGGGACGGGGCCCCGGCCTCGGGAAAGGGCAGCTCCATGCGAGGGAGGGGCCTGCAGCCTTCCCCAGGCATGTGGAGGGCTCAGGAGGAGCCTGGTCTCAAGGGCATCACCAGGTCCCAGGGCCAGGCCCTTCCTGAAGAACACACCCATGCCACAAAGTCTGCCAGCGGAGGCGGGATGGCCACCTCGCAGGGTTGGCGTGGAAATAATTTCTGTGTTGAAAGGAAAATTCAGCTTGACCTCCCAACTGTGTGTTTCTCTCATATGCCTATTATTTGGTAGTAATTCATTAAATGGGCCAGGTGCGGTGGCTCACACCTGTCATTCCAGCACTTTGGGAGGTTGAGCTGGGTGGATCACCTGAGGTCAGGAGTTCGAGACCAGCCTGGCCAACATGGTGAAAACCTGTCTCTAATAAAAATACAAAAATTAGCCAGGCTTGGTGGTGGGCGCCTGTAATCCCAGCTACTCAGGAGGCTGAGGCAGGAGAATTGCTTGAACCTGGGAGGCGGAGATTGCAGTGAGCTAAGATCGTGCCACTGCACTCCAGCCTGGGCGACAAGAGCGAGATTCCATCTCAAAAAAAAAATAATAATAAATAAATACAAATAATTCATTAAATGATTCTTTCAAACTTCCCACAGAGGAATGCCTCACTGCTCGGGACAGCAAGCTGCAAATGGAGAGCCCGAGTCAGCGTTACCATGAGATCTTGGTTGAGGATGGATTCGTATTCCTTGTAAATCGCGTTGAGCTCCTGGATCTTATTTTCCGCACCGGTCTCCAAAAACTTCTCGATTTCCTGGAGGGCAGCCTCCGCGCCGTCCTGGGACTGGCACTTGTCCACAGGTTGTGAGGCCAGCAGGTAAATCCCTTCATCACACCACTTCATGGACTGGAAACACAGAGCATTGCCGAGGGCAGGACGCCGTGAGAGGGTGAGAGCGTCACCCTGTCCAGGCACACACTGCCGGGGTGTCCTCCCGACAGATCCCGGGCCACCGACTCCTCGTGCTCCCGCCACCCTGTCCAAAGCACCCCAAGGGGACACAGTGCTGGACAAGGCCAATCCCAAGGGGACACAGTGCTGGACAAGGCCAATCCCAAGGGGACACAGTGCTGGACAACACCAGTGAATTACCCAGGGCGGGGCCTGGAGAGGCAGGGTAAGTGCAGTAGGATCAACCAGGCCTTAAGCTTCTGGATCTTTTAAAGAAATCATTATTGGCTGGGCAGGGTGGCTCACGCCTGTAATCCCAGCACTCTGAGAGGTGAAGGTGAGAGGATCACCTGAGCCCAGGAGTTCGAGACCAGCCTGGGCAACATAGTGAGACCCCATCTCTATCACACACACACAAAATACAAGAATTAGCTGGGTACGGTGGCATGCACCTACAGTCCCAGCTACTTGGGGGCTGAGGTGGGAGGATCCCTTGAGCCCAGGAACCAGAGGTTGCAGTGAGAAAAAAAAAAAAAAAGAAATAAAACTGTGGCAAATGAATTCTAGAAAAAGACCCTCTAGGCCAACAAGACCAGAAACGAAGGGTGCAAGGACATTTTCCAGCCAAAGAGCTGCCCTCCCCACGACAAGGGTCAGCCGGTGGTGGATGTGGGAGGAAGAGGCTGGTTCCGCAGCTGGGGGGGAGTGGGGTGGGGTCCGGCTCGGCCTACCGTCTCCAGGCGGCGGTGCAGCTCCAGGGACTTGCTGAGCAGCCCCCTCCTCCTTGCGATCTCCGCAGAGAACTGGTCACAGAGGTGCCGGAGCTCCTGGCACTTTGGGCGGATGGAGTCTACCGCGTAGTGCTTGTTCCCAATGAGCTGCTCGCCGTCCAGAGACAGGGCCCGGGCCCTCTCCACGGCCACCTGTGGACGGCCACCCAGAGGACCAGCTCAGGCCTCTTTCTGTTCGAGGCACACAGTGCCTTGCTGTACGGGATGTGTGTCCCGGGGCACACGTGTGTCTTGATTTCTTTGTTTACTGCTGCGGATGCCTGAGATGCTGCTTAATCCCCGAAGCTGTTCTGTGGCAAGTGCTTCTGGGGGCTGTGGTGGTCCCAGCAAAGGCATTGACCGTCTGCAGGGACCTGACCCAGAGGAGGCCGGGCAGGGCCATGTGCTGTGGGTGGGGTGTGGGAGGGGAGGGGTACAGGCAGCAGCACCCCCCACCCCATGGACATCCCCGGGGGGCTGTGGGGTCCGTTCTCCGTAGGCGGGAGGCCCATTCCTGCGCCTTCCTGAGCAGCACTTGATGATGCTGCCCACACTCTCCCGCCGCCCCCGCCGGGACCCCGCCTTACGCCTGATTTCTCCTCGAAGCTGGCCAGGTCCCTCAGCAGGTGCTCCACATGCGCCAGGCTGTTGCCGATGTCTGTGAAGGTTGCTATCTTCTGGGACGCTGCGTCCAAGATGGCTTTGACCTGGAACAGAGGAGGGCCCATCTCAGGGGGGTGTCTCCCTCACCTGAACAGAGAGAACCCACTCCAGTGCTCCAGATCAGGGAAATGACAGAATTCAAAGTCGGGCCAAGTGGTCATCAATCAAGCAGGGACCACAGTCAGACAGGTGCAAAGTCGGCCCCGAGTGGTCACCAATCAAGCGGGGACCGTGGGGCCTCTGGGTCGACGCTACCCACCAGTGACCTCACTGGCAGAACAATTGTTTCTCTGTGGCTTGTGTGTGCCTCCGTTTATCAACCACACGCCTGAAAACAGCATGAGGAGAAGATGAGATCACGCAAGGACAAAGGCCCTGGGAGCCGAAAGCCAGCAGCAATATGGACACTGGAATTGTCAGCATTCCTACTGGATCCTAGGTGTGGAGAGTTATGTAACTCAGTCCCTTCTAGCTTGCTACTAACTTCTAATGTCTACGATTTCTGCTGTTGGCAGGAAGACAATGGGTGTCATAGAAATGATTTTTATTTTAATTTTTAATTTTTTTTTTTTGAGACGGAGTTTTGTTCTTGTTGCCCAGGCTGGAGTGCAGTGGCGTGATCTTGGCTCACTGTAACCTCTGCCTCTCTGGTTCAAGTGATTTTCCTGCCTCAGCCTCCCAAGTAGCTGGGATTACAGGCACCAGCCATCACGCCCAGCTAATTTTTGCATTTTTAGTAGAGATGGGGTTTCACCATGTTGGCCAGGTTGGTCTTGAACTCCTGACCACAGGTGATCCACCCGTCTTGGCCTCCCACAGTGCTGGGATTACAGGTGTGAGCCACCATGCCTGGCCTGATTTTTAAAACATATGACCACTTATTCCTTTAAATACAAAAGCTTTTAATTTTTGTTATTGGAAATGATCCTGAGAATGGGTGTGTACGCAGACATCCCAGTGCCAAGGGGGTTGTAGTTCAGATGGCCTGGGGTTGAAGGCCAGGAAGGCAGGATTCTTGTCCATCCTTGAACCCCCTGCATCTGGCACAGCTGATGAGTGAGACTTCTCTCCATGTTACGCACAGCCACTGAGTTATGGATAATGCACCACCTCTCAGAAACTAGCTCGGATATAGAAGAACTCAATACCATCAACCAACAGGATCTAACTGATATGTATAAAACTTCACCTAACAATAGCAGAATACACATTCTTTTCAAGTGAGGAACATATACCAAGAAAGACCATATTCTTGGGCTGCAAAACAAATCTCAACACATTTATAAGAACAGAAATCATACAGAGTATGTTCTCTGATTACAATGAATCAAACTTGAAATCAAGAATGGAAAGACAACGGGAAAATCTCTGAACACTGGAAGCCAAACAACATACATTTAAAGAATGGATGGGTCAAAGAGGAAGTTCCAAGGGAAATTGGAAAAAAAAAAAAAAAAAGCTGGAGTAAATGAAAAAGAAAATACAATACATCAAAATTTGTGGAACACAGCTAAATCAGTGATGAGAGGGAAATTTATAGTGTTCTTATTAAATATGTATGTTAGAAAAGAGGAACAGTCTCAAATAAAGAATGTAAGTTCCCACCAAAGCAATTTGTAGAAATAATAAAGGTAGGATCAGAAATCAATGAAACTGAGAACAGAAAACAACAGAGAAAACTAATGAAACAAAGAACGAGTTCTTTGGAAAGATGAGGAGTGATACATCTCAATCTAGATTGACAAAGAAAAAAGGAAAAGATGCAAATTACAAATATCAGAAATGAAACAGGGAATATCACTACAGACCCTGCAGACGTCAAAAAGATAAGAAAGAATACTATAAACAACCCTACACATTGCCTTGAAAAGCACACTACTATATCTCATTGTGAAACAGATAGTTTCAATAGTTGCGTAACTATTAAGGACACTGAATTCATAATTTTAAAAGTCTCCCAAAGAAATCTCTAGGCCCAGATAGTTTTATTGAGCATCTACAAGAATCCTACAACTAACATTACACCTGACAGTGAAAAACTAAACACTTTCCTCCTAAGGTTGGGGACAAAGCAGAGATGTCCAGTCTCGCCACTCTTATCATATGGTGGAAGCTCTAGTTGGGGCAGTACGCAGTGGGGCAGGGTGTTGTGGGTGGGGGGTAGAATAAAAGGCATATCTTCAAAAAGGAAGAAACCAAACTGTCCTTATTTGCACATGACATGATGGTCTATATGGAAAATGTCAAGGACTTCACAAAAAACCATCTCAAATACGTGTGCTCAGCAAGGTCGCAGGAGACAAGATAAATATACAAAAATCAATTGTGTTTCTATGTGCAGCAATGAATACATAAATGCCAAAATTAAAAATATAATACTGTGATGACTTCTTAAAGTGGAATATTAAAGGTAAGTCAAACAAAATACGTACTGAACTTGTGTGCTGAGAACTACTCGACACTGATGAAAGAAATCAAATGTTGGGAATACCATGTTTGTTGACTAGAAGAGTCAACACAGTAAAGACATTTCTTCTCCTTAAAATATAGGTTTAACACAACTCCTATGAAAACCCCAGGAAATTTGTTTTCATATATGTAGACAAGATAATTTTAAAATTGCCATGAAAAGGCAAAAGAACTAGAAGCTAACACAATTTTGAAAAAGAAAACAAAGAGGGAAGAATGAGTGTACTTGATTTCAAGACATTATATAGTTGCAGCAATTAAGACCTTGTGGTACAGACAGAGGAAGAGGTATGTAGATAAACATAATTGAATAGAGAGTCTCCAGAACAGACCCACACAAATGTGCCCAGAGCTTTGACAACGGTGGAGAAGAAATCCAGTGGAAGAAAGGGCCTTTTCAACAAACAGTGCTACAGCAATTGGACATCCAGAGGTAAAACAAATCATGATCTAATTCTCATACCTTATACAAAAATTAGCTCAAATTAGGTCATAGACTTCAATGTAAAACTATGAAATTTGAGGGGAAAAAGGCTTAGGGGAATATACTTGGAATCTAGGACCAAAAGTATAAACCTTAAAAGGAGAAATTGACAAATTGGAGTTCGTCAAAATTAAATGCTTTGGCTACGTGAAAAACCCTGTTAAAGAGGATGAAAAGACAAGTTACAGACCAGGAGAAAATATTCGCAAACCACATATGTGGCAAAGAACTAGTATCTGCAGTATATAAGGAATTCTCAAAATGTAACAAAACCGTAAAACAAAAGCACAAAACCAAACAATCCAGTTAGAAAATGGGCAACAGAAATAAGACATTTTACCAAAGAGGATATGCGAATGGCAAATAAGCACGTGGAAAGGTGTTTAGCACCATCAACACTGGGGAAACGCAACAGAAAACCACCGTGAGATGGCACACACATCAGGATGTGAGCATAATATGAAGAATCACTACCCCACCACGTGCTGGGGAAAGGGGAAGCAACTAGTCTCTCATACACTGAGAACCGTTTGGCATTTTCTTAAACGAAACATGCAACTACTATATAACCCTGCAATTACATTCTGGGCACTTAAGCCCAAGAAATGAAAACTTACATTTACACCAACATCAGTATATCAATGTTTGTAACAGCTTTATCTGTAATACTCAAATCCGGAAACAACCCAGATACCCTTCAACAGGTGAATGATTGAAAGAACTGTGGTCCGTCCACACCGGGGAACACAATGAGTGAGCCACCGGCACCTGGGGGTCTGCAGAGAGCTGTGCTGAGCAAACAAACAAATCCCGAGAGTGACATTCTGTGGGATTCATTAATGTCACATTCTTGAAATGGCAAAAGCACAGCCACGGAAACAGATGAGTGGTTGCCGGGGGCTGAGGAGGGACATGGGTGAGTCCACGAAGGGCCGCAGGAGGGAGACGTCTGGGTCTGGCTGCACTGGCCGTGTCGCTGTGCACCTCATGACTGTGACGCCGTCCTACAGTCTGGCACACAGCAGGCACATCCTACATGCATGTTGAATAAAAGGGCATGCAAATGACTATGAAGGGAGAGCAAAGGCTTCCTGCTACTTTACGAATAATGCAGTGTAAGTGCATCCCAGTGAGCTGATTTTCAATCACCTTTCTATACAATGACGCAGTCATCAATCGTGCATTTCAAGGCTCAGCCTGACTTAATCTCACAGGCTCCACCTGGCAAGCGGAGACTTTTCTGCATTAAGCCAAAGTCAACTGGGTGGCACGGCTCAGCTCCCGGCACTGGGACCAGGGCGCAGGCACAGGAGGCCCCGTGAGCATCAGGGCGGCTGCCGGCTCCACCCAGGGCCACTCACCTCCCGGAAGCCCTGCTCAAAGTGCCGGAGCTGCAGACACTGCTCCAGTTTCTGCTGATGCTTTGCCCAGAACTCATCGAAGGCAGCCTCGGTTTCGTTCAGCTGGGCCAGGAGCCTGGGAAAGAGGAGGAGTTGACCGTCTGTGTGGCCCACGGCGCCCCATGCAACGTGGAGCGCGGTGGGTGTTCAAGCGACCCCAAGGCTCATCTCCACCCCGGGCCTTCCTGAGATCCTGGCCTCCGCTCACTCCCTGCACCTAAACCTGGGATCTGCGGGCGCGGGCACTCAGGGCCGTCAGCATGGGAGGGAGGCCCTGGAGAAAGCATCAGGGGCTGTGTCCTTTCCTTCCTGCTTCTCTCCCTCTAGGTCACTGCGACTAGGCTGAGCCGCCGAGTTTGTTCATTTTTATTTTTTAAAAGTTTAAAAACTTTTTTTAAAATTTATTTTTTGAGATAGGGTCTGGTTCCATCACCTGGGCTGGGTGCAGTGGTGCAGTCTCGGCTCACTGCAACCTCTGCCTCCGCGTAGCTGGGACTCCAGCTGTGCACCACCCAGGTGCAATCTCGGCTCACTGCGACCTCTGCCTCCACGTAGCTGGGACTCCAGCTGTGCACCACCCAGGTGCAATCTCGGCTCACTGCGACCTCTGCCTCCGCGTAGCTGGGACTCCAGCTGTGCACCACCCAGGTGCAATCTCGGCTCACTGCGACCTCTGCCTCCGAGTAGCTGGGACTCCAGCTGTGCACCACCCAGGTGCAATCTCGGCTCACTGCGACCTCTGCCTCCGCGTAGCTGGCACTCCAGCTGTGCACCACCCAGGTGCAATCTCGGCTCACTGCGACCTCTGCCTCTGCGTAGCTGGGACTCCAGCTGTGCACCACCCAGGTGCAATCTCGGCTCACTGCGACCTCTGCCTCCGAGTAGCTGGCACTCCAGCTGTGCACCACCCAGGTGCAATCTCGGCTCACTGCGACCTCTGCCTCCGCGTAGCTGGGACTCCAGCTGTGCACCACCCAGGTGCAATCTCGGCTCACTGCGACCTCTGCCTCCGCGTAGCTGGCACTCCAGCTGTGCACCACCCAGGTGCAATCTCGGCTCACTGCGACCTCTGCCTCCGAGTAGCTGGCACTCCAGCTGTGCACCACCCAGGTGCAATCTCGGCTCACTGCGACCTCTGCCTCCGCGTAGCTGGGACTCCAGCTGTGCACCACCCAGGTGCAATCTCGGCTCACTGCGACCTCTGCCTCCGCGTAGCTGGGACTCCAGCTGTGCACCACCCAGGTGCAATCTCGGCTCACTGCGACCTCTGCCTCCGAGTAGCTGGCACTCCAGCTGTGCACCACCCAGGTGCAATCTCGGCTCACTGCGACCTCTGCCTCCGAGTAGCTGGCACTCCAGCGTTGCACCACCCAGGTGCAATCTCGGCTCACTGCGACCTCTGCCTCCGCGTAGCTGGGACTCCAGCTGTGCACCACCCAGGTGCAATCTCGGCTCACTGCGACCTCTGCCTCCAAGTAGCTGGCACTCCAGCTGTGCACCACCCAGGTGCAATCTCGGCTCACTGCGACCTCTGCCTCCGCGTAGCTGGGACTCCAGCTGTGCACCACCCAGGTGCAATCTCGGCTCACTGCGACCTCTGCCTCCGAGTAGCTGGGACTCCAGCTGTGCACCACCCAGGTGCAATCTCGGCTCACTGCGACCTCTGCCTCCGAGTAGCTGGCACTCCAGCTGTGCACCACCCAGGTGCAATCTCGGCTCACTGCGACCTCTGCCTCCGAGTAGCTGGCACTCCAGCTGTGCACCACCCAGGTGCAATCTCGGCTCACTGCGACCTCTGCCTCCGAGTAGCTGGCACTCCAGCGTTGCACCACCCAGGTGCAATCTCGGCTCACTGCGACCTCTGCCTCCGCGTAGCTGGGACTCCAGCTGTGCACCACCCAGGTGCAATCTCGGCTCACTGCGACCTCTGCCTCCAAGTAGCTGGCACTCCAGCTGTGCACCACCCAGGTGCAATCTCGGCTCACTGCGACCTCTGCCTCCGCGTAGCTGGGACTCCAGCTGTGCACCACCCAGGTGCAATCTCGGCTCACTGCGACCTCTGCCTCCGAGTAGCTGGGACTCCAGCTGTGCACCACCCAGGTGCAATCTCGGCTCACTGCGACCTCTGCCTCCGAGTAGCTGGCACTCCAGCTGTGCACCACCCAGGTGCAATCTCGGCTCACTGCGACCTCTGCCTCCGAGTAGCTGGCACTCCAGCTGTGCACCACCCAGGTGCAATCTCGGCTCACTGCGACCTCTGCCTCCGCGTAGCTGGGACTCCAGCTGTGCACCACCCAGGTGCAATCTCGGCTCACTGCGACCTCTGCCTCCGCGTAGCTGGGACTCCAGCTGTGCACCACCCAGGTGCAATCTCGGCTCACTGCGACCTCTGCCTCCGCGTAGCTGGGACTCCAGCTGTGCACCACCCAGGTGCAATCTCGGCTCACTGCGACCTCTGCCTCCGCGTAGCTGGGACTCCAGCTGTGCACCACCCAGGTGCAATCTCGGCTCACTGCGACCTCTGCCTCCGCGTAGCTGGCACTCCAGCTGTGCACCACCCAGGTGCAATCTCGGCTCACTGCGACCTCTGCCTCCGAGTAGCTGGCACTCCAGCTGTGCACCACCCAGGTGCAATCTCGGCTCACTGCGACCTCTGCCTCCGCGTAGCTGGGACTCCAGCTGTGCGCCACCCAGGTGCAATCTCGGCTCACTGCGACCTCTGCCTCCGAGTAGCTGGCACTCCAGCTGTGCGCCACCCAGGTGCAATCTCGGCTCACTGCGACCTCTGCCTCCGAGTAGCTGGCACTCCAGCTGTGCACCACCCAGGTGCAATCTCGGCTCACTGCGACCTCTGCCTCCGCGTAGCTGGGACTCCAGCTGTGCACCACCCAGGTGCAATCTCGGCTCACTGCGACCTCTGCCTCCGCGTAGCTGGGACTCCAGCTGTGCACCACCCAGTCAGCCCCACGCCCACCCTGCCAGGCGTGTGCACGGATCAGCGTCACTTTACAGATGAGGAAACTGAGTCTTTGGGAAGCTGACAAGGTGCCTGACACAGGCCAGGGCAGGGCCCACCCTCATGGGCTGTGCTGCAGCCTCTGCCTCGTGGGTCACGGCACCCCATCTACGAGGAGCCCCTCAAGGATGCGCCGTCGAGTCCCCGGGGCCCTTGGCATGTCCCTGGCAGAGAAGGCAGCTCAGGGTGTGGGCCACGCTGCGTGGGAGTCAAAGGCAGCTGAGAGTCAAAAGGACCAGCTTGGTCCAGGCCTGGGTGCGCCCCGCACGGCCCTGCCGGACAAGCCGCTGTCCAGCTGTGCGGGCCCTGCTCCTCAGCTCGGAGGCAGGGCTGATAGCACCCACCAGCGAGATGGGACATGGGAGGCTTGGGGAGTCTTGGGGAGGATGGGACGGGGGGAGGCTCGGGGAGTTCTCGGGGGGTGAGGGGGATGCTCAGGGAGTTCTGGACATCCTAGAGCACCATGCCAACCACACGAGTGCCCTACCCTGTGCTGCTATAAAGCTGGAAGCCCAAGGGAGAAATATGAGAATCACACCTTTCACAATGAAAGTAAGAAACACTATCTGCAGCAAGGAGAACCCCAGGCTTTCTCCCTGTCTGTGGAAGCCCCGCTTGGAATGCAGAAGCCCCAGGTCTAAGGCACTCCCATCGCCTCTGCTTCCCCTAACGCCTCCTTCATGCCGGCAAAAGGGCGTTTGCTCTAGGAAATTGTCCCCAAAACAGTGGCTTTCTGTGGGGTTCGAGAGAAAAGCATTTCAGCAGGAGGAGCCAGGCCCACACAGAGGCTCGGAGGCCGGCTGCTGTGCTGGCCCTGGCCAGGAGTGGGGTTGCCTGCCACGCTGCTTGCTATTTCCGTGGCCTGTTTCTTTTGCAGAAGCTGTGTGCCTGAGAGGATCCTGCCATGGACTGGGACAGGATGAGGGCAGGAAGGCAGCCGGGCCTCACCTCTGCACGGTGGCCTGGTTGTCAAGCTGGTCCTGGTTCACACTGGGCTCTGAGCCCTCAGCCTGCAGCTCCCTGAGGCTCTCCAGGACACTGTGCCCCTCTTTCAGTGCCAGCCTCAAATCCTCCTGTGGAGAGAATGCAGCCTCATGTCCCGGCCCCGTCCAGGCACACAGCGCAGGCTGGTGGTGAGGCCTCGTGGGGCCTTGCTCTTGAGGGGGCGGGGACTGAGGAAGGGGTCAATCCCCGACCCCCGAGTCTTCCCAGTCTCTTCTGTGGGGTCGTGCGGGCAGGCGGGGTGATGTGGGGGCCTCCCTCACTCCTGTGTGCCCCGGGGCAGAGCTGCCATTACAGGGCACTCAGGGCAACGGGTTAAGGTGAAAGAGTCACTGGAGACCAGGCTTTCTCATGGTGCCTGCTCCTGGTCCTCAGTGTCCTCACGGTGGAGCGGCCCGGTGAGCACAGAGGCACAGTCCTCGGGGACACACCAGCAGGTCATGGCCCTGGGCTACCATTGCTGCAAAGCCAGCAGCGTGCCGGTGGGCCAGGGGCAGCACAGAGCAGGGAGCACGTGCTCCTCAGAATACGTTTGTTCCAGCAAGCGCTGTGGACACGTGAGCACTGGGAGTGTTCTGCAAACAGGAATTCCAACCGCCACTTCATCGCCTGCTCGGCATGAGAAACCGGCACAGACATCCTGTCTCGGTCACACTCAGAAGCAAGAGATGTCTATTCGGGAGCTCCCCGCACAGACAGCCAAAAGTGCTCCTGAGAGGAGCCACCCCTGGTCCCACTCCTGAAGCCACGGCCACCCAGGGCCAATGGTTGACCCAACGCCAGAATGGCAGGCGCAGCCAGCAATCTACAGGGTTCATTTACACTCCTTTTATTCCGTTCTCGTCGGAGAGGTTGCCGAGCTAATTGCCATCAAAAGGCATCTCAAGCCTGCTGACTTCTTGGTCTTACGTGCTGCTGACACAAACTCCCGCTGGGACGAAAGACCCCCCGCAGCTTCCGACCGGAGCCCCGCGCAGCTTCTGACTGACCGGAGCCCCCCACAGCTTCCAGCCGGAGCACCCCCCATGTACCTTCGCCTTGTCCTTCTTCTCTGTGTGCGCACACAGCACTGAGCTTGTCGACTGGACGTCATTGGGCAGCTCTGTTTCAGCCAGCTCGGTCCCGAAGGACTGCAGCATCTGAGCCGTCTGCTTCACCATGAGGGCGAAACTTTCGATGGCCTTGGGGACAGAGAAAACACAATTGCATGCCTTGTGCACTGCACCCACCTCCTGCTGCCCTGAAAGCAGACACCGGCGGAAACCGTTCCCACACAGACCCATCAGGTGAGACCGGCTGACGCAAAGACGGTGAACGCCCTCCCATAGCGTCCTGCCCTCCTTGACCTCTTCAGAAACATACCAGGCACACTCTACACGTGTGCCCGTCACCTAGAGTCGCCTGTGCCTGCGCTGCCTCTCCCCGTTGAGAGCAGTGAGTGTTGCAAACCACAACGCAAGGGTTTTTTTTTTTTTTTTGGTCTCCAAGCCCAGAGAAAGCCACTCCCAAACTTATGACTCACGTTACTTCTTTACAATGACTAAGGTCCACTGAGACCATCTCCTCATTCTTGGGAAAGAAAACGACTGTTAATGTGAATGTGTTTTTGGAAAGGGCCGTGTTGTAATGCAAGAGCGATTCTGTGGAAGTACTCGAGCTGGTATCAGCCAGCCCCGCTGGCCCCGACGCGGCTCACCGTGCGCTGGCACAGCCACCGGGAGTGGCAGTAGTCCAGGGTCCCACCCAGGTCCTCGGTCAGCTGCGACTTATCGATGTAACCGTGTAAGTCTGGTACGGAGCTCAGCATTATGACCTGGAGGAGAAAGGGAATGCGTGGTAGTGTTTGGGATTATTGTTGGCTCCCAAAAGAGCTGCCCCATCAGCAGAACACCCAGCAGCACAGAGAGGACCACGTCTGCCTGGATGCTGCGGGCGGCTGTGTGGGTGGGGGCACCTGGACACTGCGGATGGATGTGCGGATGGGATGCAGCTCAGCGCCCCGCCGACACCTCCTCTCGTGGTGGCGTGTGTGTGTTATGGCCCTTATGATGGAGATAACTCCGTGCGCCCTCCTTCCCTGCTATTTGGCAGGCACTGCACACTAGCCATAGGCTTTGTGACCACAGACGTGTCACGGGGAGCAAGACCGACCTCACGGGTCATCCATGCCACAGGCTCCCCTGCACAACGGCTCCACAGCAAGCCGTCAAAATGGGTTTCACAGAAATCACCGGCATCTTCAAACTCACAGCCCCACTTAGATAATTCTTGAAATTAGAGTGGATGATGTGAAGGATGCAGTTGTTGACACGTGTGTGTCCGTGTTTCAGTGCCGTGTGCTGAACTCAGCCGTAGAAAGGAGACATGAGGGAGAACAGTGGCCCCGGCACCTCTGCTGCCGTGACTATCTGGCAAAATCACCCCCAGTGGAGTCCCCACTCTAGACTGATACGGTATTTAATAAAACATGATGTGGTGTCAAATAACCCCTGAGCTAAACCTCAGGAGACCCATTTTGTGGTCCCGTCTGACTGCTTGCAAAGCCAAGCCTAGATTTTATCCAAACCCTGGACACCGTGGGTGGCTGTGTGGACAGGGGCGCCTGAACGCTGTGGGCAGCTGTGTGGACAGGGACGCCTGAACGCTGTGGGCGGCTGTGTGGACAGGGACGCCTGAACGCTGTGGGCGGCTGTGTGGACAGGGGTGTCTGGACACCGTGGGCAGCTGTGTGGACAGGGACGCCTGAACGCTGTGGGCGGCTGTGCAGGCAGGGGTGTCTGGACACTGTAGGCAGCTGAGCGGATGGGGGCGCCTGGACATTGTGGGTGGCTGTGTGGACAGGGGCGCCTGGCTTCGGACCTGTGTGGACCCAGATGTGGGTCCCACTCGCCCGCAGGCCAGCCGCCCACTCTGTGTCTCAGCTGCCTCCTTCGTAAATGGGCACGTTGTGCCTGAG